>NC_000002.12:919090-1222121 GCF_000001405.40 Homo sapiens
AGTTGGACTGCTTGATGCATTTTACACGAGTCTTTAACCAAAAGTGTTCAATGTGTGCAGCATGCCTGTCAGAGGCGTGAGGACGCAGCCTGACTCCATCCCTATGGGAGGATTGACACACAGTCCCTGCGGGGAGGCCAAACATTCATGCGCAATGGTTGCAGGTCAAGGTGTGATAGGTAAGCAGCCTTTGTCCTCCACAATTTGGAGTTGTCTGGAGTTTCCACTGAAGTTGTTGCTGGCCATGGAGATATTGTGGCTCCCGACAGAGGGAAACTAAAGTGTCTGAATCACATTGTCTGTATCACCACTCAGATCTGTCGGATCCCAGAAAGACCAACTGTCTCAAAACATATAGGTGCTATGCTGACTGCAAAGCACTTTCAGATAGATACGTAGATAGACAATGGATAGTTATATAGATAGACGGTAGACAAACAGATGAGAGATGATAGAGTTAGAGGGATGAGACAATCAGATGATAGACAGATGACGGACAGATAATAGATACATGATACATAGATAGATGATAGATAATAATAGATGATAGGTGGTAGATAATAATTGATGATTAGATAGATAGATGATAGGTAATGTTGGATGGATAGATGATAGATAGATGATAGATAGATAGATGATAGATGATAAAAAGACAGATGATAGAAAGATAGATAGATGATAGATAACAGATAGATGATAAATGATAGATGATAGATAATGATAGATGATAGAGATATAGATGATAGATAGGTGATAAATAGATGATAGATAATAGGTGATAGATAATAGATGATAGATGATAGAAAATAATAGATAGATGATAGATGATTAGATAGATGATAGGTAATGATGGATGGATAGATGATAGAAAGATAGATGATAGATAGATGATAGATAATAGCTGATAGATAATGATAGATAGATGACAGATGATAGATAATGATAGAGAGATAGATGATAGATAGGTGATAGATGATAGATAGATGATAGATAAATGATAGATAATAGATACATGATAGATCATAGATAGATGATAGATAATAGATGATGATTGATAGATAGATAGATGATCGATAGAGAGGCAGAGATGGGTAGATAGATCAATGATAGATGGAGATAGGCAAACAGAAGCAGATGCATAGGCATGAGCAGACATGGACCGGGACATGCTGCCACCCTAGAGATGTTGCATCTGAAGGGTAAACAGTTCTGTGTGTTGCATAACCACACAACTAGTCAGCATTCTCATATCTCACTGAGATGGAAGCTCAGGCCTCCCGACTCTGAATTCCATTCTCAGTCTTAAAACTGCTGCGCAGGGTTCTGGGGCTTGGGTAGGATCCTCTCATCCTCCCTGCCCTCCTGTTTCCACTCCCTCTCAATCCTCATTTCCCAGGATTCAACACCCTCCCTCTGGCTCCCCTGTTCCTCCTGCCACCTGTCCCTCCTCCTTACTCACTCTCCTCTTCCCCCTCCTTTTTCTTCCTTCCTACCCATTTTTCTCTCTCCTATCTCCCTTTCTTGCAATGCTTTTTTTTTAATTATGGAAGGTGACCTCATCAGTATATTTGCATTCTCTTCAACAAGCAAGGACACCCATGGGTGAGGGACAGTGGGGACCCCCCCACAAGGTGAGCCGCAGGGTCCCTGCATCCGAGTGCATCCCACACCGTCGGTCACGTGGATTTTCCTTTCTGCATTTGTTACCTTTGCCATGCCTGATGCCGGGGGCCCGTCTGGCTGCACACACGTGTGTGTCTGGCCTCTGGGGTGGCACTGGGAGTCCTGGGAGGAGCAGGTGTCGTCTGCCCGAGGCCACCGGATCACTTCTCTTCTGTTTTATCTCCACCATCCTCAGATGTTCTAAGAACCTGGGCTCAGAGCCATAGCTTTATTTTTACAACCAATGCACAGACACTCACATAGTATTTTGGGCCAGAAGTCAGTGTGTGGTTCAGTTCATCTTCCATTTGTGCCGACCCGAATAAGGATGCTCTGTTTAGACGTTGCCCTGAGGAATAGAATCCTGCATTTGTGTGGAAGGTGAATGTGCCACCCAACGCAGAACTGAGCCGGGATTCCAGGGCGGAGCCTTCCTCCCACTCCGCCATCGCGGCCTTGCACGCGATCTGCTCCGGTGCACTGTGCTTCTGATACTGGTGACCACCAGATAGATCTTGGGCTGTTTTTCCTGTCGATGCTATCTCATCCACCAGGCTAAAACATCTACAGGGGGCCAAATGCAGGCCTGGAGCTGAATTTCCAGCTAATTATGGGCTCCTTTCCTTGTGTGGGGCTTTAGTCTAGAAATGCTGAGTGTGGGGTCGATGGGGATGAGAACAGGGAGGCGCCACCCAGCCCCCAACTCTCCCTGAGTCCCCTCAGAGGAGACCTCACCATGCCACTTGCTTGTTTGTCTTTGAAGGAGGCTGGGTGTGGGAGGAGGGCAGGAATCACAGCAGGGACCCTGGCCCTCGGACCCCTTCCCTGTATCTGTGCCCTCCCATCCCTGCCCCTCTGCTGTGGGGCTCATGGGGGAAGCACATGGGACCACCTGCTGCCCCCAAGATTGTATTTCTTGTTGTCTTGTGGGCAGAGAAGAGTTCCTTATGTAAAGTCATATGCATAGACCTCAAGGCTGACATTTGGGACAGGGAATGTAGGAAAGCAGGTGTGCGAGCTTCCCACGGCAGATGAAGCAAAGTGCCATGCTTGGGTTGAAACAACAGAATTTAAAAACAAATTGTGTTATAGTTCTTGAGGCCGGAAGTCCCGGATCCAGGGGCTTGCAGAGTGGGTTCGCTCCAAGGCTCTGAGGCCTGCTGTTGGCTTGTCCACGGGCCTCCTCCTCTGTCTTCCCTCTGTCTGTCTCTGTGTCCAAATTCCCCTTGTCATAAGGACACCAGTGATCTTGGGTTAGAGCCCACCCTAAATGCCCTCATCTTAACCTAATGACAGTCAGTATCTCCATCCTGAGGCAGTGCACACAACCCGGTCCATGGCTGTGCTTAGCAGTGGGTTGAGAGGATTTTGACACAAGGAGGCCTTTGGGGAGGACACCAGCTGGGCTTCTCAGGTGAGAGCAGGAACAGAGCATCCCAAAGGAAAATGTGGGTGTGAGCAGAGCACAGGCCTGCAGCCACGGGGAAAGGCTGCTGGCATCCAGTGAGGGGAGGGACACGGCCGGCCTCCGGAAGGTGCTTCCGGGCTGGTGTGGAGGAAGACCATGGGCTCCAGCCAGCCTGGACTCAGGGTGGAGAATGGAGGCCCCTGTAGGGCCAGCAGAGGAGTGAGTGCCCAGGGTCCCCGCAGACACCCTGAGATACACCGCAGGGCATAGTGCTCAGGTGCTCAGCCACCTGCCTACATGGCCGCTGACTCCACTGCTAGAGCCGTCCCTGCCCCAACGGGCTGCCCTTGGGAGCTGGTGGGCCTGGACTGGGAGCCTCTGGACAGGCCATCTCCCTCACTGTCCCTTTGGGGAAGCCTCCCCTGCCCCACAGAGATTGCTGGGCTCAAAGCAGGGAGGAACTTCGGCCGGGAGAAGGGCCTTCCAACCCTGAGCTCTGTGAGAGGAAATCTCATCAGCAGCAAACCCTCACATGTGACCTGGAAAAAAGGAGGTATCTTTTAATAGACAATGTCTGGATCTTTAGTGAGGGTGATTTAGATATAATATGTCCGTTTACTTTCAAAAGGGAAAAAGTATGGGTCACTCAGAAATTCCTGCTGTAGCTTAGATCATCGATCAAGTTCCCAGCGAGTCCGTAATTTCCAAAATTCAGACAGTTTCATCTTAGCCAAAACATAGTGTCTGCAGTGTGGGAACGCTGAAGACAGCCGGCCCAACACCCTGCTCAGGGAATCCCAAAGCCTCCCTGCGATCAGGAGAAGGAAGCCTAGATTTCTAGGTTAGTGCAGCCCACTAGCAAGAGAATAAAGTCTCGGTGTCAAGCTCTCCGGCTGCAAACTGTTCCCCTATGTCTCCGGAGAGTCCCCAAGGACTCTCAAGGAGGGCTCCTGAGTGTCAACCAGGGCTCTTCCTTCCACGGGCAATGCCCCTTCCTCCTCCTTTCTGTTCGGTGACCCCCACATCAGCCCAACACCCTCTTCAACCCCATGTCTCAAACCAGAAGTCACAGCTGCATCCTTTATTTAATTTCTTTACTTTTATAGAATTTTTACAATATTTGTCATACTCTGCTTGTAGTTATTGGAAGCATGTCTTCTTCTCCACAATTCAAAAGCCTCAATTTGAGGACTTCATTATTAAGCATTTTTTTTTTTTTTTTTTTTTTTTGCACATACGATCTCACTCTGTTGCCCAGGCTGGAGTATACTGGCATGATCTCAGCTCACTGCAACCTCCGCCTCCCGGGTTCAAGTGATTCTTATGCCTCAGCCTCCCAAGTAGCTGGAACTATAGGTGTGCACCACCATGCCCATCTATTTTTTTTATTATATGTAATTTTGTAGAGACCACATATTACTATGTTGCCAGCGCTGGCCTCGAACTCCTGGCCTCAAGTGACCCTCTGACTTCAGCCTCCCAAAGTGCTGGGATTACAGGTGTGAGGCACCGTGCTGGCCTTCTTTTTTTTTTTTTTTTAAGAGGCTGGGTCTCTCTCTGTCACTCAAGTTGGAGTACAGTGGCATGATCATAGCTCACTGCAGCCTCAATCTCCTGGGCTCAAGTGATCCTCCCCGCCTCCTGAGTAGCTGGGACTACAGGCATGCACCACCATGCCTGGCTAATTTTTAAATTTTTTAAACTATTTTTAAGAGATGAGATCTTACTATGTTGCCCAGGCTGGTCTCAAACTCCTAGTTTCAAGCGACCCTCCTACCTAAGCTTCCCAGAGTGCCAGGATTACAGGCATAAGCCACTGTGCCTGGCCCATAGTCAGCCTCATCTAACAGGCAGCACACAGCGTACTGCACAGTTGCTTTCTCTTACTCACTGGTCAGTGAACACTTGTGGAATAGAAACGCAACAGAGCTCAGAGAGGCCCTGAGGAGAGCCTAGGGTCTGAGACTGAGGTCTGTTCTTCCACACATTACTAGCCTCTGGAAAAGGAGCAAAATCTTCACAATTCAGTTTCTGTGTTTGTGAAACGAAGGGTTCAACTCCATGATCTCTAAAAATATTCTGCCCTACCAATTGTCTGCATATCAGCTATTCAAGTTCGCCTCTGTGTGAGGTTTTCCTGCTGGAAACCCCACTCTCCCCACGGCTTCTTCTCCAGTCCCAGTCTGCCCAGTGGTCAGTATTCAGTGTTTTCTTCCCAGATACCAGAAAACCAGGTGACCTCAGCTCCTGTCCTTCCATGTGACATTCTAATATCGCATTAAGTAGCTACAGAACCAGTAAGGATGAAATTTGTGTTTAGAGTTTTGACATCTTTCCGCTCTATTTGCTTAGTTACATATTTACCTACATAATCTCACATCCATAAATGGTTTCAAGTCACAGAACTCTAAGAACTGATTTACTCTTTTTCACATGTCCCCGTACTAACATATCCCCGTACTAACATCTATCTTTTTCTTTTTTTCATTTTGGCTTAGCAATAATACAATTTGGTTGATTTATATTTGTTTCAGCAACTGCCCCAGAGAATCTTGTTTGGAATTAAAATAATTTCTGAAGTTCCTTTGGAGAGTTCTGCAAAGCTTTTTCCCTCACTTCTGTGAATAATTTCATTTTAAGACATGGACAGCACATTTATCAGTTTTCAGTACACACGAAGCCAAGAATCCTAGTTAATACATTAAATGGCAGTCATCCGTCATGAGCAGGTGGCAGATAGGAGCCACGAGGCAGAGGAAAGGTAATGAAATAACAAGGGCAAATGCAAAATCCCACGTTTACATAAAAAAAGCACAATAACAGAAGGGCAAATTCAAACTCCCACATTTACATTAAAAAAAAAACCCACAATAACAGAATGAGGAAAATTGGTTAAATTGTCTTTTCACTGAAAGGTATTTGTCGGATTTATTTTTTTCCATGTGATTGGGATTAATAGGAATAAACAATGCTGTGGCTTGAAAAGGATCAGAGAGCTCACCCCATCTTAGCCCATAACAGCAGAAAATAAGAGAGAAGAGTCCACAAGGCAGTGATAGTGAGCACTGGTCAGTGGAACTTTTGGCAAAACAATTAAAGAGAGGAATGGGTGAAAACACTGCATAAAGCACTTCACAAAGCACAAGGCATCAGGCACCAGGCATCAGGCCTCAGGCACCAGGCACCAGGCATCAGGCATCAGGCATTAGGCATCAGGCACTCATTACAGGAATAACGTGAAGTTTTAACATTTCTGCATTTCACGTTCCTGTGTGATGAGGCCTCTGTCTGGGCTGCAAGGCACCTTGAAAGGTGCTGCCTCTGGCTGAGCTGGGAAGAGAGGGGTGTGGGCAGGTAAGCGTAGAGTCCAGATTGGAGCACACTAATCTTTGGGACAGCCAAGGGCTGGGGTCAGGCAGGAGGCCTGGGGCTCAGAAGAGAAATGTAAGCACCAGGTGTGAACCTGACCTTGCAGGGAATCCATGGCAGGTGACGCCTGGGGGATGGAAGATGTCATGAGAAGCCTGGGAAGGAAAGGGGCTGGACTCTCTGGGTTTCTCCTGTTTGGGGCTGGGTAGAAATCTTCCATCTGGGGAGGAACACCGGGGGTGCTCAGAAGCCAGGAGGACAACCTGCTGTTCTCTCGGAAATCAGGGAAAATGTGTTTCAAAAAGGACAGCCAGGCCAAAGGTATTGGATGGCCTTGGGAAGAGACAGATGAATCCGAGAGCACCTGCTGGGGTTGGTGTCCTGGGATCCGGTTTAGTGTGAAAAGGACAGAAGGGCAGTTTTGGTGAAGTGGGGGCTGGACTGCAGCCTGGAGTTCGGGAGCATGAACAGGACTGAGGACGCCCCGCTCTTCCTCTAAGGGTGTGGCATCTCCCAGGACATCAGGACTCGGACAAGGGGCTCTCTTCCTTCAGCCAAAGCTGCAGTTATTCATTCTCAGGCTCCTCCCCAAATCTCTTGTCACTGAACCTGGCCTATGTCTGGAATATTTAGGTTAGCTTTCACAGCCTCTACCCAGAACATCCCAGCCTCCCAATGCCTCTGCATGCAGGTCACCTCTAATCAATTTAATGAAAACAATAACACATTTTCCCAAGCTCTCCATCCCTTCCTGGCATCATTTTATGAAGTGATCAATTGCTGCAGATACCTCCTCACTGCTACTCAGAAGACCTTATTTCTACCACCTTCTCTGCAGTGGTATCTGTCTAGTCCCCGTCTCAGTAGCACAGCAGGACAGAAAAGAATGCCAAAAATATCCAGCATAAGTCAATGCCAAGCTACAAGGTCAGTCTAAAAAAAGAGCATCTAGACGCATCATCCTGAGAGTGCCCGGGTACAGGGCCGCAGAACTGGGAAGGAGAGTCACGACAGCCTCACAGGAGCATGGTCGTGTTGCAGAGACAACGTCAAAAGGAGGGACCTCAGAAGGCGGGCCGGAGAGGGGCGGGTCTGATCAAGGTCGGTTCTGAGGGCTGGTGTGTCTGATAGCCCCGCACTTGGACCTAGGGCTGCACTGCTCAGATCCTACTTAGTTTGGAGATTAATTATTGTTCAGCCTACCTAATCTCACATAGGTTGTTGACCTATAAAAGTTTTACATCCACATTCAAAGCCAATTTTGCTAATAATTTAGATTTCAGAACGTAAGGGCAAGAAAGATTTAGATGACTTATAAAGTCAAATTTTCTGAAAGTACGAATTGCAAAAGTCTGGAAATGTTCATTGTAAGAACTTCTTTGAAGTAAATTACTTATCTTAGTGTAAGGTTGAGCAGTAAGACATGTAGAGGAGCCCGTGAGAAATTCTATGGCGCTGTGAACGTATTCCCCACACCCTCACAAGGATGGGCTGTCTCCCATGGGGGCCCCTGGTTCTTTCCTTCTGAAGCAGAGCTTTGTAAAGTGAAGTCGCTGGAGGAGCAGCAGCAGTAGAGGCAGCCGAGGCCTTGAGGCCTTCTTTGAAAATCCCACCCTGACCCACGGGATCCAAAACTCTGCAGACAGGACCCCGCGATCTGTGAGCAACAAGCACCCCTGTGATTCCAATGCAGGCAGGACCCCGGGATCTGTAGGCAACAAGCACCCCCATGATTCCAATCTGCAGGCAGGACCCCAGGATCTGTAGGCAACAAGCACCCCCGTGATTCCAATCTGCAGGCAGGACCCCAGGATCTGTGGGCAACAAGCACCCCCGTGATTCCAATCTGCAGGCAGGACCCTGGGATCTGTGGGCAACAAGCACCCCCGTGATTCCAATGCAGGCAGGACCCCGAGCTCTGCGGGCAACAAGCACCCCCGTGATTCCAATGCAGGCAGGACCCCGAGATCTGCGGGCAACAAGCACCCCCGTGATTCCAATCTGCAGGCAGGATCCCGGCATCTGTAGGCAACAAGCACCCCCATGATTCCAATGCAGGCAGGACCCCGGGATCCGCGGGCAACAAGCACGCTCATGATTCCAATGCAGGCAGGACCCCGGGATCCACGGGCAACAAGCACCCCCGTGATTCCAATGCAGGCAGGACCCCGGGATCCGCGGGCAACAAGCACCCCCGTGATTCCAATGCAGGCAGGACCCCGGGGTCTGTGGGCAACAAGCACCCCCATGATTCCAATGTGTGGTAAGGTTTGAAATGCAGTGTTCTAGAGAAACCTATCTATGAAAATACATGAGGAAAACAGATCCACAGGCCTGAACATAACAAGAAACAAAATGGAAGCAGTTAGGCTGATAGAGCAAATATCAGTATCTATGAGAGCAGGAAAACAGGATAATTCTAAAAATAAGGAAAAGATGACGCAGGGGAAGCCCATGTCATCACAACAAGTGGTGACCTTGGTGCAGGATTTCCCCCTGTTGATGTCAAGTGGGTCAGGTCTCGGGATCCACAAGTGAAGGAGGAGGCCTGGGGTCTACAGTCCACAGCAGACTTCCTGGGTCAGCTCTCGGGATCCACAGATGAAGGAGGAGGCCCGTGGTCTACAGTCCACAGCAGACTTCCTGGGTCAGGTCTCGGGATCCACAAGTGAAGGAGGAGGCCCGGGGTCTGCAGTCCACAGCAGACTTCCTGGGTCAGGTCTCGGGATCCACAAGTGAAGGAGGAGGCCTGGGGTCTACAGTCCACAGCAGACTTCCTGGGTCAGCTCTCGGGATCCACAGATGAAGGAGGAGGCCCGTGGTCTACAGTCCACAGCAGACTTCCTGGGTCAGGTCTCGGGATCCACAAGTGAAGGAGGAGGCCCGGGGTCTGCAGTCCACAGCAGACTTCCTGGGTCAGGTCTCGGGATCCACAAGTGAAGGAGGAGGCCTGGGGTCTACAGTCCACAGCAGACTTCCTGGGTCAGCTCTCGGGATCCACAGATGAAGGAGGAGGCCTGTGGTCTACAGTCCACAGCAGACTTCCTGGGTCAGGTCTCAGGATCCACAAGTGAAGGAGGAGGACTGTGGTCTACAGTCCACAGCAGACTTCCTGGGTCAGGTCTCAGGATCCACAAGTGAAGGAGGAGGCCTGGGGTCTACAGTCCGCAGCAGACTTCCTGGGTCAGCTCTCGGGATCCACAGATGAAGGAGGAGGCCTGTGGTCTACAGTCCACAGCAGACTTCCTGGGTCAGGTCTCAGGATCCACAGATGAAGGAGGAGGCCTGTGGTCTACAGTCCACAGCAGACTTCCTGGGTCAGGTCTCAGGATCTACAAGTGAAGGAGGAGGCCTGGGGTCTACAGTCCACAGCAGACTTCCTGGGTCAGGTCTCGGGATCCACAAGTGAAGGAGGAGGCCCGGGGTCTGCAGTCCACAGCAGACTTTCTCTTTCCACCTTCTCATAGAACAGAAGCAAGAGAGCACAGCTGCAGGAAAATAAAGGTTCTATGGGTTTCTTGCTGAGAACTTGCCACATGGCTCTCTCTCCACAGAAGGTAGTAAAGTCTCTGCCTCCAGAGCAGCCGGCTGCCCAGAGACGATGGTGGCAGCGTTCAGGGACAGGATGAGCACATTCTCTCTGTCCTGGGAAAAGCAAGCCCCAGCAAAGAGATGGAAGCCCCACCACGGATATGCCTGATGAGCTCTGGGAAGCCGGCTGCCTGCTCCCTGGCTCTATGATATGCCCGATGGGCACCAGGAAGCTGGCTGCCTGCTCCCTGGCTCTGGGATATGCCTGAAGGGCACCAGGAAGCCAGCTGCCTGCTCCCTGGCTCTACGATATGCCCGATGGGCACCAGGAAGCTGGCTGCCTGCTCCCCGGCTCTAGGATATGCCTGAAGGGCACCAGGAAGCCGGCTGCCTGCTCCCCGACTCTGGGATATGCCTGAAGGGCACCAGGAAGTCGGCTGCCTGCTCCCCGGCTCTATGATATGCCCAATGGGCACCAGGAAGCCGGCTGCCTGCTCCCCGGCTCTGGGATATGCCTGATGGGCTTGGCAAGCCAGCTGCCTGTTCCCCAGCTCTGGCAAGGGCCGCTGAGAACCATCTAGGCTGAGGCTATGATGTTATCTGCTCTCTCCTATTATTTTCTACCTGATTTGCCCAAATTTTACACAAATTATTGACAAAAACAAGGTGGTTTTCAGTTGAAACAGCTGCACTCACATGAAAGCACCGTGCTTGAACCGTGTGCTGGGGTAAGTAGAAGAGTCTCCTTGTTTCTCAGTCCTGCCATATAAGCCTAGAGCTATGATGTTCTTTCCTGTCCTCACCTGGCTTACAAATCAGTCCTGAAAAATCATGTGGAATTCTTTGGAAGTCATCATTTTATTTCCATTCAAGACAGGAGGTGAATTCTCCAGGATCCTGAGATTCCTTTTGTAAAAATGTTCCTTTTCAGATGATGAAACAGCTGGTGCTGTGGAGTTTGCTCTTTGACCTGAGCATGAGAACAATTTGAAGTCTGTGGCTGATTGACATTTATGTCTTCTTAGTGAAAAGGCAAAGGTAGACGCCCACACAGACAAGAAACGAGGAACTTCGGCCTCATCGAAGCCGAGCGTCTGGACGCCGAAGCCTTGAGTTCCAGAGTGTTGGTCTGTCCTGAGTCCCAAGCTGGTGGCAGACGGCCCACATGGCCTGGCCGTGCACCGTGGCTGCCCCACGCACACCCTGATGAGCTCGCTGTGTGTCCCGCTGCCTGTGCAATCCTACACCACCCCCACCTCTGAGCGTCGGGAAGTGCACACGGCTGAACGACAATTCCCCTGTAAGACTTATCCCCACGCAGGACCCCGAGAGTGAACGGGAGAATGGTGCATCCATCCTTCTCCTTGGAGAGAGCACTAAACAGGGTGCCACCTTAGCCTGGCGGGCGGGAGCCAGATAGGAACCAGACACCACCCGAGGTCAGCATCCTCCAGCCCAGCAGTGTGAGAGAAGTAAGGACGAAAGATGTGGGCACTGAATATTTAGGACCCTAATTTATCTAAGGAGAATACTTTATTCTAGATCTTCATGCCTGCATTGGAATTTGAAAACAGGGTAAAGTTCATGTAAGTTGAATTTCAGGCATGTGCAGCCACTGACTTGCAGCTATCCATGGAGGGCCACAGGCAGGCCAGGACCACAAGCCACAGGCCCTGCACCACCTCAGCTCCAGCCACATCGGGCCCTGTGCATGGATTCAGCTGTCCCAAGAGGAACTCTGGTTTCTCCTCCGTCGTGCATTATCTATTCATTTCGCTTAGAAAAGAGGCAGCATTTTCATGGGGTGGGGACAGGCCATCCCAGGTTCTTTGGTCAAATGCCATTTTATATCATGACAATAAAAGTCTCCACCTTTGAGACATCAACTAAACACTGCTATTTCTGAGAATCAAGCAAGCAATTCCTTCCTCTACCATACGCCGTATCAAACTGATAAAAAAATTCATAGCTGCGGACTGAATATTCATTTTATGATTTCTTCGTCCTCATTAAAGCCAGACAGGCACACAAAGAAGTGAAAACAAGGATCATTTATTTCCTTCATCCACCCATCCACAGAGCAATAAGCATTTTAATCTGATCCTGTGCCAAGAATTGTACAGTCCAAAGTTCAATGGACTCAACTCATGTATCATCTTGACTAAGAGAGGTTGAGAAAAGTTAAATACAAAAATGGAAATTCAAAAGCATCAAATATAGACTGTTCAGCTTTCTTTCTTCAAGTTGGAAATTATCCTTGAAAGCTCACCAGGAGAAAAGTCAAGCATTTGGAAGTGGACTGCTATCTCTACTCTCAAACAATGTGCCAGACCTGTTTGGGTTTAGGAGAAAGACCACCGTATACTAACAGGGACATAGGTTTTTGTCTCAGTCCAATCATTAAGAAGTTGAGTCAATTGGGGCAAATTACCTAGGATGTCTGAATCTCAGCTTTCCTATCTTTTTAAAAGTGATAATTTTTCCTTTCTGCTTTGTAGAGTCACAAAGATCAAGCAAAGTGAAGCTTAAAGCTGGATAACCTATAATAGTTTTGGAATTCTCAAGTCCTATGCGAGTTTAAGTATCAGTTAGGATGATATTTGGAGTCAGGGGATGGTTCTGAGCACTCTACTAAGAAGCGTCTGAAGGCCGCCCCTGGGGGCCATTGCGGAGGGAGAGGCCTGGGCACGGATGCTGAAGGCTGCCCCGGGGGGCATTGCGGAGGCAGAGGCCTGGGCACGGATGCTGAAGGCCGCCCCGGGGGGCATTGCGGAGGCAGAGGCCTGGGCACGGATGCTGAAGGCCGCCCCGGGGGGCATTGTGGAGGCAGAGGCCTGGGCACGGATGCTGAAGGCCGCCCCGGGGGGCATTGTGGAGGCAGAGGCCTGGGCACGGATGCTGAAGGCCGCCCCGGGGGGCATTGTGGAGGCAGAGGCCTGGGCACGGATGCTGAAGGCCGCCCTGGGGGCCATTGCGGAGGCAGAGGCCTGGGCACGGATGCTGAAGGCCGCCCTGGGGGCCATTGTGGAGGCAGAGGCCTGGGCACGGATGCTGAAGGCCGCCCCGGGGGGCATTGTGGAGGCAGAGGCCTGGGCACGGATGCTGAAGGCCGCCCCGGGGGGCATTGTGGAGGCAGAGGCCTGGGCACGGATGCTGAAGGCCGCCCCGGGGGGCATTGTGGAGGCAGAGGCCTGGGCACGGATGCTGAAGGCCGCCCCGGGGGGCATTGTGGAGGCAGAGGCCTGGGCACGGATGCTGAAGGCCGCCCCGGGGGGCATTGCGGAGGCAGAGGCCTGGGCACGGATGCTGAAGGCCGCCCTGGGGGCCATTGTGGAGGCAGAGGCCTGGGCACGGATGCTGAAGGCCGCCCCTGGGGGGCATTGTGGAGGCAGAGGCCTGGGCACGGATGCTGAAGGCCGCCCCTGGGGGGCATTGCGGAGGCAGAGGCCTGGGCACGGATGCTGAAGGCCGCCCTGGGGGGCATTGCGGAGGCAGAGGCCTGGGCACGGATGCTGGCAGTGAGGGAAGAGTGCCCCCTCCTTCTGAAGAAAGCCCTCCCTGACCACATCGATCACACTGCCGGCGACTCCACATGGCCTCCAGACTGCAGACAATTATCTCTTCAGAATACCATCACCAAATCATGGCTCTTAGAAATTACTGGAAAACAGGAAGACTTGTAAACGTGACTTTTGTTGTGCAAATCTGGTCACATTATCTATTCGAATGCTGCCGGCAACACTCAAAGAGATATTTCCCTTCTTTCTCTGAAGTAAGGAAAACTACTTCTCTGAACAAATTTTTACAAGGACTTAATTTCACACTTAGCAATGCCTTGTCTTCATTAACGTTCTTTAGGCCATTTGAGAGGATAAAGCTAAAGCGTCTTAATGAAGCCGCCGGCTCAGGAGCTGGCTGAAAGCAGCCGCATTTACAGCCTCAGCCAGGGAAAAGTGCCTTCAGTGCAGACCTGCGTGGGCCTCCGCAAACAATTCCCAGGCAGCGCTGCGGGGCTCTGGGACTTGGGAAGGGCCCAAGCGCGATTATTTCTAGAATTTTCCACATTGTAAAAGCACGGTTTCTTCAAATCACCCTCCCCTAGAGAAAGTGCTGACCCAGGGAACGAGTTTCCTTCTGATTTGTGCGTTCCATATCCCTGCCATGTGCCACACGGCACTAACTGATGATAAATAAATTCCCTGTGCGCTGCCCGGACAGACTCTACGGTCAGAAACACGAAAAGCAGCTAGCACAGATCAAAGATAAAGAAGACAAGGTCTGCTCAGCAAAGTGGTGTTTCAAGTGAGTTCTTTCATTAAAAAATAAAGAAAGTGGGCCGGGCGCAGGGGCTCACGCCTGTAATCCCAGCAGTTTGGGAGGCCAAGGCAGGTGGATCACTTGAGATCAGCAGTCTGAGACCAGCCTGGCAACATGGTGAAACCCCATCTCTACTAAAAATACAAAAAATTAGCTGGGCGTGGTGGCACATGCCTGTAATCCCAGCTACTCCAGAGGCTGAGGCAGGAGAATCACT
This sequence comes from Homo sapiens, assembly GCF_000001405.40. Lineage (NCBI taxonomy): Eukaryota > Metazoa > Chordata > Mammalia > Primates > Hominidae > Homo > Homo sapiens. Next base: position 933,595 of record NC_000002.12, read on the forward strand.
TGAACCTGGCAGGCGGAGGTTGCAGTGAGCCAAGATCACACCATGGCACTCCAGCCTGGGGACAGAGCGAGACTCCATCTCAAAGAAAAAACAAAAAACAGGGTATACTCTGTGTATCTCTGTGTATTCAGCATATACTCCCAAGAACGCAGGAATGAGAAAGTTCAGTTAGAATCACGTTAAAATTCGCGCTAATACCTACTGGCTCAGGGAGTTACAGCCCACGGGCACCGTCTCACCTCTCGTTAAAGGCTCCCCATCCGCTATGCACCTCCAGGACTTTGCAGAGTGGAGAGGGGCGTCCCCAACCCTGGCAGGGCCTGTTTCTTGGCCATTCACAGCTTGAACAGGCAGCTTCGCTGCTCCCTGAAGCTGTCGGCTGAGGGGCCCTGTTGCCTGGGCCACCAGCCACACTTAGAACCCCTGGCGATTACAGATGCTTCCCAGGCTGGTCCTTGTTCTGATCCTGCAAATTGGCTGTGGACCTTTCCTCTAGTGTCCCCAGAGCGCTCCATATTCCCAGCACTTCCTGAGATAAATGCTTTAGCTTCTATACACGTCAACACACCCACGTCAAATAGAGGGGGGGTGGCCCCTGCACGTAACCCCGACACAATCTCACTGTAACAAATGTCCTTAAATTCCATTTGTCTTTTATTAAACTAACACTTTTATCTTAGCAAATAAGACTGTCTGCAAGGTCCTAAAATTCCATCTCTCTGCTTGCTCTAATCCACAGTTTCATAGTCTGTGTGGCAGGAAGGAGAGGAGTCCATGGGGGTGAAGTGCAGCCAATATTTTAGTTTGTAAATTAGATTTGTTGCCAAACACACCATGCTCAAGATTGAAAGAGTCTCAGAAAGGTTTTACTTTTTAGATTCATTAAACCATGCATGCTGTTTTTAAGGACTGGCCTTATCTTTTACCAGATTTAGGGAGGGAGACCAGAGCTGAAGAAAAAATTTCTTCTTCATAAATAAGACAAGCATATGGTTCAATTGATTTGACACCAGAACATTAACAGGTTAGCTCCATTTTTTTTTTTTTTTTTTTTTTTTGTGAAACAGAGTCTTGCTGTTGTTGCCTGGGCTGGAGTGCGGTGGCACTATCTCAGCTCACTGCAACCTCTGCCTCCTAGGTTCCAGCAATCCTCCTGCCTCAGCCTCCCAAGTAGCTGGGATTACAGGCACCCGCCACCACACCCAGCTAATTTTTGTATTTTTAGTAGAGACAGGGTTTCACTATGTTGGCGAGGATGGTCTTGAAATCCTGACCTCAGGTGATCCACCCTTGTCGGCCTCCCAAAGTGCTGGGATTATATGGTAGGAATATTTCATTATATTTAGAATATTTATTATCAAATATTTACTCAACACCCACTTTGTCCTACGTTGGGATCTATAAATACAACCAGAGGCTAAATCGGGCCCGTGGGCTTTCCTGTGTGATTCTCAATTAAGAACGTTTGATATCAGTGATCCTTGATGCATATATTTGTCTCTTTTCATGCTGCTAATAAAGCCATACCCAAGACTGGGAAATTTATAAATATAAAAGAGGTTTAATGGACTTACAGATCCACGTGGCTTGAGAGACCTCACAATTACAGCGGAAGGTGAAAGACACACTGTCTTCCATGTGGCAGCAAGAGAGAATGAAAGCCAAGTGAAGGTGGAAACCTCTTGTAAAACCATCAGATCTCATGAGACTTATTCACTATCACGAGAGGCAGAAACCCCTCATAAAACCATCAGATCTCGTGAGATTTATTCACTATCATAAGAGGCGGGAACCTCTTATAAAACCATCAGATCTCGTGAGACTTATTCACTATCACGAGAGGCGGAAACCTCTTATAAAACCATCAGATCTCATGAGATTTATTCACTATCACGAAAGGTGGAAACCCCTCATAAAACCATCAGATCTCGTGAGATTTATTCACTATCACGAGAGGTGGAAACCCCTCATAAAACCATCAGATCTCGTGAGATTTATTCACTGTCACAAGAGGTGGAAACCCCTCATAAAACCATCAGATCTCGTGAGATTTATTCACTATCACGAGAGGCGGAAACCCCTCATAAAACCATCAGATCTCGTGAGATTTATTCACTATCACGAGAGGCGGGAACCTCTTATAAAACCATCAGATCTCGTGAGACTTATTCACTATCACGAGAGGCGGAAACCTGTCATAAAACCATCAGATCTCATGAGATTTATTCACTATCATGAGAGGTGGAAACCCCTCATAAAACCATCAGATCTCGTGAGATTTATTCACTATCATGAGAGGCAGAAACCTCTTATAAAACCATCAGATCTTGTGAGATTTATTCACTATCATGAGAGGCAGAAACCTCTTATAAAACCATCAGATCTCATGAGATTTATTCACTATCACGAGAGGTGGAAACCCCTCATAAAACCATCAGATCTCGTGAGATTTATTCACTATCACAAGAGGCAGAAACCTCTTATAAAACCATCAGATCTCATGAGATTTATTCACTATCACGAGAGGTGGAAACCCCTCATAAAACCATCAGATCTCGTGAGATTTATTCACTGTCACAAGAGGTGGAAACCCCTCATAAAACCATCAGATCTCGTGAGATTTATTCACTATCATGAGAGGCGGGAACCTCTTATAAAACCATCAGATCTCGTGAGACTTATTCACTATCACAAGAGGCGGAAACCTGTCATAAAACCATCAGATCTCATGAGATTTATTCACTATCATGAGAGGTGGAAACCCCTCATAAAACCATCAGATCTCGTGAGATTTATTCACTATCATGAGAGGCAGAAACCTCTTATAAAACCATCAGATCTTGTGAGACTTATTCACTATCACGAGAGGCAGAAACCCGTCATAAAACCATCAGATCTCGTGAGATTTATTCACTATCATGAGAACAGTATGGCAGAAACCCCTTATAAAACCATCAGATCTTGTGAGATTTATTCACTATCACGAGAGGCAGAAACCTCTTATAAAACCATCAGATCTCATGAGATTTATTCACTATCACGAGAGGCGGAAACCCTCATAAAACCATCAGATCTCGTGAGATTTATTCACTATCACGAGAGGCGGAAACCCCTCATAAAACCAACAGATCTCGTGAGATTTATTCACTATCACAAGAGGCAGAAACCCCTCATTAAACCATCAGATCGTGTGAGATTTATTCACTATCACGAGAGGCAGAAACCTCTTATAAAACCATCAGATCTCGTGAGACTTATTCACTTTCACGAGAGGTGGAAACCCTCATAAAACCATCAGATCTCGTGAGATTTATTCACTATCACGAGAGGCGGAAACCCCTCATAAACCCATCAGATCTCATGAGATTTATTCACTATCACGAGAGGCAGAAACCTCTTATAAAACCATCAGATCTCGTGAGACTTATTCACTTTCACGAGAGGTGGAAACCCTCATAAAACCATCAGATCTCGTGAGATTTATTCACTATCATGAGAAGTGGAAACCCCTCATAAAACCATCAGATCTCATGAGATTTATTCAGTATCACGAGAGGCGGAAACCACTCCTAAAACCATCAGATCTCATGAGATTTATTCACTATCGCAAGAGGTGGAAACCCCTCATAAAACCATCAGATCCCGTGAGATTTATTCACTATCATGAGAACAGAACAGTATGGAGGAAACCACCCCATGATTCAACTATCTACCAGTGTCCCTCCCAAAACACGTGGGAATTACGGAAGCTACAATTCAAGATGAGATTTGGGTGGGGACATAGCCAAGCCGTATCAATGCATAATCCATTGCTACACCACACTGAGGCTTAGAACAGCACCCGTTTATTATCTCACAGTTTCTGGGGGTCAGGAGTCCAGGCCTGGCTCAGCTAGGTCCTCTGCTCAGGATCGTAGAGGCCCTTGAGGGGTCCACGGGGCTGACTTCCCATCAGCAGGCTCCACAGGGAAGGACCGGCCTCCCTGAGACCCGGCTGCTGGCAGAGTCCACTCCCTCCCTGCTGCACAGCTCAGCCTCAGTGCTGGCCGCTTGCTGTCCCCAGCTGGCCCTGAGCAGTCAGTCCTGCCCACAGCCCCACAGCGGATACATATCACAGCCGCGGCATCTTCACAGCCAGCAGGACGGAGTGGGCTCCAGGGAGACCTGCGTCCCTGCTGTCGTCACCCTGGCGTCTTCTCTGAGTCAGGAGAGAGTCACGGGAGCCACCCGATCAGGGAGAGGATTCCTCAGGGGCATGAGCTCCGGGAGGTCGGAGTCATTAGGGGTTGCCTGGGAGTCTCTGAGCCACAGAATTTTACATTTTTAAAGGGTGGTGAAAATGTCATTTAAAATTAAAGAGAATTATATGTGACAGAGACCCTATATGTAAACACCCCTCGGGCTTCAGAGAGAAACCTGTACTGTTGCCTATGAAAAGGAACACAGGTTCACTAGAGAAAAGATGTCCTTTTATTCCTAGAAAACATTGTTTGTTTCACAGCCTCCTACTTATCAGAATGGACTTTGAGGGTGAGGTCTCTTTAAGAACTGATTCCCACTCTCTCCCTTACCCAGAGTGAAGAGAATGGGTGTGAAGAGAGCATGAAGAAGCAAGGCATACGGGCAGGACTCATGCTACCCTGTGCAAACTGGGATGCTGCAGAATCTGGAGGACAGAACAAGGGCCCCTCCAGCTCAGGCCAACCTCCCAGTTCACAGGGCAGGATGCGGCCTCATGAGGCCTTGCGGCAGCGCAGACCCCAGGAAGCCAAGAGATGGAGCTCGTCAGTGTCCACGCCTGCGGCCGAGGGCAGGGTGCCTGTGGGAGACTGGAGCTCCTCTCCTGCCTCCCTCCGGACTCTGAGCTCTCGTCCTGCTGGGCTGGATTTGGTTGTAGATACAGGGTGCAACCCCATCCCCAGATACCATAGCACGTCATGCCACACGCCCACGCCTTTCCATAGCCAGCTCCCATGAAATTGCAAACCACTGAAATGTACTTCCTTCTGGAAACTCCCCCCACATTCCCAAAGCCTGGATGCCAGGGGTTTCCTGTGACACCCTGCAGGACCTTGGCTTTTCCCACATACAGGATGGCTGTGTGATGTGTCTTTATATATCATTCTCTCTCCCTCTCCCTTTCTAGTTAAAAAACACCAGTGAAGGGCAGGGCTCTGCCCGCGATGTTTATTGCTGTGTCTGCAAATCCTAGCACAGTGTCACACAGAAAAAGTGAATATATCTGTTTGTGAATGTGTGTATATGTGCATGCGTGCCCGTGTTCACATGCATGTACATGTGGGTACCTGTGTGCATACGTGTGCACATGTGCATGTGCAGATGTGTTATGTGTGTATGCGCATGTCAATACGCATATGTGTGAGCAAGTGTGTCCATGTGCACACGCATGCATGGGTGGGCACGTGTTCCTACGTGTGTGCGTGTGTGAGCATGCCTGTGTATGCTCAGGTGTACACTGAATCAACCAAATGCTCTTTGGATTGAACAACAGGGCCTCACAGAGTTGCCATCTATTTTGTCTGAAATACCTGATCTGCCCTTTGGGTCCCAAGCCCCAGACGGGGCTAAGTCCAAGGGACAATTGCTGTGGTGGTTAATAGGAGCTGTCAGCCTGACTGGATTGTGGAGGCCTGGTGGCCGGCCATGTGTTGCTTTTGAGTGTATCTGTGAGGTGATTCCAGAGAGACTGACTGAAATTCAGTGATCTGAGATAGGAAGACCAGCCCTACATGTGTGTGGCACCTGGGAACCCAGCTGGACAAAACAGGGAGAAGAAAAAGAATTTGCTCTCTCTCTCTGCTCTCTCTCTCCATTCCAGGGCAAGGCCCCTTTCTTCCTCCTGTCCTTAGACATCAGACTCCAGGTTCTTCTGCTTTTGGACTCCTTAGGGCTCCCTGGCTTTGGCCTCAGACTGGGGGCTGCGCTGTCTGTTTCCCCAGTTCTGAAACTCCCAGACTTGGAATGAGCCAGGCTGCCGGCTCTCCTGGTTCTCCAGCTGCTCCGGTTCTTCAGTTCCTCTGGTTCTGCTGCGTCTCTGGTTCTGCTGCGTCTCCAGTTCTGCTGTATCTCTGGTTCCCCAGCATCTCTGGTTCTCCAGTGTTTCTGGTTCTGCTGCTTGCATCAGCCTATCTTGGAACTTCTCTGCCCCTGTGATTCTGTGAGCCCATTACTCCTCATCAATCCCTTTCATGCAATTGATTCTGTCAATTGTGGAGAAGGACATTCCAACGGGAATGAGCTTATTAAATATCATGAACATGGTACCCCGTGTGTGTATGTGTGTGTGTGTGTGTGTTTAAAACCTCTCTCTCTCTCTCTCTATCTATCTATCTATCTATCTATATATATATCTATATATATATCTATATCTATATATATATATATTTAAGGGGGTTGGGGTTGTAGGGAGATTTTTTTCCAGAATTCTGGGTGGCCCTTCACCAGGGCTCTGACTAGCTGATGGGAAATCTCAGTGTGAATAAGAGAAAAGCCTTCGCTCTGGAATTTCCTCCTTCCGCAGAAGGCACGAGTGTTAGTCAGAGTTCTCCAGAGGGACAGAATTGTGGGCAGTGTTTCTCTGTATTTTTGAGTATCTGCATTTTCTCATTTTTCTTCCAATATATTATTTAGAAAGAAAAAAATGGAAGATGAGTTTGTCATCAATAGCAACAAGCTTCGTGTAAAGACTGATGTAACTTACAAATGAATCCAAATGTACTCTCTCAGTAACGTCTGTTTAATAAATCAAAATGTGAAGAAGTTACTCAACTATGGATAACAATGTGTCTTAATCAACCCAGGCTGGAATAACAAACCAGCATGGACTTGTGGCTCAAACAAAAATGCATGACCCCACGGGCCTGGAGGCTGGAGCATGAGGTCAGGGTGCCTGCGTGGCTGGGTCCTGGTGAGGGCCGCTTCCTGGCCACCTTCTCACTGTGTCCACACATGGTGGTCAGAGGAAGCATGCTCCCTGGGGTCTCTTCCTATAGGGCACTGATCCCATCACGACGGCCCCACTCCATGACCTCATCTAACCTCATCACCACCCAAAGACCCCATCTCCAAATACCATTATGCTGTGCAGAGGGGCTTCAACATATGAATTTGGGGGGGACCCCTATTCAGCCCATAGAAAGGCAGGCCAACCCCATCCAGGGGTGTGAAAGGGACAGGACATTTTCAGAATAATCCATTGGCATCAGGCACAATGAAAATGTGAGAGTACAGACAGCAATGAGGAGGGCCTGGAATGCTGAATTGCTGGCACTTGGTGAGAAAGTTGGAATAAATGCAGAGCCCGAAAGAGCTTTGTCCAGATGGGAAGGTCAGCCGTGTCCTGGAGGCATCTTCCCCAAACAAATCTTCTACGTTTTCTTTGTTCACCTCTCTATGCAACCCTAGTAGCTTTTCCTGTGTTATTTTTGAGAAAATGTATCCCAAACACCTACTGAGCATCCAAATGTTTTACAAAGATATCAGTGGGGATTTGCAAGGGCGTGGAATCTTCAAGGCACTGAGATGCTGCAGATAATATATTGTCCATTTCACAGTGCTGATGTCCCCTCCATCTGGTAAAGATAAAACATGCCACTAACACAGCCCTGCAGCCACACGGAAGACTCCCTAAGCACAGGAATACACATCAATCCTGCTTCCCACCGGATCCGTACCACCTAACACACCTGTCAGCACACCGTGGTTACTTCAAAAGTATGTGATGAATTAATGCATTTTTTTTTTGACACAGAGTCTCACTCTGTCACCAGGCTGAAGTGCAGTGGTGTGATCTCAGCTCACTGCAACCTCCACCTCCTGAGTTCAAGCGATTCTCCTGCCTCAGCCTCCCAAGTAGCTGGGACTACAGGTGCGTGCAACCACGTCCAGGTAATTTTTGAATTAATGCATTTTTAATATTGTCATTTAAGTTCTGAATTTTTCTAAAATTGTTCTCCTACTTTTATTTCAATTCTTGTAGTTTAGCAATACTTAGCAATCAGCCTTGAAAAGCATGGAAAGAAACCCCACGTGTTTACTCAGCAAATATTCACTGTGAATTTTTTTCTGTGCTCGTCACGTGCTGATTAATGAGGCCAGAAAGAAGAATACGTGGGTCATAGGACCCCAAAGACAGGGTTTCCTGAGGAAATCAATGTGCAAGTGAACAATTACAGCACAGACGAAATCTCAGTCTGTGACAACTCAGTCCTTAGGTTCCTTAAGAAATTGTGCACGTATTGAGCCAAAATGGCTCCCTACCTGCACCCAAGGCCCTGGAGGGAAGCACTGGGATGCCCGGCATGGAAGGCAACACCTGCCCGCAGAGAGCCTGGCACGTGGGTGTCTCCGTGGGTCCTCCCCCTGCCCACCAGAACCACCAGTGCCCTCGGCTGCCGCTGCCAGATGGGCCCTCTCACTGGCATCTTCCCAAGCACCTGCTCCCAGCAAAATAGGAGACATGAGGGAAGGAAAGGGTGGCAGGGCGGGAGGCGGAACTCCAGAAAGTCGTCAGCATCGCGTTTCTCATTCCGCGTTTGTGGATGAAGTGTCCTGATTGCTTGCCCCTGAGGGCTTATGTTTTCAACATGCTACGTGCTTTCTGTTTGCTTTTTCTACCTTCCTTGAAAGCTGTTGAAAATATGTGATGAGGTCATACATATAGGACATAGTTTGGATGTGCATGTTTATAAGGTCAACAGTTTCAAATAGTCCAAATTTAATATTTGTATTTTTTATTTGTAATTGCATTAAGTTGAAGTGAAAAATTCATATAGATTCCTCTATGTTGATGATTTCAAATAAAACTATACAAACCATTTGTAGTAAAGTCACACCTAGTACTGAGATAAAACTTCTGTTTCATAAGGTTTTCCAAATGGAAGATTGTTTAGATTTCAATAATGCTAAATACATTTCACATCGATTGGCTACAACTTGCAAAACACCTTTTGGTTTTGGGAATGTTTTTCTAACATTTGACTCCATGTTCTACAGCAGTAAAATATAAAAGAAATAATTTCTCTGAAACACTTTCTTTATGACCATGAGAAGGAGTGTGAAGAAACTGGCTGTAACCACTGACACCAAAGGCTTGGGAGTGTTCTGTTAAAATGAAACACCTGATGTCAAAACATGATGAAGCCAAGATCATTATCATGATACAAACAATGAGCGTGTATTAGAGTAACAGGCAAATAACCAAGGGGTTAGGGACATTTTCCACTGCGTGGAAGTAACTTCAGTGACATCACACAAAGGTTTTAAGAGCAAAGTGAAGACTTTAACTTGCTCCAGGTGAACAAAAGAAGCAGAACATGGTCTTCCCACAAACAAGGAAAATGAAAACCTGTTCCCCACGTCTGAAATGCTGATCTGAGGAATAATAAACAGAAAAGCACAGGACTTCAGCTTACTCTGTTCCTGCCAAGTATCATAAACTAAATCAGCACTCAATTATCCCTTCCAAAAAAACATAAAACATGTTTCCAAATTGGGAAGGTCAACTGTTATTCAAAAGGCCTTAAGGTTGTTGTCAGTTCTGAGTAAATTCAACTCCAAATTCAACCATTTGGAAAATTGTGAGCACTGAACTGGAAAAGCCATCCATGCGTTTGGGAATCTGTGCTCATCGTGCGTCCTAATCAATAAAGCTGTTCAAGGGCAGCGCAGGCCGAATCCACGGCCCCAGTGATACATCTCAGAACTTCAGAGATGAGCTTCTGCTCGGAGGACTGACAGATGGAGATTTCCATGGAACCATTAAGTAACACTGATTTTGAACAGAACCTAACACCAGGGTGAGGTGCATGGCTATTGTCACCTAGACTTGGGATTGTTGCCAGAGAGGGACACGCATTCTTCTCCAGGATGTTGACTGTCCTCATCTATAAGATAGAAGAAGAAACTTCACTCACCGTAGTGGGAAGGCCATGCTACCACTATTTTAGGAATTTCCCCACACTCCCGACTTGAGAAGATGACGTCACAGTTGAGGCGCTCTCTCCCCTGTGGGCCATGTGGCCTTTCTCTGTCCCAAGTGTCCCAGTGTTTGTAGTACCAGTGAGACCATTAGGAGTCATAAAATTGGGTACAGTCTCACTGTGCTCCTCCTGCTGTTGTTATGGGATCTTTGGGGTATCGATTTTCTGGCTGGAAACCTCTATGGCTGGTGGTGCCTTTGCCTGAGTTCTTGTCCTGTGTACAGAAGAATGAGGCACACAGACAAGTGGAAGGTGAGCAAAATGAAGAGGAGCTTTACTGAGTGTTAGAACAGCTCAGAGGACACCCGCAGGGGGCAGCTCCTCTCTGCAGGAAGGTCATCTCATTGAGTGTTCAGCTCTCGGCAGAGAGAAGGCCCTGGAGAGGGTGGCTCCTCTCTGCAGCAGTTCCTCCTGTTGTCTCTCTGCAGCTGTCAGCAGAGAGGGTAGCTCTTCTCTGCAGCTGGTCGCCCTGCCATCTGTCTGTCCTCTGCCCTGCTCTGGCTGAGTCTGGGGCTTTGGAAGGAGATGTGTGTTGGAGCCACTCTAACAGGTGTGAGGTGACATATCATCATGATTTGATTCACATTCCCCTGATGATTAGTGATACTGATGCTGACCACATTTTTATATACCCGTTGGCCAATTGTATGTCTTCTCTTGAGACATATCTAATAAAGTTTTTGTCTTGTTTTTTAATCAGAATACTTAGATTTTTGCTATTGTTTGAGTTCCTTATATATCCTGGATAATAGACCTTTGCCAGATGTAGAATTTGCACATATTTTCTTCCATTCAGTCAGTCTTTCCTTCACTCTGTTGATTGTTTCTTTTGCTGTGCAAAAGCTTCATAGTTTTTGGAATATCATTTGTCTATTTCTGTTTTTGTTGATTATGCTTTTGAGGACTAATCCAAAAAGTCCTTGCTCAGTCCAAGGTCATGAGGTGTTCACCCTATGTTTTCTTCTAGTAGTTTCATAGTTTGGGGGTCTCACATTCAAATATTTAATCTGGTAGTTTCATAGTTTGGGCGTCTCACATTCAAGTATTTAATCCATTTCGAGTTGATTTTAAGTGGTGACAGATAAGGGTCCAGTTTTATTCTTTTGCATGTGGCTATCCAGTTTCCTCAGCACCATTTATAAAGGTGGTCCTTTCCCCACTGTGTGTTCTTGGTGTCTTTGTCAAAAATTACTTGATTGTAGATGTGTGGATTTATTTCTGGGCTTTCTATTCTGTTTCTTTGGTCTGCATGTTTGTTTTTATACCAATACCATGCTGTTTTAGTTACTATAGCTTTGTGGTATATTTTGAAGTCAAGTGGTGTTGTCACAGGGTGATCTCCAAAACTGGGGCTCAGCCTAGGAAGCCAAGTGGGTTCTTGCTTTAGCACAGGAAAGAACTCAAGAGTGAAGTGGCAGAGAAAAGCAAGAGCAAATTTATTAAGGAAAAAAAGGAACAAAAGGAGCCACTCCACAGGCAGAGCAGGGCAAGACTATAGGAGGGTATTTCCAGGGTTGCTTCTAGCTGGCTGTCTTAGCGCGATTTCTTCATTATATGTTAGACAAGCGGTGAGTTATTCATGAGTTTTCAGGGAAAGGGGTGGGGAGCTCCTGGAACTGGGGTTTCTCCCCCTTACAGGGTAACTTCCGGGCATTGCCATGGCATCTGTAAACTGCCATGGTGCTGGTGGGCATGGCTTTCATATGCTAATGCATTATAATTAGAGAAATAATAAGCACTGAGTAGGACCAAAGGTCATTTCTGTTGCCATCTTGGTTCTAGCTGGCTTTAGCTGGTTTCTCTACTGTCTCTGGTCTTATTAGTGGAGTCATGTGACCTGTTGTCTTGGTAAACAAGTCCAGCTGAATTCTTATTTCAGCGTGGGCTTTTGTTTCCCTCAAGATTGCTTTGGCTCTTAGGCTTTTTTTGGTTCCACAGGAATTTTAGAATTTTTTTTTTCTATCTCTGGGAAGAATGACATTGGTATTTTGATAGGAATTGCACTGAGTCTGTAGATCACTTTGGGTCATATGGACTTTTTAACAATATTAATTTTTCCAATCCACAAATACAAGATATCTTTTCATTTATTTGAGTCCTCTTCGATTTCTTTCATCGTTTTATAGTTTTCAGCACAGAGATCTTTCACTTCCTTGGTTAAATTGATGCCTAAGTATCATTTTTTTTTTGTAGCTACTATAAATGAGCTTGATTTCTTTTTCAGATTAGCCACTATTCATGTATAGAAACTCAACAGATATTTGTGTGTTGACTTTGTGTTCTACAACCTCACTGAATGTGCTTATTAATTAGTTCTAACAACTTTTTGAAGGAGTCTTTAGGGTTTTCTATATGTAATACCAACTCCTCTGCAAGCAAGGACAATTTGAATTCTTCCTTTCCAATGTGGTTGCCTTTTATTTCTTTCTTTTGCCTAAGTGCTAGGCTAGGACTTCCACTACCGGTACAGAATAGAAGTGATGAATATACTCTGTGCAGGCGTGAGAGTGCTTTTGATTTTTTTAGGAAACATTTGTTAAGTACTTAATGGAAATGGCACATTATTTCTGCAAATTACTCTGAACAGGTTTCATGGAAAGTAATCTGCATATAAATAGAGAGAAGCTGAGTATTACCTGGGACTTGAGTGAAAGATCAAGGGCACAGCAGCCCCAGCTATGTGCGGTTTCACTTTCTGTGGTCCCAGGTGCCTGTGGTCAACTGCAGTCTGAAAATATTAAATAAAAATTTCCTGAAATAAACAGTTCATAAGAGTGAAGTTGTGCCCTGAGAAGCATGGCAAATCCTCACACCGACGCCTTTGTGCCTCTCAGGATGTAAGTTGCCCTCTCAGTTCATAAGAGTGAAGTTGTGCCCTGTTCTGAGAAGCATGGCGAATCCTCACGCCTTCTCTGTCCCATGAATTCACTGTGTGCACCACACATCCTGACACTTAGTAGCTGTCTGGGTTATAAATTGACTGTCCAGGTAGCACAGTGCTTCTGTTCAAGTCTTGCTTAATTTATTCAGTATTGGCCCCAAACACAAGACTAGGGCAAAGAGAAGCCATAAAGTGCTTCCTTAAGTGAAAAAGTGAAAGTACTCACTTTAATAAGGAAAGGAAAAAAATGTATGATGAAATTGCTAAGATTTCCAGTGTGGTAAGAATGAAACTTCTAGGGGCAGAAAAACTAGTTACAGAATGGTAACCAAGTGTGAAACAGGAAGGTAATAGGTCTTCCTTGCAGAAATAAGACTATGCCTGGAGGGGGAATAGGTTCAGTTAGCAAATCAAGCAATATAAAGGATGTTCCCACAAGGCTGTCAGTCCAGAAAGTATTTTAAGTTAATTCGAAAATGAAACCCAGCTGCGCATGGTGGCTCACGCCTGTAATCCCAGCACTTTGGGAGGCTGAGGCAGGCGGATCACCTGAGGTCTGGAATTTGAGACCAGCCTGGCCAACATGATGAAACCCTATCTCTACTAAAAATACAAAAAAATCAGCCTGGCGTGGTAGTGGGCGCCTGTAATCACAGCTAATCAGAAGGCTGAGGCAGGAGAATTGTTTCAACCAGCGAGGTAGAGCTTGCAGTGAGCCGAGATCGCGCCACTGCACTCCAGCCTAGGCGACAAGAGTGAGACTCTATCTCAAAATAAATAAATAAAATAAAAAATAAAAATAAAAATAAAAATAAAAATAAAAAAGAAATCATGCTAGTTTTGCTATCACATTTCAAACTGCAAACGTTACGGCTGCAGTGAGTGATAAGTGCCTATTTAAGACGGAAAAGACGCTGAACTTGTAGGTAGAAGACATGAGCGGAAAGGTGTTCCCACCGAGGGCACGTCAGCGCAGAAAGCACAATCCCATGGGAAGACTTCAGCAGTCAGTCCCCCAAAGTGAGTGACACTGAGCCATTCATGGCAAGTGAGGCATAGCTACACTGATTTAGGAGTGGGCTTGTCACGAAACCAAAAACCAAAAACCAAAAAACTGGAGAGGCTGTGTTTGCCAGTGAAGAAGCTGCTGCCATATTTCCGGCAGAGTTGAAGTTGATTAAAGGGAAAGGATGCCATCCAAAGCAAGTCTTCAATTGCAGTGAGACCAGGCTCCTCTGGAAGAAGATACCCAACAGAACCTACGTTCTTGAAAGGGCAAAGAAGGCCCCAGGGCATAAAACACTGAAGGGCTGATTTACCCTGTGCCGTGTGCAATGCTGTAGGACGTGTGGCCAAGCCAGGTGTGCTGCACACACAGAGGAACACTTATGCTCAAAAAACAAACGTTACCTGCTTGTGTTCAGGCAACATAACCAGAAAGCATGAGTGGTAACCACCATGTTTATGGAAGGGCTCCACCAGTACTTCCTCCCAAAGCCTTGGAAGGGGGAAGGTTGGAATATAAAGTCTCATTAGTAACAGACAATGTACCTGGCCATTCTGAATATGTTGACTATAAAAATGACAAGGCCAAGGTTGTATTATTATTAAGACCGGGTCTCACTCTGTCGCCCAAGCTGGAGCGCAGTGGCATGATCTCGGCTCAATGCAACCTCCGCCTCCAGGGTTCAAGGGATTCTCCAGCCTCAGCATCCCTAGTAGCTGGGACCACAGGTGCATGCCACCATGCCTGGCTAATTTTTGTATTTTTTTGTAGAGACGCGGTTTTACCATGTTGCCCAGGCTGGTCTCAAACACCTGAGCTCAAAGCAATCTACCTGCCTTGGCCTCCCGAATTGCTGGGATTACAGGTGTGAAGCACTGTGCCCGGCCTCAAGGTTGTATTTTTACCTTGAAATACAACCTCATTGCTCCTGCCTTTTGACCAGGGCATCTTCCAGTTTGTCTAGGCCACATACATCAGTTTGGTCAGCAATTGATGCATACATATATATGCATATATATATATATATATATATGCATGCAATTGATACATATATATATGCATGCAATTGATACATATATATACACACATACATAGTTCAGTACTATCCACGGTATCAGGCAGCCACTGGGGGTCTTGGAACATACCCATGAGGATGAGGGGTTACTGGAGTTTTTTGTACTACATTTAGAAAGTTTCTGTAAATTCAGAATTATTTCAAAGTTAAAAGTTAATAAAGAGACACTAACTGCAACTGGTTTTAGACACATCTCAGAATCAAAGCTATACTCATCACAAAAACCAGAAAGTTGAATTTTGGTAACCTCATGGGGGACATTCCCTCGCAGAGTTTCAGGATAGTCAGGGTTTTACTTTTTATTGTTATTGTTATTGCAGTAGAACCCTAGTATTTAAAATAAGCAAAATAACCCTTACGTGCAGTCCTGACACAGATGCATAAAAGCAGATAGGCAGTTAAAACTTGAATTAATTAGCCTTTCAAAAGCAGCCCCAGAGCGCCTACGACGTCCTGGAATCACAAAATTTTATTATAGAAAGGATTCCAGAGATTGTTAGCCAAAACTACATTATTTTACAAATGAATTAACAATTACCTTTGGTCTGAAAAACAAAAATATATGTGTCTATTCATTTAACGATAAAATTTTAACAAAAACTTGTCTCTCAAAGTCAACATTTATGCATGCAACACGCTGTTTTTCCTTCTTCAGGCCCTGGAATAGAATGTCCCTTTGCAAGGTAATGAGACAATATCTTTGTGCTATTTGTAGACATTTAATTTCTCAGAGATTATATGCACGCTCTTTTAAAAATGCAATTTAAAGGCAAACAATAATCTCTTGTACTTTTTCTTATTCTAGGTTTTGCTACAAATAAAAAGTAATACAATATTTTTTACCAATTCACCCAAGAAGCATATTTTGTAACAGCCACTGTGCCACGTATAAAAAGACCTGGTTTTTGCTATTCAAGAGCTTGTCCTCTGGTTAAACTGAGTGCTAAGAAGTGCTGGCAGACTGCCGTGAAGGTGAAACAGGAATACAGAGAATAGAGAAATGGGGAAGGGCGTCTGTGTTCGAAACCCAGGTCTGCTCAGGGGTCAAGCAAGTCGGAGTCAGAAAAAGTAAAGTGTTTAACATCGAGTTTTCAATATTTATTTGTTTACAATGCGTCACATTCTGCTCCTAGATAGGGTTAACCTCTGAAGACCTCAGATTTCGCTGCTTTTCCTTGCCGTGGAGAGGGAATAAAACGGGCATCGTGGCCTCCGCGATGGGCGCTCGTGCCTGGGTCGAAGGACTGGGGGGCGGAGGATTTGGAAAGGGAGAAAAATACGGGCTGGCTTCTTTTTAAAAAATGTGGGTAGCCTTGCCTGCCCCCGCCGCACTGGAATTTATCCTAAACTTACTTTCATTTACATTAAAACAAGACGATTTGAGTCTACCAAACCCAATACTGCATCTGTGAGGCTCCTTTTGGCACAAACCTGAATGAACAGCGGGAAACGCCGTCTCCCCTGGCGTCTGAGATCTGGGGTCCCCTCCCCACCTGGTCTCCTCGCTCCCGCCCCAGCCCCGTGCGCCCCAGGAGGGCACCGCCGAGCGCCGGGTCCCCGCAGGGTTCGGGAGACTCCGCGGACCGGAGGAGGGATAGGACCCCCGAGCTTTGGGGGCGGGAAGGGAGGGTGGAAGGAGGAGGGGAGCGGGGTTGGGGAAAGTTGGAGCTTCGGTATCTTTTCTCCGGGCCAGGCCGTCCTCGGGGCCCTGCGCTGCGTCTCCAAGTGCTGGGAAGACTCCGCGGGGAAAGGTCTGAGGACGCGGCCGGCTGGCACAGGTGTGGCGGCTTCAGAGGGCCGGGGAGAACCCATGGCTTCGAGGCTGTGGACTAGAAATGTCCCTGATTAGAAGCTGAGAACCTTTGGCCAGGGAGGTGGGGCGGCGGGGAGGGGTCGTCAAGCCGGTCCAGAGCGCGCCCACCTGCGCCACAAGGGAGAAGAGGTGCCCCCCGCCCCCCTCCGCCCACCGCCGCCACGATGCGCCGCGGACCTCGGCGACCCAGCCCGGGTAGAAGCGCGCGCTCCCCTCCTCCAGCCTCGTGCGCCGGCCCCTGCCCCGCCAGCCCCGCTATGGTCCCCCATCCACCCCCGCGGGAGCGCCCCTGTCCCCCCATCCTGCACTTCCCCCAGAGTCGCGCGCCAGTTTCCCGCCCCGTGGAAGCGCCCCTCTCCCGACTTCGGCTGATCCCCGCTCGCCGCCCTCCCCGCGGGTGCGCGCCCGGCCCCTCCCTCGCCCGGGGCGGGTCTGCGTGGGCGGTGCTCCGGGTCGGCGGGCGGAGCTCCGGTTCCCCAGCCCTGCGCCCCGGTGGAGCCCGAGCCGGAGCCGGCAGAGGGGCGCGGGCGCGGACGCGGCGCCTGGCGGGGCCCTGGGAGGCTCGGACGGGGTCCTGGCGTTGAGCTCGGCCGGCCCGGAGCGCGGACCCAGCCGCAGGGGCGGCGATGGGCACCGAGGGACCCCCGCCCCCGGCCGCCTCCCGCGGACGCCAGGGCTGCCTGCTGGTACCTGCGCGGGTGAGTGCGGCCCCTCAGCGCCCCTTCACCTCCGGCCCCCCTTCCCTCTCCTTCGCGCCCTTCTCCCCCCGCCCCTCCTCCCTCCACGCCCCCTCGCTCCCCGCGACCCCTTCCCTGTCTCCGGGGACGGCTGGCCGGAGGGTGGGCGCCGGAGCCCCGGGACGCAGTGGGCACCCGCCCCCTGGCCGCTCTGCTCCCTCCAGCCCAGTGTCTTACTGGAAACTTGCAGGCTTTGCTCCTCCAGCGTCTTCCAAGGTTTGGTTTTGAGGCGCCCGGGCTTCCCTTTACTGCGTGGGAAGTAGTGCTTTCCAGAATTTGGGATTTGAGATTGGCCCGGCATTGCTTCCCAGGAGCGGCTCTTTCGGGCCCAGGCGGTGGCTCGGACCGGAGCGTCCCCCCTGCAGCCTTCGGGCGCCCAGGCCAGGTCTGAGTTGGCCAGTTTGAGCCCAGCCAGGTGCATGGCGCGGCCTCGGCAGGTGCTGGGGGCTCTAGGCCATTCGGGGAACCGCTGGGACGCCAACTGGGTAATACGGATTTCTTTTTTGAAGTCTATTCTGGTTCCCACCCTAAATAACTCCCTCTTCACCTTCTTATTTTTAAATAACTAAACTATTGATTGACAGAAAACAGAAATGTTGGCCCAAAGAAAAACGAAAAGTTCTTGGAAACCTTCAAGTTGCCACCCACAGCACAGCCTCGAGTTGTGAAAACAGTTTAAGGGAGCACGTGGCCACCCCAGCCCTAGGAGGCTGCCGAGAAGCGCGGCTGTTAATGAAAATGCATTGACAACCACTCCTTTAGGATTCCTTCCCCAGGAGCTCCCAGTCCCAGGAGCGACCAGGAATACAGTTAGCCCTCCCTTATAGGACAGTGGAGAGACGGTTCAGAAGGCCACGGGTTGAGGGCTGCTACAAATTCCTATCGTCATAATAATGATTCTAAACTAGGACTGTGGTCGTCGCTACTGTGATGTTAAAAAGATTTCTATGTAGAGACAGGTGCATCTTCATTCAAGTAGCACCTTTCTGGGCTTTTACTACAAAATATGAAAATTAAATTTCATGTAAAATGTGGGTGTTCGTTTCTTGAAGTACTTTGTAATATGAATAGCTATCCCACTGTTGCCCATGGTAATCAAACCCGAGAAAATATGCGGGGATTACCTGGAAATAAACCGCAGTAAAAACTGCAGGCGCTGTGGAATCACAGGCTTTCCGTCTGGTCACTGCCTTCAGCTTTATAATGATGCCCTCCCACGGTTAGGGATTGTGCATTTTTCTCCAGACATTCGAGCAAAGCAATTCTTGCTTTTAATCATTGTAATTATAGCGGAAGCGTTGAAGTGGATTCATCATACTTCATGATTGACCCACTTGATGAGTTATTGGCAATAACGTCAACAAATAAAGCAACTGCGCGTATTCTAGTAAATGCTCTCCTTTGCGCTCAGTATTAATTAAGGTGCTAAATTTGATGTTTTCCAGTCAAGAGTGGCCTCTGCTCACCTGTTTGCTACAAGATGTGATTGGCGCTTTCTTTCTAATAAGGACCTTGATTATTTGAAACAGCCTGTCTGAATTGTATTGAAAGAAACTTTTTTTTTAGCGTTGGAGGCCAAGTATTACAATAAGATGGAGCATTTTAAGAGCAAGACTCCTAACTTTGCAGTCATAAGTAATTAGGTATGTGCTAAGCCTACCTTAGACACCAGTGCATGGTCATGTTAGCTCAGATTCTTATGTATTTAAAACGAATCTGTTAAGTATTGGTGTTGGCAGGTTTGTCTTGAAAACATGAATGTTCTTAGTATACAATGTCATCCTTACTTAATGGCAGAATTATTTTCTTACCATAACTGCACAATATTATTCAACTTGTGTAATTATTTAATCATTTCAGTTAAGAGAACTTGGTGCTTTTAACTAGAAAAAGATGAAAGTCTTTTCTAAATCTTATATTTCTAGTTATATTTTTTCTATCTGAAGTCAAAACTATACACATTCTTTATCATGACTGCTTGTTTGAATCATGGAATTTGGCCACGTTTGAAGGTCTCCTGTTCGGTAACAGACCTGTTTTGTTTCCCCTTTCAAGTGCCTGTTCCCGATGTTTTTTTCTAAGTTAAGTGAGTTCATGGAGCTCTGTCTCTGACCATACCTGGATTTGAGGGGTAAAATCCCACTGGCAGACAACCTCAGTACAATGTGCGAAGTGTGTCTTGCTTGTAGCTTCAAAGACTACTATTGGTTGATGTTTACAGCACATTTGCTGCTTTTAAATGACAACACTTCTTCAGTCTGGGGCGCTGGAAGAATTATTGGCATGAGCCGGGAACATGCCCATTTATGTGATGAGCTTGCCCACTGAAGGGGGAAAGCACGTTAGGTCATTTTAAAGGTGCATGTGGGGTAAGGGCACCACCTAATCATCTGTTTACAGATGTGAATTGCTGCATGAGATGAATGAAGCATCTGAGCTCCTAAGAAGGTTCCCCATTCCTTCTATGCTTTGGTTATGTTTCTCATCCTTGCTGACTCATCTTTAATTTCAACTGTAGAATTTCTATTGACGTCTATGACATCATAAGCAAAATCCATGCATTACAAAGCAGGCAGTTACCTGACTTTACCAGGAGACATGGAGACATGTTCCCCAGTAAATATTTGAATGAGGTCCAATTAAGAAAAGTGTGCCTTGTTTTTGTTTTTGTTTTTTTCCAACATGGGATGTTAAAATTGCCTTGTTTTCTGAATGGTGTATGTGGAGCAACAGCTTCTTGTCTCTGGATATCTTTATGGATGATGACTGTAGACAAGGCATTTAAGCTTCAGTTTTAATTTAGATCTGCTTCTCAAGATACCCCATGAGGCTCTGAGTGAGTTGGCAGAGGGGCTGGCATTGCAGTTCTCGGTGACAGAGGGTGTGTTTGCATCGCAGGCCTCCTATTTACTAAATGGGTATATTCAGGATAGACTTACTAAGCAGTGTGATTTTCTGGCTTTCCTGTTAGCTCATGTAGCATGTGACAGCAGGCACACGAGGGACCCCAAAGAGGAGCTGCTCTCAGGCTCTGCTGCGCACCCCTAGCTCCTGCGCTGCTGGGCATGGGGCGGACACAGGCAGGTGCTCGTGGAAATGGAGAAGGAAGGAGGGAGATCAGGGTTCCAGGGAACTCAGAGAACCCCGGCTTCGGGAACCACCATCCTCTCTGGCTCTGGCTTCTCACCTGTGGAATGTGTGCTTGGGTTCCGAAGGTCACTTTGTATCTGATTCCAAATCCCTCAGAAACTCACTCTTTAATTAGTTCTAGAGGTATTTTTGTTGAGTGAGACACAACAAGGAAGGTGGAAAACATGCTTTTGGAGGAAAAATGCACTCAGGATTTAATGGAAAATGGACCTTGAACTGGTGTGTACTTGTCATTGTTGTCCAGCTGGTTACCGCATGTTGTCATGACTGTAGTTTTGAATAGTCGACTTTGGATTATTTTCAGCTAACACTAGATGTCACTTTCCCCCAGTCCATACTAAAGTTCCCTGTAAAATTCAGGAAGCCGAGGTTATCCTTCCTATTTCTGTATTAAATGCTAAGCTCCCCTATGTGGGTGTAATCCCTCACCTGAGGACTGACCCCAGCCTGTGGCTCTTCATCCCCTGCCCCTCTGAACAAGAAGGCCCTCCAAAAGCTCACCCATTTCTGGCTGCCTTCCAGGGACCGTGCTGCTTCTTCACCCCATCAGCCTGAACCTTCCTGTTTTCTCCCCTTGCACATTTTAATAAATACTGTTAACAATGCTGTGAATATGAGGATGTGATTTTGCAATTAGAATTACATGTTAAAATAGTTTGCTTTTTAAGGAGTCTACATTTTTACATCCTATAAATATGATTATAAACTAGCTACATTTTAATTTAGCAAAGACTTTGGATTTAAGAAAGTGAGTATGCTTCTTATTTAGGGGATACTGTTCTAAACATTTGTAAAATGTAAAGTTATATTTTTAGTGCAAAAACTATTAAACTTCACAGTCTGCTAACTGCTAAACTGCTAAGTTTTAATTCTGTTTTATCTGTTATACTTTGTAAAGAAACTGCATGTCATTCACTTCTCTGGACTTGAAACCTAGATCAGTGCATGGCCTGTTATTTTGCAATAATCCGCATTAGTGTTAATGAAAAAGGTGACCCTCCACTGTCAAGATTCTGAGTATCAACTCTGGGAGTTACCAACATTCACTCGACATTTGGGTGAACATCATTTGATGATGGCACCGAATCGTGTTATTATAAAAACAATCACATAGAACATTAGAATCAAGTGTCCTAAATATCGTGCTTATTGGCCTCCATTTTATAAATTTACTTTTCCTCTTGTTTTTATTTGGACCCCAGCTCCAGAAGACAAACTTTCTTCTTGTACTCAGCCAGTGGCAGTGGTCTCTAAGTATGGACTGACCAGGAAATCACTGTAATTACTCCTACCTTCATCAAAATAGTTTAAATGACAAATCCTGTGCAAGAATTAAATTCCACTTCTGTAAACAATGCTTATAGTTGCAGATGTTTTATTGTGTAGTTCATAAATTATTATAGGTAAGGGCACAGCCATGGGGACGCACTCAGATTCCATGGAAGAATGTTTCTGTTCGTTGAGCGGGTGTTTAGAAAATAATCTGCATTTTTGAAGTGGGATACAGCTGCCAGTTGTTCTGAACAAAATCATCACTTATTTTGGATTTGGCAGCAAGTCCTCTAGCAAGTCCTCTCACTCCGAACAGGGAGGCCTCCCGTAGTCTGGGGTCCCAGCTACCCTCCTTTTAGAAGCTGGTGCCAGGGAGGCCAAGGGGCCCACATCTGCCACTGTCTCCGGCCCTGCCTCAGAGCCTTCCCTGCCCCTGCCCCTGCCCCTGCATCTGCATCTGCATCTGCCCTGGCCCCACCCACTGCCCTTGTGACTGTGCTGGCCCCTGCCCCTGCCCCTGCCCCTGCCCCTACCCCTGACCCTGACTTGTGCCAAATGCTCCGCACCTGCCCCTACCCCTGCCCTGCCCCTGCCCATGCCCTGCACCCACCGCGCCCCGCCCCTGCCCCTGCCCTGCACCTACCCCTGCCCTGCACCTACCCCTGCCCTGCCACTGCCCCTGCCCCTGCCCCGCCCCTGCCCCACCCCTGCCCCGCCCCGCCCCTGCGCCTCCCCCTGCCCTGCCCCTGCACCTCCCCCTGCGCCTGCCCCTGCTGGGCATTCTGCGCGGACCTTTCCAAAACTCCTCTCTGCAGCTCAGTCCGGAGCAGGGTTGTGTTCTGCCCTTCCCAGGCTGGAGCATAACCACTCACCCCGTGGCTGCATCCTTCCTCCCTCGGGCCTTCACACACCTTGGTTGGGCACGTGGAGCGCTGCCTGCCCTGGCCCAGGGCCTTTGCTCAGCTGCCTCTCCTGGAGGCTGCATCTCACCAGGCGCAGCACCTGCCCCCGCAACCCATGCCCCTTCCTGCGGAGGACCCGCTCCCCCAGGGCCCCGGCCCACCCGTGGCTGTGAATGGGCCCATCTCGGTCGGGCGTCTAGGAGGGAAGTGGCACCTGGGTCCCCTGCTGCTGTGAGCCCGTGGAGGGGCCGCTTTCAGAAGGACACAGCCCGGGGAACTCGGTTCTGCCCTGCTGCGTGGTAGCTGACCCATGTGTCAGTTGAGCCAATAAGTATATATCTGAATTAGATGTATGTGTTTCTATGAACTAGAGAGAAAGTTCCGTTTCTGGTTTTTGAACTGATAATTTATTTTGTATTTATGCCCAGTTTATTTGGATTTAAGTAAAATTGTGCTTTCATATTTTTAGAATAGCTATGTTTTGATTTTAATTTTTCACATCAGCATAAGTTTAATGGTAAATATAATTCTATTTCTCAGCTGTATCCTGCTCAAGATTATCCTTCATGACTTCTCTGCAGATAATTATATTTTACCAAATGGCTCTGTCAGTTTGCCTTTTTACATGATTAAGTTTTCTTTATGTACTGAGAAATATGAAATTACTTCTTATACCTAAACCTGGGGACATCCAGAACCCGATGAGTTAGATGCAGTGTTTTTAGAAACGTGTGCCAACTTGGTCATAGTTAGCATAGGTCATATGGTCTTGAAAGAAATCCAAGTCTGGTTTTATTCCTAAAACGATCATGGTCTGCAGCAAGGTAGATAGAGAAAGTCCAGCCTTTGTATTACCTCCTCAGAAACACTAGAAATTTTACCACCTCCCTGCTTGAGGGGGAGCAACGGATGGGGAACGGTGGTGGGAAGTAGCTCTGGGTCTCAGGCCTCCTTTTGAAAGTTGGGGGTTTGGCGATGATTAAGTGCCATTTGGAGAATTGCTTTATCATGATGCACCTTACGTACGTGCAGACACAGACACACAGAATTTAGAGAAGAATGATTGAGTACCTATTAATTGCCACACACTGAGCTGGAAGCTAAAGATAAAAATAGAGTAGAACACCTCTCAGACCAGGCCAGTGGGGCCCTGACTACCTGAGAGGCAAATTCTAGACAAGCAGACACGAAACAGCACAGGGCAGCTACAATGTGTTCCCTCTTCTATAGATGAGGTCGGGCAACATTTGTCTTCCGGCACATGGAAGGCGAGACTGGTACTGAGACTGAGACTGAGACTGAGACGGGAGAGATGCAGTCACAGGCCAGGGGCACCTGCAGCCACCAGAGCTAGAGGAGGCAGGAAGGAGGCTCCCTGGAGCCTCTGGAGGAATTTGATCCTGGACTTCTGGCTTCCAGAACTGTGAGAAGATAAATGTGCATTGTTTTAAGCCACTAAGTTTGAGGAAGTGTTGTCATAGCAGCCGTGGGAAGCTAATCAGTCTTTTTAGGTAAGTAATATAGCTTTTAGGGAATATCTTCTTAGAAATGTAGGGAATTTGAGCCCAGAACCCCCAGGTTAGAACTTACCTAATTGCTAACATCTACTAGGTACTAAGAGCTCTTTGGAGGGCTTCGTTCCTTTAACACCCCTGGGGTACTGCTGATGCTCCCCACCTACACATAAGACTGTAGAGACGGCAGGTGAGGTGTGGTCCGCATGGTGGCTGCAGCCCCTGGGCGTCTGACTGTGAGAGAGATGTCTCTATCCCACGTGCAAAGGCTGAGAAATGGCCCCAAATGCGTTT
This sequence comes from Homo sapiens, assembly GCF_000001405.40. Lineage (NCBI taxonomy): Eukaryota > Metazoa > Chordata > Mammalia > Primates > Hominidae > Homo > Homo sapiens. The sequence continues at coordinate 958,240 of NC_000002.12, forward strand.
CCTTTAAGTGGTTATTGCTTGTGAGACAAAAGGATAACAACAGGAATTAGGAAATCAGAATCAGGAGGAATATACAACTGTTTTCTTATAACTGAGGTTGTCATACAAAATGGGAACAGGTTCATAAGTCGAGTAGATGGCAACAGCTCATGCAGCCCCTCCCCACACACATAGCAGTGAAATGATGTTGAGATCATGCAGAGTACTATGTGATATTCTCCAGATTTGGTGCTTCAAGATGGATTTTTCATAAAAAGACTCTGCAAAGATATGACATTTTATTGAAGCTGAACTAGCAGAAGCTTTGTCAATTACCTACACTGTAATTGCTTTAAAAAGGAAAAAAAAGAAAACCTCTAAAGTCACCATTATCTAAATTGGGGTTAAGAATTTGAAAGGTATTGAGAACATGAATTTGTAACCAAAATACATTATAATCTAAATAAATGGTCTTTTTTTTTAAAGTGGTTCATTTGAAATCCAGAGAGATATGAAAAAAATTGTGTGGACTTCCAAATTATTTTCTATTTTAGCTTTCTAGATGTAGTACAGTAAAATGTACTATTTCTTACATAGTTTAATATTTTGATGTTAGGAGTTATAGTATCAAACATGCCTTATGACAGTCAAAATTTTGGGATAGTACGATATCTAAAACAATGATGCTTGGGTAAGAGTTAAGAAATTAGAACCAAACTCTGAAACTGCTAATAACAAAAGGTAATAAAGGATAAGGACTCACACACAGATAAGACCACTTTTTCTCTGTATATAAAATACATTTGTTCTTTGTAGCAACAAAATGAAATAGAACAAATTGTAATATATTTTGTAATGTATAACACTTATATAAGGTTTAATTATATTTAAAAAATTCATTTCTATGTTGAATAATATTGTAAATTTAGTAATCGAATAAAGAGGAAAATCTAGTAGCTGAAAAAAGGAAGTAAACTGAAAGCTTTCCTATCAGAACAAGATACAAACCCACTAGGAAACAGCTGCATATGTGAATTACGTGCTTTGTAAGCGCTGGGATGTAAATATTCTTTTATGCAACTCTTCCTTATTGAATTGAGGAGAGGACCAGCACAGATCTATGAAAATGCTATGAGCTTTATGTATTGCAATTATTTTCTTCCAAAGCTTTATCAAATTTTGTCGTGACCTACAGATTCTTTTGGTTTTAATCAGGGTGGAATCAGAATGCTTTTAGATTTGTAATTTCCATGTTGGCAGGAGGAAGGGAGTCAGGGAGGCCTGGAGTCGGGGGGAGGTCCAGGGTTCAGCTGTGCTAGGGTCGCCTGGTGCAGGGGGCTGCCTGGGGGTGTGGTGTTCCCGCAGTGGGCTGTGCAAAGTCTCAGGGCGGCCTTTGCTTTACTGGCCTTGGGCTGAATGGAGAAGGTGAACGGAGCAGACCAGTGTCACAGAATTGCATCGTGCAGGCCTTGCCTTTGTGACCCGGGGCTGGAGGCTGCATCTCGGGTGCCGCTGTGCAGATGGAGGGAACCTTTGGGGATGTGATTTGAATCTTCCTATCCCCTTCTTTGGAGTAAATACATTTCCTTTATTCCTTTGATGTTTGTATGAATAGTGGCATGGTATCCGTATCTCAGTACTGAAAGTGAATATGAGATGGAAAAATACAAGGAAGGAAAGTTCCTGTGACCTGGTCTATACCTATCTAGCAGCTCATAGATTTCCTTCTGGCTTTTTCTGGTGTATATTCTGTAAGTTAAACTCATCCTCAAGATAGAATTTTCTATCCTGCTTTTTAGAATTCTCATTATAAAATGATAATTTTCATAGTTTGCTAAGAAATATCCATCAATTACCATCATCCCCCTGCTTAAGGTTCTTCTGTATCAGTGGAGAGGCTTCGGGCAGGTGTTCCCGTAGGAGGGGGCTCTGTTAATGACACGGTCCTTTGCCCTTCTGTCTGGAAAGCAGCACCTGTCCTTGCTGCACTGGCTCAGGCGTCTGTGACTAGGGTGACAGTGTTGCTTAGGAATCCCAGCTGATAGCCAGGCCTGTTCCCTGGTAGGATCCCACAGTGGGGAATGCTGGGCTTCTGGGCCCCACAGTTCTCCCGAGAGCTCGGGCTGCCTGTTCTCCTTTGTTCTCTCCTTTGTTGGGAATGCTTCAGTGCACGATGCTTTTCAGGGTAGGGTCATGTGTGCCTTATTTTCTCATCGGTGAGATTGGATTCCTGTTGTCTCCCAGGTGAGCCCTGGAACTCAGGGTTCAGCTGGATGCAGACAGAGGACTCTGCCCTCGTGGAGGAGCTGGGAGCACGGTGAGCTCTGAGGGTTCCGGGGCACGGCTATAGGTTCTGAAGGGGGTGCTCCTACTGCCTGCTCATGGGAGCACGGTGAGCTCTGAGGGTTCCCGGGCATGGCTGTAGGTTCTGAAGGGGGTGCTCCTACTGCCTGCTCATGGGAGCATGGTGAGCTCTGAGGGTTCCTAGGTTCTGAAGGGGGTGCTCCTACTGCCTGCTCATGGGAGCACGGTGAGCTCTGAGGGTTCCCACGCACGGCTGTAGGTTCTGAAGGGGGTGCTCCTAATGCCTGTTCATGGGAGCACGGTGAGCTCTGAGGGTTCCCGGGCATGGCTGTTGGTTCTGAAGGGGGTGCTCCTACTGCCTGCTCATGGTCTTGGGACTCCTCACCTGCCCTCCTGCTCCCTGCCACTCCAGGGCACAGCCCCTGGTTTGTCTGTTCCTGTCACTCCCCGCCTGGACGGGCAGCTCCCATGAATGCTGCCAGCTACTGTAGATAGTGCTGATCACAATAATTTATGATTTCTGATTTTATCACCATTTTCTGTTGATATAAATCTTTATCTTACTGATATTGCCAGAGTTTCTAGTAAATGAGAAATTGTCATGGTAAATAAAACCAACTTTATTTTGTTTTATATGTTATCACCCCTGGGAGGCTTTTGGTTTGAAACTACTGTTAGATTTTATTTTATTTTTTTATTTTTGAGACGGTGTCTTGCTCTGTTACCCAGGCTGGAGTGCAGTGGCACGATCTTGGCTCACTGCAACCTCTGCCTCTGGGATTCAAGCGATTTCTGGCTTTTTAATATATTTTTAGTAGAGATGGGGTTTCACAATGTTGGCCAGGCTCCCAAAGTGCTAGGATTACAGGAGTGAGCCACTGTGCCCGTGGAGATGAACCATGTCTGTGAACTTTTCTATAACGTAGCATCTGCATTAGTACAGCTGCTGGGAGTTAACACACCACGGTGTGCCCAGGAAATGTTACATTTTAATTTTCTTACTCAGAATGGTAGGATTAGCCATTGAATTTCTCAATTATTGGGTTTTCTGCAATATCTTTTAATGGAGCATTTTATTCTTTTTCTTAATTTGTAGGCTTATGTTGTGTCTGTTGTTTTGTTTCCTGGGATCTCTTATGTCATTTTGAGTTCAGTTTTTCCGCTATTCTGAAATGTGGGTACATTCCCAGTGAATGGGTCTAAGATAGTGACAGCCTGTTTGTCTCCGTGCTGAACTGATCATGGCAGTGGATCTTGCTCAGAGAAAGGAAGTGCTTTTAGCTAGGCTGGGTTTATAGAAAACACACTGGTATGCACACTTCATGTGAAGCTGCTGAGGCTTTTAGCCAGGCTGGGTTTATAGAAAACACACTGGTGTGCACACTTCATGTGAAGCTGCTGAGGAAAATTTACTTTTTAGAACAGCAGTACTTCTTCCCAGATGAGCAGATGGAAAAATCACATTTCACAATTTCAGTTGAGAAAGATGGAGTTGTACCATTCAATCTAGACTTCATTGGTTCTTCAGTGAAATGTGGAAATACTGGTAACCTAAGATACATTTCTTATTTTAGTTTTAGTTTTTTGGCTGGAGTGCAGTGGCATGATCATAGCTTACTGCAGCCTTGAACTCCCCAAACACCTCAGCTCAAGCAATGCCCCTGCCCCAGCCTCCCGAGTAGCTGGAACCACAGGCACATGCCACTATCCCGGCTAACTTTTTAACTTTTATACCGATGGGGTCCCATTATGTTGCCCAGGCTGATCTTGAACTCCTGGTCTTAAGCGACCCTCCTGCCTCGGCCTCCCAAAGTGCTGAGATTGTAGGTGTGAGCCACCATGCCCAGCCCCAAGATAAGTTTCGTACCATACAAGAAAGCATGAGTTTTGTGGTGACGGTTCTGGATCTGGATCTGCCTTGCACCTTTTCTTTAACCACATCACTCTCAGCTTCTTCATTTGTGTCCTTCGCTGTATCCAGTTGCTGGAGTAGCTGCATTTGAAACCATATGAGCCTCTGCAATGCAGAAAAATAATTAGATGAAGTAAGGAATTTATCCATGGTACAAATAGAATCAACATATTTCTTGATTATGCCTGTCTTTGAATAAGTAGGTTATGCTGAGTTTTCACTTCATCTTTGAAATAAATAGAAAAATAATAAATCGAATATGTTTTATTCAACCTCATGATGTTAAGTAATGAAGCCACATAAAACCAAGAAAATTACAGATACCTGTGTAAAGGAGATATGGTGAGCCCTGTCCTGGCTTCTAATTTGATTGAGGAGAGGCACATAAATTGAAAACAAAACAAAAAAACAGTTCATTAAAACAGAAGATAAGTGTCATCCCTTAAATTAGAGAATGAGCGTGCTAAGCCCCACATTCACAGGTGCCTCTACTAGCGGGGAATTTGGAGGTACTGCAAATATTTCAAACCAGAAAAGGTGAATACTGATGATTTTTGGCGTGGTAACATGATTTCTCATACCACTCCTGTAGTCTAAAGCTGGTTTGAGTGCCTGCTTTGTGTCATACTATTCAAAAACTAACTGCAGTTTTTCTTAATTTATTCTTCATTAATCATCAGACTATGATTTGAGCTTTTTTTAAAAAAAAAACTTCATTATTTGAAAGTGATTAACATTAACATCATTAACATAATGAATTTAAAGCCTATTTTTCCAAAAGCATCACAAAATAGGTACTTTTGAAAATGAAAATATGCTACGTAAAAATTGAAATGGAATGACCCAAAAAATTCAAAATTGCATTAAAGTAGACAGAAAAAATGTGCTTCAAACAGATAAGAAAGGCAGCATGCTCAAAAAAGTTAACTCTTTATTTAACTTTATCATATTTATATGATATACAGTTTTCTAAACATTAGTTCTTCTGGGAAAAGTATTAGGAAGGCGAGCAAGTCAGTTTCCACGCTTTACACACTTATATGTAAATGAGGTGACCAGGGTTATCACCTATGTTTGGTATACGTGTACCCAAAATAATTAATAATGTTCTTATTGAAATAACATGTGCCTTGGGACCAACTCCTAATATTTACACCTTTAAAGATAAAAGTATATTTAATATGCCAGTTTTTAACTTCACTAAAATTTGGGCCTTTCATTTTTCTTTTCCACAGTTTTTGACTGGCTTGAATAGTGCCTGGCCCATACTAGGTGCCCAGTAAAAATTGGCTGAAGATATTAATACTAAATTAAAATATTTCAATTTCAAACTAACTCTAGAATCTTAACAGTTTACAGGACACATCTCCACTCGGTACTAAGTATAAATCCTTTGGAGGGTGTCATGTGAAAATGAAGCTAACAGTTAAGATAATCCAATTGCATGTTGTTATAAATCTGTCTTCATTTTCTTCTTTTTGTTTCTTCTTTTTGTTTCTTCACTTTGTTCCAAAGTGACCGTGTCTCTCATTTTTAACAGTTTCAGCTGCCTGCGTTTTCCTGTCTCTAGTCTCAAGGCTCAGCGATCCACGCAGTCACAGTGTGTGCTGCTCTCCCTGTTGGCGAGCTTTGTAATCAGATCTGTCTTCTTGGTGATATTGAACACCAGTGTTGCTTGTGAAATCCAGGCGTCAGCACTACCTCTGGATCTTGTAATGAAGCTCCAAGGTAGCCAAAGAACTCACACATGCCTAACTTTTTAGAAAGAGAGCAATTTTCTAAAATAAATTCCTTATTAAGAAGGAGTCTTCTTATAGTTGTGTGGAAAGTTTGTTGGAAGCATCTTTCATTGACTTGTATACTGTGTTCTAAGGACATGAGGGAGCCCTTCCTGTCCCATGGTGTCTCCGCCTGCCTCCGCCCCTTCGTGCCAGGGTTACTGATTTGCTTCAGGTGCCTTTAGGATTTTTGCAGGAAAAGAGTCAATATTTAACATTTTACTTCCAGGAGAGCAGTCCCAAACAAATCCTTCTCATCCATATTGCTGACTGTAGGATGCAGATGTGTTTGCAGGAAATGTGTTAGGGAGGTTCCCAGCATCACCCCATGAGAAGGATGGGAGGAGGAAGGGCTGGACAAGGGGCCCTGAGGGATGAGGCCTTGGTTGATCCTACAAGGAGTTCTGAAGACAGGACAAGCCTTTGAAAGCCTCCCCTGTGGGGAAGAGACACTGGGTCCTTGGAAGTGCAGGGTCCTCGAGACACGGGGAGCTCTGGGGTGAGGCTGTTCCTGAGAGGCTGAGCCCTGGGCACTCTGCCACAGCGGGTCCCGCCCTGTGCCAGGAAGAATCTGAGCAGCCTTGCCGTCCACTGCGTGTGACACTCGGTTCCATGCTTGGGGTAGGTTCTGAGAAGAGCTCCTCTTGGGTGGGGTTTCTCCACCAAGGAACTTGGAAGACGGGGAGAATGGGTGGCAGCCCCCTCTGTCCTGTTGGCCCTGGGGCTCCTGTGCCCTGGTTCTGGTCCTGCTCCTTGGCCCCTCAGTCCACCTCCTTGGCCACCTTTGCTTTTCCTCCTTGGTCCCCTGTCCTTTTCCTGCACCCCCAATCTTCATCCTTGGCCCTGAATCCTCCTTAGTCCCCCAGTCCTCCTCTGGACTCCAGTTCTCCTCCTTGGACCCCAGTCCTCCTCCTTGGACCCCAATCCTCCTCCTGGTCCCCAGTCCTCCTCCTTGGACCCCAATCCTCCTCCTGGTCCCCAGTCCTCCTCCTGGTCCCCAATCCTCCTCCTGGTCCCCAGTCCTCCTCCTTGGACCCCAATCCTCCTCCTGGTCCCCAGTCCTCCTCCTTGGACCCCAATCCTCCTCCTGGTCCCCAGTCCTCCTCCTTGGACCCCAATCCTCCTCCTGGTCCCCAGTCCTCCTCCTGGTCCCCAATCCTCCTCCTGGTCCCCAGTCCTCCTCCTTGGACCCTTGTTTCTCCTCCTTGATCCCTTGGCCTCCTTGGTCTCCCTGTTCCTGTTGGTTGCCTCCTCCTCCTTGACTTGGTCCTCCTCCTTGATCCTCTGGTCTTCTTCAGGGTCCCCTCCTCCTGGCCTCTCGGTCCTCCTCCTTGACCCCCTGGTCCTCTTCTGTGGTCCCCTCCTCCTCTGTGGCCCCCTCCTCCTCCGTTGCCCCTGGTCCTCCTCGTCCTTTGGGCTGCCCTCGGCTCGGGGGCTGCTGCTGCTGGCGGGGGTGTCAGCTGCCCAGTGTGTGCTCTCCCCTGGAATTCCACTGGATGGGGTGGGGGGTTTCCTTCTGTCTTTTACTCCATCTGTGTTGTCCATGCAGCTGGGCCCCCTACAGTCTTCTCCAGAAGGACCTGTATGGGGGTGGCTGACAGGTAACCTGCTCCCTGCACATGGCTCTCCACCCTCCATGGTGAGCCAGGCTGGCACCTGGGCAGGAGTCAAGGGCCGCCTTGGCCTGGGCTGACCCTGGACCCACAGAGACCCTTAGGGCGGGCTGGGCCCAGCTCCTCCCGGCTGCTCCCGGCTCCTCCCAGCTGCTCCCACTCAGTCCCTGCTTCTTCGGTCCTGTGTGTCGGACCCATCCCTACCATGGCCTTGCTGCTTCTCTCGCCTCCATGCATGCCCAGGGTCCCCCGCGGAACCTGCTTCACAGCGAGTCCTGCCCTGGCATTTGCTCTTGTGGGGCCTGGACCAGAACCCACCTTGTCCCACCTCCCTTCTCTGTGCCACATTCTGTGTGGGGTCTTCAGTTACTTCTGGGTCATCAAAACTGGTTAGTTTTGATATTTTTAAAATGTTTGTTGTTGCACTTACAATAACTTCTTCTGGGTATTTATATCTATTAAGAGTACTTATTTTACATTTTTTTTTACTTAAAAATTTAAATATCTGCAATCTTTGCCTGATTCTGCAATTTGTTACTTTTGTCTTTTTTTAACCTTGAGAGAAAATGCTTATTTTCTTGTGTTTTGGATAATTTCTCATTGTGTTCATTTGAACTCTGATGGTGAGAATTCTTTAAGGAATATGTTCCTTTCATCTTTATCTGTAAGATTTTTGAGATTTGTAAAGGCTTTTATAATGCATAATTCATAAGAGAAAAATACTTCTGACTATAAGGAAATTTTTCAAAATCATGTAGGACAAAACAAAATATAAATAAGTTATAAAATGAATGCAAAACAATGAAATAGAAAAGTATTTCAAAAACAAATAATAGTTTGGCCGGGCGCGGTGGCTCACGCCTATAATCCCAGCACTTTGGGAGGCTGAGGTGGGTGGATTATGAGGTCAGGGGTTCGAGACCAGCCTGACCAACATGGTGAAACCCCGTCTCTACTAAAAATACAAAAAAATTAGCTGGGCATGGTGGCGGGCGCCTGTAATCTCAGCTACTCAGGAGGCTGAGGCAGGAGAATTGCTTGAACCTGGGAGGTGGGGGTTGCAGTGAGCCGAGATCGCGCCACTGCCCTCCAGCCTGGGCGACAGAGCAAGACTCTGTCTCAAACAAACAAACAAACAAACAAAAAAACAAATAATAGTTTAATGGCTATATTTTTAATTTTAAAAAGCTTCTGAAATGAGAAACTTTAAAAGTCCAAAAGAAAAATGTACAAAGAATATAAATTTACCTTAAAGCAGAAAGAATTGTCACTAGTCAAAAATATATATGAGAAAATATGCGCCCTGTTCAGGCAGACCAGGGACAGGAGTGCAGACTCTGTGTGTGTTTCTTTTATTTCTCTTTTAGCAACTGGTACTCTTTTTCTTTTTTTTCTATTGACCTATTGTAACGGGTAAAACCACAAATATGCTATTTAGTAGAAATGGGGAGAGTGGACACCTTGCCTTATTCCCTATCTTAAAGGAAAAACATTCAGTGTTCATCATTAAGTAAAATGTCACCGTATGTACTTTAGAGATGCTTTTTTTTGGTTGATGAAGTTCCCTTCTCTTAGTTTAATGAGATTTTTATCAGGAGTGGATGTTGAATATGGTGAAATGTGTTTCTTATCTATTGTGGTAATAGTGTTTTATTTTTAGTCTGTTTTTATGGTAAGTTACACATTGATTCTGTAATTTGAAATAACCTTACATTCTAGAGATAAATCCCCTTTGGTCACAATGTATCATCTTTTTATGTATTACTAGATTCAATTTGCTGTATTTTGTCAGTGGGCATTTGCTTCTACATTCACGTTGGATGTTGGTTTGTTTCTCTTCATGTTGTGCCTTTGCCTGTTTTGGCGTCAGGGCATTGGTGTAATCCTGGCCTGTCCATACGAATTAGAAAGTGTCTTTTTGTGCCAGGCACGGTGGCTCACGCTTGTAATCCCAGCACGTTGGGAGGCCAAGGCAGACAGATCACCTGAGGTCAGGAGATTGAGACCAGCCTGGCCAACATGGTGAAACCCCATCTCTACTAAAAATACAAAAATTAGCCAGGCATAGTGGCAGGCACCTGTAATCGCAGTTACTCAGGAGAGGCAGGAGAATTGCTTGAACCCAGGAGACGGAGGTTGCTGTGAGCCGAGATTGTGCCACTGCAATCCAGCTTGGGCAACAGAGCGAGACTCTGTCTCAAAATTAAAAAAAAAAAAGTGTCTTTTTATAGTTCCACAGATTTCCTTTAGTATTTGTATTATTTCTTGCATAAAATTCATGCAGAATGCATTTGAGCCTGGAATTTTATTTCAAGCGTTTTTTTTTAACTATAAATTCAGCTTCTATGATAAGGGCTTATTCACATTATTCATTCTTGAATGAATTTTGATAGTGTCTGTCTTTCAGGAACTTTGTCCTAAGTAATGAAATCCTTTGATAAAAAGTTGTTTGCAATATTTCTTATGTGTTTAAAGTCTATAGGTTCTGTGGTGATGCCCCTTTTCCATTTGTAATACTCTTAATTTAGGTCTTTTCTGTCTGTTTTTTAAAAATAAATCAGTCTCCCAGTTAATTATCAATTTTTAGTGTTCTTTTCAAAGGATACATTTTAAATCTCATTTATTTTTTATTTTGGCCTTTTTGAAGTTCATTGATTTTTGTGCTTATTATTTTCTCAGTGCTTGCTTTTGGACTTATTTTGGTTGTGTTTTTCCTGATTCTTAAGGTGGAGTCTTATGTTTCTGATCTGGGGTATTTCTTGCCTTTTATTGCCAGTGTTTACCACCATGTATTACCTATAGAGTGGTGCTTTAATCCCTTCCCATAAGTTCTTATGTCTTCTTTTTGGAAGTGTCTGTTCATGTCCTTTAACCATTTTTTAATGGGATTATTTCTTTTTTGCTTATTGATCTGTTGAAGTTACTTATGGATTGTGGTATTAGATCTTTGCTAGATACATAGTTTTCAAATATTTCCTTTCATCCTGTAGGTTGTCTTTTTACTCTATTGATAAGTTTATTTTGCTATGCAGAAACTCTTTAGTTTAATTAGGTCCTATTTGTCAATGTTTGGTTTTGTTCCAATTGCTTTTGGAGTCTTTGTTACGAAGTCTTTGCCACTCCCTATGTCCAGAGTGTCTCGGTTTTCCTTCTAGAGTTTTTATAGTTTTAGGTTTTACATCTAAGTCTTTAATGCATTTCGAGTTGATTTTAGTATATGGTGAAAGGAGGGGTCCAGTTTCAATCTTCTCCATATGGCAAGTCAGTTATCACCAGCTCCATTTATTGAATTGGAGGGTCCTTCCCACACTGATGGTTTATGTTGCCTTTGTCAAAGATTAGATGATTTCAGGTGTGTGGCTTTATTTCTGGGCTTGCTACTCGGTTCCATTGGCCTGTGTTTGTTTTTGTACCTGTACCATGCTGTTTTGGCCACTGTAGCTTTGTAGTATAGTTTGAAGTTGGGTAATGTTGTGCCTCCAGCTTTGTTCCTTTTGCTGAGGATTGCTTTGGCTATTCAAGCTCTTTTTTTGTGCCATATGAATTTTATAATAGTTTTTTTTCTAATTCTGTGAAGAATGTCCTTGGTTGTTTGAAAGAAATAGCATTGAATCTGTAAATTACTTTGGACAGTACATTTTAACACTATTGATTCTTCTTATCCATGAGCATGGAATGTTTTTCTGTTTGTTTGTGTCATCTCTGATTTCTTTCAACAGTGTTATCTAATTCTTATTATAGAGATATTTCACCTCCCTGCTTAGCTGTGCTTCTAGATATTTTATTTTTGTGTGTGATTATGGTGAACAGGATTGCTTCTTGATTTGGCACTTGCTTTGGAAGTTATTGGTGTTTAGAAATGCTACTGAGTTTTGTATATTCATTTTATATCCTGAAACTTTGCTGAAGTTGTTTATCAGATCTAGGAGCTTTTGGGCAGAGACTGTAAGGTTTTCTAGGTGTAGAATCATATTGTCTGCAAACAGAGATAATTCAACTTTCACTCTTCCTATTTGTATGCCTTTTAATTCTGTCTCTTGCCTAATTGCTCTGGCTAGGAATTTCCAATACTGTGTTGAATAGGAGTGGTGAGAGTGGGCATCCCTGTCTGCTTCTGGTTCTCCAGGGGAACTTCCAGCTTTTGTCCATTCAGTATGATGTTGACTGTGGGTTTGTCATAGACAGCTCTTACTATTTTGAGGAATATACCTTCATTGCCTAGTTTGCGGAGGGCTTTTAATATGAAGGGATGTTGAATTTTATCAAAAGCCTTTTCTGCATCTATTGAGATGATCATGTGGTTTTGGTTTTTAGTTACATTTATGTGATGAATTACATTTATTTGTTTTGTATGTTGAACCAACCTTGCATCCCAGGGATAAAGCCTACCTAATTGTGTGGATAAGCTTTTTGATATGCTGCTGGATTCAGTTTGTTAATATTTGAGGATTTTTTTTAATTATTTAAGTTGTAGGGTACATGTGCACAATGTGCAGGTTAGTTACATATGTATACATGTGCCATGCTGGTGCGCTGCACCCACTAACTCATCATCTAGCATTAGGTATATCTCCCAATGCTATCCCTCCCCCCTCCCCCCACCCCACAACAGTCCCCAGAGTATGATGTTCCCCTTCCTGTGTCCATGTGTTCTCATTGTTCAATTCCCACCTATGAGTGAGAATACGCGGTGTTTGGTTTTTTGTTCTTGCGATAGTTTACTGAGAATGATGATTTCCAATTTCATCCATGTCCCTACAAAGGACATGAACTCATCATTTTTTATGGCTGCATAGTATTCCATGGTGTATATGTGCCACATTTTCTTAATCCAGTCTATCATTGTTGGACATTTGGGTTGGTTCCAAGTCTTTGCTATTGTGAATAATGCCACAATAAACATACGTGTGCATGTGTCTTTATAGCAGCATGATTTATAGTCCTTTGGGTATATACCCAGTAATGGGATGGCTGGGTCAAATGGTATTTCTAGTTCTAGATCCCTGAGGAATCGCCATGAACAGACACTTCTCAAAAGAAGACATTTATGCAGCCAAAAAACACATGAAAAAATGCTCACCATCACTGGCCATCAGAGAAATGCAAATCAAAACCACAGTGAGATATCATCTCACACCAGTTAGAATGGCAATCATTAAAAAGTCAGGAAACAACAGGTGCTGGAGAGGATGTGGAGAAATAGGAACACTTTTACACTGTTGGTGGGATTGTTTGAGGACTTTTGCATCTATGTTCATCAAGGAGATTGGCCTGAAGTTTCCTTTTTTTGGTTATGTCTGTTGGTATTGGAATGATGCTGGCTTCCTAGAATGAGTTATGGAGGAATCCTTCTTCTGCAATGTTTTGGAATAGTTTCATTAGGAATGATACCAGCTTTTCTTGACTTGTCTGTGAATTTGTTTGTGAATTTGTCTGGTCCTGGGGATTTTCTGGTTGATAGGCTTTTATTGTTTGTTTGTTTTTTTATCACTGATTTAATTTTGGAACTTGTTATGTTACTGGTCTGTTCAGCATTTGAATTTCTTACTGGTTCTCCCTTGGAAAGTTGTATGTTTCTAGGAATTTATTCATTTCTTTTAGGTTTTTTAGTTTGTGTTCATAGAGGTGTTCATAATAGTCTCTTTTTTTGTATTTCTGTGGGGTCAGTGGTAATGTCTTTTTTGTCATTTCTGATTGTTTTTATTTAGATCTTTTCTCTTTTTTTAAATTAGTCTGGCTAGCAGTATATCCATCTTATTTATTTTTTTAAAGAGCAAATTTGTGGTTTTGCTAATCTTTTGTATGTTTTTTCATGTGTGTTTCCATTGCATTCAGTTCAACTCTAATTTTGTTTCTTTTCTTCTGCTAGCTTTGGGGTCAGTTTCCTCCTTTTTTTTTTTCTCATTCCTTAAGATATGATGTTAGGTTGTTAATTGGAGGTCTTTTTTAACTTTTTGATATGGGTGTTCAGCACTATAAACTTTTGTCTTAATACTGCTTTAGGTGTGTTCCAGAGATTCTGGTATGTTGTATCTTTGTTCTCATTAGTTTCAAATAATTTTTTATTTCTGCCTTACTTTCTTTGTTTACTTAGAAGACATTCAGGAGCAGGTTGTTTAATTTCCATGTATAGTTTTGAGTGATTTTCTTGTTATTGATTTCTATTTTTATTGTGGTCAAAGAATGTGGTTGATATTCTTTTTTAATTTGCTGAGAATTGTTTTATGGTCTATTGTGTGGTTGATTTTAGAGTTTCTAATATGTGCAGATGAGAATAATGTATATTCTGTTGTTTGGGGGTATAGAGCTCTGTAGATATCTATTAGGTTTATTTGGTCAAATACTAAGTTCTGGTCCCAAATGTCTCTCTAGTTTTTGGCCTTCATGCTCTTTCTAATACTACCAGTGTGGTGTTAAAGTCTCCCACTCTTACTGTACTTAGTCTCCTCATAAGTTTCTAAGTACGTGTTTTATGAATCTGGGTGCTCCTGTGTTGAGTCCATACACATTTAGCATAGTTAAGTCTCCTTGATGTGAACCCTTTACCATTGTATGAGGTCCTTCTTTGTCTTCTTTGATTGTCGTTGGTTTAAATTCTGTTTTGTCCAAAATTAGAGTAGTAACTCCTGCTTTTTTTTACACATCTAACAAGCAAACAGAAAAAACAGCAGGAGTTACAGATGATGTGTTATAATATACATCTTCCACTTGACACTATTGATACAGTTTGGATCTGTGTCCCCACCCAAATCTCATGTCGGATCATCATCATAATATTGGAGGTGGAGCCTGGTGGGAAGTGATTGGATCGTGGGTGTGGATTTCTCATGGATGGTTTGGCACCATCCCCTTGGTACTGTCCTCCTGATAGTGAGTGAGTTCTCATGAGATCTGGTTGTGTAACAGTGTGTAGCAACCCCACCCCTTTACTCTTGCTCCCACCATATATGACCTCTTGCTCCCACTTTGTCTTCCACCATGATTGGAAGCTCCCTGAGGCCTCCCCAGAAGCAGAAGCCACTATGCTTCCTGTACAGCCTGCAGAACTGTGAGCCAATTAAACCTCTTTTCTTTATAAATTACTCAGTCTCAGGTATTTATAGCAATTTGAGAACAGACTAATACAAGTATCTACTACTATGTGACAGTATACCATTTTAGTGTCTTGTAACATTTACATATATTTCTTACCTCTCATATTTTGCTCTAGTTAGCATATGTTTTGCTTCCATGTTTTTAGGAAACTCTAGTACATTCTTTGTTTGATTTCAATGATCAGTAATTCTTATAGCAAATTAAAAACAATCCTCTTTTTGATATACTGTCCTTTATCCCTTTATTTAATCCGTATTTCTGTCTGACATCACAGTTCTTCCTGGAGAACATCCTTTAGCATTTCTTGTGATGCTGATCTGTTGCCAGTGAATTCTCTCAGCTTTTGTTGTTCTGAAGGCATATTTAGGTAAATTTCCCTACATTTTATGAAAGTTATTTTTGCTGAGTATGGATTTCTGGATTGAAAGTTTTTTCAGTGTTTTTTGTTTCAACTACTTTCAGGGAGTTTTCTTTACCTTTGGCTTTCTGGAGTTGAGTGTAAGGTTGAGGTTTTGTTTTGTTTTGTTGAGTTTTTGCCATTGAGGGACGGGCGTATTAACCTGTTTGGGATTCTCTGGGCTTCTTGGGGGTGTGTGTGTATATACATGTATATATATATATTTTTTTTTACTTGGATATAGTTGTTTTTTACTAATTTTGGAACTCTTTATTATTAACTCTTTGAACATGCCTCTGCCTTTTTCTTTTTCTCCTCTCTTTCTAGAACTGTAACTGCCTGTTACTGAGTTTCTGATTTTCCCACAGCTCTGATATGTTCTTTCTGTTCTTCCTTTTTCATTTTTGTTGTGTTTCAGTTTTTATACCTTATTTTGATTTGTCCTCAGGTGTCTTTATTCTTTCCTCCGCTGTGTCCAGTTGTCTAGCAAGCCCCATGGAAGGGATTCATGCTGATGCTCTGTATTGCTTTCATTCATTTAGTTTTGTCTTTTAAATGTCTAGGTTTTCAGCTTTTTTTGCTCAGATTTTCCATCTGTCCATGTGTTTCATTAAACTCGTCTCTTACACACTTGAACATCCAAATCTCAGTCATTTTGAAATTTCTGTCTGGTATCTCAGGACCAGTGTTATCCCTGGGCCTGTCTCTGTGATGGCTTCATTTCCTGAAAATGGATTTATTTATTTATGGTTATTTTTGGTTTTTTTAGCTTATAAAACTAAGAAAGAAGGAAGTGGTGGCCTCTTCTTTGGCCGGATGTTACCGAGAGTGTTGAGTTGAGCTGGGTGGTTGATCTTCGTTGTTGTCATCCCCTTAGAAGTCACCTTCAGAGACCACAAGCCTCACATCCTCCGAGGTGGGCTGCTCCTTCTGTGGGCTCATGAGCCATGGCGCTGGAGAGCTTTGCCCCATGTTCATGCTCCACATGGTGTAGCAGGACCCCAAGCCTGGGGGCAGAAGGACAGGGCCTCCCCACGAGTGTTCCCCCACAGGAAGCTGCACCCGTTACCTGGCCGTGGTAAGGCACTGCTTGGTTTTCCTGATCCTGCCTCTTTTCCAGGCAGCCCTGTCAGTTTGACCCTGGGGTGAGCGTTAGGGCATCAGTGCATAAGTGACCCCTGCATGCAGGAGCTGGACACTGGTTTCCTTGGGTGTCCTCCCTGCCTCAGTCTTTGCTGGACCTGTCGAGGCTGCTGGTGAGGGAGGGAGATTTTCTGAATCATTCATGAAGCTCTAGGTTTTCAAAGGTGTCTTATCAGCTGAAGTTTCTAAAATGTTGCTGGCTTCCTCCCAGCTTGTTTTTTGGCAGCATTTCCTACTCTGGAGCTCTGCCAATCGTGAAGTCTTTCAATCCTGTCTCCATTCAGAGGGACTTTTTACTCTCTGGAATGTAGTTCACTTTGTTGCCTTGAAGCCATAGTTCTGGTGGGTTCAAGTTAATTTGTGCTTTTACACTCTCTGACATTCTCTGTGGTTAGGGTAGACACTATGCCTTCTCATGGCTTTATGTATTCTACATATATACCCCAAACTAAACAAAAAATAAAATCTCATCTATCCTAATTTTCTGCCCTTGTATTTTATTAATTCTGCACATTAGGTCATTTGAAACAGAGAGTGCATGAAGAAGGTGAAACATACACATGGATATCACACACACACTTGCACTCACTCACACCCAGGAGCAAACAACATGCGCTTGCACCCACTCACACCCATGAACAAACCACACCACACACTTGCACTAACACCCGTGAGCAATAACACCACACCCTTCCACTCACACTTGGAAGCAAACACCATGTGCTTGCACTCACACCCCTGAGCAAACACCACACGCTTGGACTCACACCTGTGAGCAAACACCACATGCTTGCACTCACACCCATGAGCAAACACCACACGCTTGGACTCACACCTGTGAGCAAACACTATACATTTGCACTTACACCCATGAGCAAACACCACATGCTTGGACTCACACCTGTGAGCAAACAACACGTGCTTGCACTCACACTTGTGAGCAAACCACACCACACACTTGGACCCACTCACATCCATGAGCAAACAGCAACAGTTCCCCTGTGACTCTTAGGAGATTTGCAGGAGAAAGTCTCTGGGGCAAGGAGTATTGAGTACATTGACATCTACTATATAATAAGCTCTAAAGATTAATTAAGGAATAAGCCAAGAAAATACAAACCCAAAACAGAACCCTCTACATACCTACCCACCCATCCGCCTACACCACATACAGCTTAATGTTTGACAAAAAATACCTACTGTGTTTTAAACAAAAAAATCTAAGCATAATTGAAGACTGGAATTAATTGTGTGTTCATCCTGAATGTATTTAGTAAATTGTGAGTTTAGCTATGTAACTTTTTAAATAAATGTGTTGATAACAAAAGCTATTGATATATGTCCATATAGCTATTATTACTGTGTTTATTCCCCAAGATCTCTTTCAAGATGTTACTTTACCAGACAGTAACCTTTATTAATGTGTTATGAAAATCTTCTGATACTGGACAAATAAGCCAAAACAAGAAAAGTACAATGGCTTCTTAGATAATATTGCACATAAGACAACATCAGGACAGTCTGTTGTCTCTTGGTTACGTATAATTATGGCGCATAGTGCCTGCCAGTGATAGGAACAGGGTCTCCCACAACTGCTCTTTTCTTCAGAGAAGAGAAACCTGTGGCTTAGAATGCATTTGAAGAGTTGGATGAAATGTATTTGAAGGATACAAGGCGATGAATCTGGAGTTTGTGGTGTGCTTATCAACAGAATAATTAGAAGCAATTCATATTCAAGGTAAATAGAAAAATTATGGATCTTTTGAAGTGGAAAGTTCTATCAATTCTGTAAAATTTTATCATGAAATAACATTTGTGTTTGAGTGGTATTTTGAGTTGTGAAGGTTTGAAGCTGGGGAGGAAGAGAAACACGAGCCAGCACGCTGTGACATATCGATGTTGTGATGAGCTTGAGTGGTTCTCTATGTGTACATTGTCTTTGGAATGATTGAGAGGTGGAGTCCAAGGCCTTGTTAGTAAATGTGGAAGCCAGCGATTGTTCTTGCTTCCCCTGCTCCGTCCCCACCTCCCTGTCCTTGTTTCTTCTTTCCTCCTTTATCAGCCTGAGCTCTTCTCCGAGTTTTGCCTGAGAGCAGAAGCATGACAGTGCTCCGGTGTGCACGGGGGCTCTGGTGCTCTTCAAGGTTTGCTTAAAGCTAAAATAGCGCATCTTCTATCACCCATTTCGGAACACATCAGTGATGAGTGTTGTTCAGTAATGTCATCCCTACACATTTACAATCCTGGTGGCACCTGCTGTCCACTCCCCAGCCCTGTCCTCTGCCCCTCTGAGCTCCTCTTCTGAGCAGATGAGCAGGTCTGTGCAACCCCCACTCAAGAACCCCCATCCGTCTCCCTCCCTGCCTTACTGCTTCCACTCCTGCCACACCCCCTCCCCCATCTTCCAGATTTGCTCAGTTTACCCAGCAGCTCTCCAGAGGCAGCCTCAGCCAAGGCGAGTGGAGGCCATGGGGAGCACCAGGCTGCTGGTCTGCTGGTGGGTAAGGCCAAGGGTCTTGTGGGATTTCTCAAGGATTGGAGGTGGCAGCCCCACCTGGCAGACACCATCGTATATGCCTGCTCTCTGCACGGCCTTCCTAGCTTCCTCCTGCCACCATTCACTGTTAATGTAGGTGATCCAGGAAGCCGCAGGTTCTTCTCTGAAGAAAAGAGCAGTTGTGGGAGAGCCTGTTCCTATCACTGACAGGCAGTACACGCTGTAAGTATATATAATCCAGAGACAACGGATTGTCCTAGTTTTATTTTATGTGCAATATTATGTAAGAAACCATTGTACTTTTCTTGTTATGGCTTATTTGCCCTGCGTTAGAAGATTTTCAAACATGTTAGTAAAGGTGCCTGCCTGGTAATGTCTGTGAAGGTGGTCCAGGGAGCAGCGTGAATGGTGGCAGGAGGCCCCTGTGCCCACGGCCTGCTTTGAGTCTGCTGTGGGAAAGTTCGCTGGATTTAACTGATTCCCCATTATCTCTTAAGCTCCTTCTTCACCACCCAGTCCTCTGCCTCACCTTCCCCTGACCCGCTGCCTCCACCCTGTTTTAAGGCACCGTATCCTGCACTTGCACTAGTTAATAAAATAACCGACAGCTTCCCTCCCACTTGGGAACCTTTGCCATCTCTGTCGCTCAATGGTCCATCTTGCCTGTGAGTCGTAAGTCAGGTCTCATCCCCTTGGTGGTTTAAACTCATCGACAGCTACTCATTGCTTCTAGGATGGGATCAGAGCCTCACTGTGCCTCACCTTAACTAGACCTTACCGAGATCAGGACCTGCCTGCGTTGCCAACGTCACGGCCATGTGGTTCTTCCATAACCTCATTTCCGCCCTCCACAATCTCCGCTCTGTTTTCTGAGGATGGCAGAGCCTTCCCGCCTCGTGCCACCTACTCCTCTTCAAGTAACTGATCTCATCTCTTTCATCTCAGCTCACTGGTTTCTGAGAATGGCCTTCTTGGAAGACCTCATGTAAGATCGCTGTCATTATCTGTAACATCAGCCTACGTATTGATTTCATGAAGGTTATCAAAATCAGTACTTCTCTTGTATATTTATTCATACTTGTTTCCTTGTTTATTGTGTGTGACCCCATTGAAGCATGGGATGGAGACATACCCAACATGGGCGAATCCACCCAACTTGATGAGTGATTGCCTCTGGCCAGTGAAGGCGAGAGGGGGCAAAGGTCACAGTGAGGGGCCTGGAGTGCCCTTGCTGAGCTGGGAGATGCAGCTCGTGGTGCAGGATGATGCGGGAGTGATGGGGAGTTGGGGTGTCTGTTCCCACACTTTATCATAGCTCAGTATACGTGGAAAATAGTGGAGAAAAGTACATTAGTAAAAGTGATTCAGGCATTATTCAACGTTCTTTTTTCCAGAATTAGAAATTATTACTTTTCATTCAAGTTTAGTTGGTAAATGTCATCTGATATTTTTCAGAGACCAGATCCAAAACTTTAATTATTATCCAACAAGGAACATATCTCAAAAATTAAATAAAAAGGAATTTTGGGGGATGCCATAAACTTAAGGAGGTATAAATTTTCCCTGTCTTGTTTTTAATTCTCCGCTTATCAAGTAATAAGATTCAACCTTCTAGGTGGTATTTCCCCCACGTTTGCTGAAGCCTTCTGCCCCTGTGATTCATGGTAGCCACTCATACAATTTGCTAACCGGGGCTGAAAGCTGTTAGAAATGACTTTTAAAATATATATTTTCTGACCTATGAGGATATTTTAATGTGTGCAATAAGCGGATGTCTTATGCACAAAAGGAGTTCTGAAATTCTGAGTACAGGTAAGTCTCGCAATGAGAAGATGGCTGAGTCTTAGTCTCATGTTCTCACTAATCAAGTGTATGAACCTGGGAAAGTCCCTTAGCTTATTTGGGCTAGAATGTCCTCATCCATAAAGTCATTTATAAGGATGAACCTGTTGATAATTTTAAGTCAGATTGCTGAATATTATGTATTCATTTTAAAAAATGAGCACTTGGTGTGTTGCAGGCTCCCTGCGTTGAGGATTGGATGTGTGTAAACCAAGGCCCTGCTCTTCTTAATCGCAATCTCCTAGGGAGCATTGAAGTGACATTAAATTCAATTTCAATGAAAGGAAAATGGAAATCAAATGGAAATTGAAATGAAAATCAAATGGAAATTGAAATGAAAATATTACCATGGCCTTGGTGGACAGCTGGTATACTGGCTTTTGGGTTGGGGGGGTATTGACCTGGTTTGTGGTGAAAGCTGATTTCTGTGGTATAAATACATCTATAGTGGCTGCTTCAGGCATCAGTGGTTTCATTACCAGTTTGCAGCATTCCCCAGTATTTAACAGTGCTCTGCCGTGCTGGTGCAATGAAGAATTCAAGGAGATAATTGATTAAGTAAGAAGGTAGCATTTAGGTACAAATGCTGCACAAATGGCCTCATAGGCATCCCCGGAAGGCAGGGTGGGGTTTGAAGGAGGAATGGGAGCTTGCCCGTCGGGCTGTGCCCAGCCTTGCTGGCCATGTTGGTCACCATGTATCTTTGTGGTTTTTACCACACAGCTCCTCTCGGTGACCTGTCCTTTTGGCCTTTTGGGAAGCTGGGAGGTGTCCTAAACTCGCCCCGTGGCTTTGTTGCTAAGGAATATGCTCCCCAAAAGTGGTTTTAGGAAAGTTGCTTCATTGTCTCTGGTCTTTTTCTGCTCTCCTTTAAAAAGACATTTGCTTTTCTCAAGACCGGGAACAAATCAGCCCTACTTATGCAAATGTGTGGGTTTCTTTCAAACAGCTGCTACAGTGGAGTGATTTTCCATTTTAAGATCTTTTAACTCTTAGTGGCATATT
Organism: Homo sapiens; assembly: GCF_000001405.40. Lineage (NCBI taxonomy): Eukaryota > Metazoa > Chordata > Mammalia > Primates > Hominidae > Homo > Homo sapiens. The sequence continues at coordinate 979,805 of NC_000002.12, forward strand.
TGCAACTTTCTAACACATTGAATGTCCACAGAGAACTAACACCTTGTAACAAAGTTATTGCCAAAGTTTATAGAGATTATAATTTAAGTTATGTTAAATACATTATGAAAGAATTATGCCACATTTTGTTAATAATTAAGTATATAAATAATTAAGTATATAAAAACAAACACAAAAAGTAAGTAAATTTTTATTCAAAATTTTTAATGGATGAAATCTTTTAGAAGATAGGTTATTTTATATAAAATTTTATGCCAGAGAGTATCTATGACTTCCATGTGACTTGTTTGAATTCAAGCTGAGCTCAAATACAGAATTCCAAATTACCATCCTCCTTATAGTTAATTCTTCATCACACAGCCATCTAAACAAGTGCTGTGTATTCATGTTAGGGTCCAGGTACAGTTGTATGTTACAGTTACATGTTAGGATCCAGTGCTCAGTTACAACTCGGTCCTGGGCCTCCTCTTTAAAGGTGAGCAGGTGGGAGAGGAGAGTTTCCTAGTAAACACGAGAAAGAATAAGCATCCTTGAGTAAACTAAAACAGCTGATGATGAATAATTCATACAACGATTCTGTTTCCTATGGATCTGTGTGGAAGATAGTACTAGAAGGAAATATGGTATTTCTAAGTCATTGGGACTCTGCCAGGAATACAGAAAACAATACATTTTGGATGACAACATTCACGTTTTCATCTTGTTTCATTTTAAATTTAAGAGACAGTGAACTTTTGGTTTATCACTTATTTTACCAAGAATACAATGATTTCTACAGAGCTCACATTTTACTACCTGATGCTTATCTGAAATTTTAGCTTCATACAAGCCATCCAGTATGTGTAAGTATATTATTATAAGGGGATAGGCCTAGTGTTTATAGACACATGTACACACACACACACACACACACACATTTATATATGTTCTTTTAAAAAGGGATGTGATGAAACCTTGTTTTAATATTTGACATGACAAAAAAGAAATACTTTTCATTTTCCTTGAAAGACATTAACGGGTTAGATAATAAAGGATAGTAGCTTCTTTTCCCCATCCATGCTGTCAGTACTACGTTCCAGATACCTAGGACCTCGTAAATTCTGACTTCTTAATCATCATGACAGCCCAATTACCTAGCCCTATTATTTTTCTTATTTTACTTATAGGGAAACTTAGGCAATAAGAAGTTAAATGAGTAGCCCAAGGTTAGAGCTGGTGATGTTCAGGACTGAAATTTGAATCTTGGCAGGCTGTGTCCTGAATTTGAAATATGAACCACCCTCCAGCATGCTTCTCAGGTACCATTTTTACTACTGTTCAGACTCATTCTATTGTAGCTTTGCTTTTCATGATCAAGGTGTTTGTATCTAACAGGAGTGTGACTTTGAGCAAGGGACAAAATATGTGAACAAATAGCTGCCTGTTCTCCTCAAGGCTCAGCAGCTTCATCAAGCAAATGGCAGTGGTTTGGGTGATTTCCAGGCTGGGCCCTGTTGATTCACATGAAATATGCTTTCCATTGTAGTATATAATGTTGCTGTTTCCAGGCATGCACACACATGCATGTACACACAAAAGTATACAAACGCATGCATGTGCAGACACACACTTCCACAAGCACATGTGCACACACATGCACAACACACAAATGCATATGCACACATGCTCACACATGCACATGAGTGCACATGTGTCCTACACATGCAAGCACTCACACATGTTCCAAACTCATGAGCACACACATGCACACACACATGCCTGCACACACATACGTATTCAAGGACATGCCTGTGCCCACACATATGCACATATGCATATACACACAGGTGCACAGACGTGTGCTCATACATGCACATGAACACAGACCTGCATACATGTGAGTGCACACATATACACATGCACACACAAACAAGTCGTACACACATGCACATTAATGCATGTCCCTACATGAACATGAGTACACACATGCCCCCACACTTGCAAGCAGACATGTATACCATGCACATGAAACTATGCACACACAAATGCCCATGCATGCACGTGAACACACACGTCCACACAGATGCACACAGATATACATTCACATGCGTTTGTGCACACACATGCCCCACACAGATGCACACTCACATGCACATGAACACACATGTCCACACAGATGTACACAGATGCACACTCACATGCACTTGTGCACACACGTGTCCACACAGATGCACACAGACACACACTCACAAGCACTTGTGCACACACATGTCCACACCCACACACATGCATCTCCAGGCTTTTTCTTTGGCTGCTAATCTCTTTTAACAGCTGTCTTCAAACCTGAATCTTGGTCTTTCCATAAATTTATTAAGTCACTCACCTGTGTTGGCAAAGCCCTAAATAGAATCCTGCTCTCCTTGTTTTCTTGAGTTTTATTTTTTTTAATGATGCAAAAACTTGCAGTGTCCTTCACAGTGTATACATTGTTTTAATATAAAGTAAGCCTTACAGTTACCAGTTAGAGGAATTCACGTTCCACACTTTTTCTTTGAGAATAATTGGTGTTTCAAAGATGTGCCCTATTAATCTGGATGCTCCCTGCACACCCCCTCGGTACACGGAGGACACGGGCATGTCCCAGCCCCACCTCCTCTATCCCTACTGCAGGGGTGAAAACACCGGAGACTCTGCAGGTTGCTTTTCTAGGTTTTTTGTGTTCCTGTTCCCTCCTGGTTGTGAGTAAAGTTGAGTAGTTAGTAATGCACTAATGTAAAATACGAAATGTGATTCCAATCAAAAACATCTTCAGATTGTGAGACTAATACCATGAACACCCTTCATATTAAAGTCAGCGTGCATGCAGTGGGTTTCTGAAAGAAGCAGCGTGGACAGGACTCCCGTGGGCAGGGCCCCTGTCACTGTGCCTGGGCAGCTATCTCTTCTCTTGTGCTCACTCAGCACCTCGGGTTAGTATTGACCGTGGCCCTCATTCAACACTGATTGTGGACTTGGTCACTTTGTAACTGAGCCTCGCCTAGAATGGAAGTCCCAAGGTGCAGAGACTGTGCCTGGAGGAAACTGTGAGACACTAAAACCCCATCCCAAGGAGGGGGAATCTGTGCAACAAATGGTCAGGATGAAGCAGAGGCTCTCTTCCATAGAAGCTGCGGAGGTAGTGGTCAGGATGAAGCAGAAGCTGCAGGGGTGGTGGTCAGGATGAAGAAGCTGCAGAGGTGATGTCAGGATGAAGAAGCTGCAGAGGTGGTGTCAGGATGAAGAAGTTGCAGAGGTGGAGGTTGGGATGAAGCAGAGGCTCTCTTCTGTAGAAGTTGTGGAAGTGGTGGTCAGGATGAAGAAGCTGCGGAGGTGGAGGTCGTGATGAAGCAGAGGCTTTTTAGCAGAAGCTGCAGAGGTGGTGGTCAGGATGCAGAAGCTGCAGAGGTGGAGGTTGGGATGAAGAAGTTGCAGAGGTGGAGGTTGGGATGAAGCAGAGGCTCTCTTCCATAGAAGCTGCGGAGGTGGTGGTCAGGATGAAGAAGCTGCAGAGGTGGAAGTCGGGATGAAGAAGTTGCAGAGGTGGAGGTCGGGATGAAGCAGAGGCTCTTTAGCAGAAGCTGCAGAGGTGGTGGTCAGGCTGCCCCATCTATCATCACGCTCTGATTTAATCAGGTGCTGCCTCCCACCCTTCCTGCCCAACTTGGTGCCTCCTGCATGACTTTCAGGGGGGCTGCGAAGCAGGTGTCCCAGATCTAACCCTCCGAAATAGTCACTCTCCGCCCTGGGGCCAGAATCGTGTTTGCAGCCTCCAGCCCACCTGCCCTTCTCCTGTTCTGCACTCAGTGGCTCCCGTTGCCCCAGGATGAACTCTGAGCTCCTAAGTGTACGCTGACCTTCAGTCTTGATTCATGTCCCTGGTTGGATTTAAAGTGTTGTAGGTACCAGTTTTCTTAGAAATTGGTCCAGAATATATTGAGTAGAGGGAGATTAAAAGATCAAGACATACTTCTCACTTGTGGGCACCCTCCACCATGGAGCCTGGAGAATCACTGAGGAATGGGAGGAGGGATGAGGGTGTTCAGAGGGCAGAGGTGGGTGCAGAACTCACCTGGCCATTGCCACTTGGGAGAAGTCGGGCTCCACACAGCATGGCCTCTGAGATGTCTGTGTCCCTGTGTCCCTGAGGGTCAGTGTCAAGAGGAGGCCAGACTGTGTCTGAAAGAGCTGTGGGCACACCCCTTTGTTGAAGGGCTGCAGAGAGGGGCGGTGGCACCAAGCTGCCCCATTGCTGAGGGGCCAGGTGGCAGGAGCTCTGTGAGCCACACATCCCTCGGCTGCTTGGCATTGCAGAGGTGACGCTATTGAATCACACTTTACCCTGGGGTTCTTGTACAAACCAGATGCACTTTTGGAGAAGAAAAATAAGCCTCACTTATTTCGAACAGCCTTCCCACTTTTACCCAAAAGAAACAAAGCTTTTTTTTTTTTTTTTTAATAGCACACTTTCATGCAGTTAATTAAGATAAAATGAAAACAAAGGGCAAAATCTCCTCTCTGGTTGGTGATGGAAATGGGAAGTGCGTGTTTCTTCTACCAAGGGAAGGAGGCTCAAATCTTCCAGCATGAGGCTTTTTCATTTCACTCATTTCTCCACGGTCCAAGCAGGAGCTCTGTGCTGTTTGCTGGGTAGAAGATACTCGGTGCTTCCTTGCTCTCTGCTAAATGCCATCTACCCTCTCCCATCCCCTCTCGTCCTCCCTGGTCCCTTTGGTGCACTCTGACTGCTTCTGGTTCCCCACTCTGTGGCCTCACCTGTCTGTCCTGAGCGCCATGAGGTCAGCTGTGGCCCTGCCGTCCTGAAATTGCTCCTTCACTTGGCACATCCTGCCATCATCAGCGGCCTCCATGAGGGCACTGCCTTAGCTCCGTGACTCAGGACAGTGCTAAAGAAGTCAGTGTGTTCTCAGCGGGGAAGACGAGGGTAACAGACGTCCAGGTGCTGCGTCAGCTCCACGGGGAGGGAAGCACCCACTTCTCAGTTCCTGAACCCAGACCTTAGGTCTTCAAGTCTAATGCTTATTTTATTGGGGCACAGTAGAAGTTTTATTATCAATCAGAATTTAACAAGGATTGACATGAACCTATTTGTTTCTTTTACATAGTTTTCTTCAGTAACACTAGAAAAGACAGTTCTAGGCTGCACAATTTGCTGGGGGAGTTTTTCTGTGCAGAAGCATATTATATGTCCATTTTTTTCCCCAAAAACAATCACCTCAATTTGTGAAGACAAAATCCGATCATCAAGTGTTGCCTGAAAAGCAAATATATATCACTCTCATTCTTAGACATAATGTGGCTTCTGCAGACCACACGCCACTCCCTCCTAAAGAAAACAGCACGGACTCCCCTCCAGGAAGAGCTTTTCCTGCTGAATTTATATCGGGTTCCATCAAAGAAAAGCGACGGAAATGCATGTGCCTGCAGCCATTAAACAGAAAGACAAGTTGATTTTTTTTTTTGGCAAATTTAGAAACTGGTGAGAAAACGTTTCATGCTAGAGCAACTTCTGTAATTAAGATATTTTCTTCCTCTAAAATAGAAGGGTTTGTGTGAGCTCAGGGATGTGTCTTTTTTCTTTCCTAGGAAGTGGAAAAACCAGACCCTCAAATTAAGCTGAGGGGCCCTGCTAGGAATAAGAGGGCCTGCAGCTCCCCAGCTCCCCCTCTGCTGGGCCAGGCAGAGACACCCTGGGAGGATCTAATCCTCAAACCAAGGCCATTTTGCTTTTTAACTTTGGGGGATATGCACAGGATAATTTTCAGAGAGAAACAGATGCTGGTAAACTGATATCTCAGGCCTTCAGTCAGAAATCTAGCATTCTCTGTGGTTGATTTTATGGTATTCTTGCCTACACAAGTTGGTAAGTAACCCGTCTTCTGATAGGACCGTCTGAGAGCAGTTTCACCTAAAGGAAGCCGACGCTGGTTGGCTTTTTATCCTAGCTGCTTTCAGTTGGCGTAAATGTTTCTCCTTTATCACGTGAATCCTCTTAACTTTAATTTTATTGCAAGAATGATTAATATTGAGACAGCCAAGTGTTATCACAGTTTCATGGACAAGAAAGAGACAATATGTGGAAGAAAAGTACTGTGTTTGGAGACCCAACCTATTTTTATTTTATTTTTCTGAGAAGCAAAGCTCAGAAAGGAAGAGGGGAGAGGGATTTGTATTTTATTTATTTCTTTTTACTATTTACAGGGAAAAATACATTCCCTGCAAATAATAGAGAGAGAGAGAGAGAGAGAGAGAGAGAGAGAGAGAGAGAGATCAGAGGATTTCCCATGTGCTGAGTATCAATTTTCCTTTCACACAGTCTTGCATGGGGGGCTGGGGAAGCACTGAGCACAGGCAGCTCATTTGGGGACATGGCCGGGATGGCCCCTGTACTCTCATGGCCTGAGCAGAGTTGTGGCCCCTGGGGTGGCCTCCCAGACCTCCTTCTCACACGCTCTACCAGGGTTGTTTGGGATGCAATGACAAAGGTAACTTTACCCTTTAGAGAAGAGAAAATCTCACCTGGAATCAGGTTTCTGTTTTCATTTTTAACATTTGAAAAAATGCCCCTTGACGTGAGTTGAACTAGACTAACAGATAATGCTGATTTACCTAAATAGGACTTCCCATGTAGGAATGGACAGATGTTGTGAATGAGGTTGTCATGGTTAGTTAAAAAGGGAAGATTTCAGATAAGACACATTTGGAACCTTCTGGACAGCTCAGGATCCCCTAAGAAGGATCGGCATACCAGTGGCTGAGCCTGATGCTCACATTGTATTTAATAGCCTCTACCTCCTTAAAGACTATCGGAGATTCTGTGAAATGTCTAGGCAAGATTGCTTTCTTAGCAAGTGGAACATTTTTTTCTACCTTAAATAGAGGGTTCGTTCTTTTAGTAGAAAAGATAAAATGTAGCAGTGTTCTAATCAAAGCACAGATTGTGTTGTTTAAAGAAAATGTCCTTGGCAATACAGAAAAATAGAACATATTAGAAAAACCAATAAATACTTAGCAATTTTAGAGTACATAACTACGGGCTAAATTTTATAGAATATTCTCAATAGCTTTTTAGATTAAAATGGGAATACTTGCAGCTATTTTATATTTGAGTAACACATTCGATTATCGTTATATATGTTTTTACAAATAATTTTCAGACACATGTGTTTGAAGTGTTGCTCATGTCCTTAGCATGTGCTGGGTGCTTTGGGAAATGCAAAAGTTCTAGAAAACACAGCCTCTATCCTCCAGGTGGTTGCCATCTGCCTGGGCAGGAAAACATCCCTGAAGTGGCAGGAGGTGATAAAAGGTGGAATGCAGTCAGGTCCCGGAAACGCTGTAGGAACTTAGAGGAGATGGAGCTTTTGGAGCCTGGGATGGTTGTGCCAGGACTGAGAAGGAGAGGTGAGGCTAGACTGCGCTGGGTTAAAGCCAGCAGGAGAATGGCACACTGCAGGTGTGGTGGGCAGAGATGGTCCCCATGGATGTCGGCGTCCTGATCCTGAACTGTGAACACTGGACCTTAGGCAGCAAGAGCTTCCGCAGAGGTGGGTCTGTGAAGTCTCCTGGGGTGGAGACCTTCTGGGATGATCTTGTGGCCAGTGTGTCACGGGGGCCTTTACAGTAGGGGCAGGATTGTCAGCGTCAGAGGAGAGGTGAGGATGGAAGGAGAGGTTCGCGGTTAAGTGCCTGGAGCCAGGGGACTCCAGCGTCTCTAGCGGCTGGAGAAAGCAAGGGAAGATTCTCCCGAGAACTCTGAAAGCCGAGCAGCCCTTCTGACGCCTCGATTTCAGGACTTCCGAGTTCCAGAGCCGTGAGCGAATACATCTGCATCTTTAAGCCACTGCATATGTGGTCCTTTGTCTCAGCAGCTCTAGGAAACCAAGGGGAGGCTGGGGAGAGAGGCCTGGAGGACAGGAGGGTTGATGGGGCCTCCGCAGATGAAGGGAGGCCTCCTAGACAAGGACAGGGTTACTGAGGAGAAGACTGAGGAGAAGGTTCTGGAGATGTGGAAGGAAGGCCGCGCAGCCTTGCCCATCACCAGCGCTCTCCGCTCCATTTCTGCCCGGCAGTTCCAGCCCCTGGGTCTGCGCCCAGGATGACACCCCACGTGGGCCTCTCCAGGCCGCTCGGCTGCCCAGATGCAGCTTCTTCCTGCCCTCAGCCTCGCCCTGCTCGCCACAGCCCGTCTTCCTCCTCATCACCTCATGGGGAGCCTCCCGCCCCTTTGGCAGGACGCAGTCACATACTGACTTTCCGTTCCTTTAAGAAGTACGCATCTTTCCCAGCCTGTAACATTGAGAGGAAACAAGGCTTTCTTGGGACATCATCAAGAGGTCACACCAAAGACATGGGGGACCGAGGCGTGGACACTCAGGTGGGGAGAGCCTGTGGCCGCCCAAGGCCCATGCTCAGATGTAATCATAGAGCCACAACTATGATCAAGATTAGACACTCATGACCCCAGAGGCCCTGAGTCCATTGCAGTTAATCCCATCCCATCCCTCCTGGCCATACTGGCCTGTTCTGTGTCCCTAGAGTTGTTGTGCCTTTTCCAGATGTCAAATAAGTAGAATTTTACCACGTGGAGTTTTGATTTTTTTTGGCTTCTTTTTTCAGACTTCTTTGGCTTATCGCAATGCTTCCAAAACTCACCCGTGAGGATGCGGGGTCAATAGGGTGTTATCCTGGGTTGAGGTGCCACAGTCTGCTCAGCCTTCATCTGTGGATGGGTGTTTTGATTGCTTCCAGGCTTAGGCAGTTGTGAATAAAGTGGCTGTGGGCGTTCATACGTGGACGCTATAGACACGATTTCCATTGCTCTTGGGTTAAGCTCCCAGGAGTGTGCCTGCTGGTCATTTTAGGAAGTATATTCGCAATTTTATGGGATTTTTTTTTTTGCATTTTTATATAAATGTAAAATCACTTTCTCCATTTCTACAAAAACACCTGGTGCCATTTTAATTGTGATTTTATGTGTATATAGCTCAACTGGTGAAACATGTCAAAAATACTGAATTTTTCAATCTATGAACATAATACATTTCTTATTTAGATCTCCTTTGAATTCTACCAGCCATGTTTTACAATTTTCGTTGCATGTGTCTTGCACATATTTTGTTAAGTTTATGACTAAATGTTCATATACTTTATTTTATTGTAATTTTTTTAAATTTCAGTTTTCAAATATTTCCTATTGTTACCATACATAAATTCAACTGATTTTGTTTACTTTCTTTATATCTTGTGACTGTCAAACTTGTTTAGTAGTTTTGTTGGCTTTATTTTTAGATTATTCAAGATTTTCTATGTAGGCAATCATGTTATCTGGGATAAAGATAGTGTTACTTCTTTCTCCCTAACGTATGACTTCTTTTTTATTTTTTCCTTCCATCTTGCATTGGGTAGGATCTCTAATAAAATGTTAAAAAGACAAGAGAGGGGAGTATCCTAGTGGTGTTCCTGATTTCAGGGATAAATAGTCCCTTTTTCTCCATTAATTGTCACACTCAGTAGATTGTCAGTTTGAGAAGGTCCCTGTTTCCATTCCTAGTTTGCTGAGGGTTTTTAATCCTAAATTGTGTTGAATTTAGTGGAAAACTTACTTTGCATCTATTGTGATGTTCATATGATTTTAGTTTTGTAGTCTGATATGGTGTATCACATTGATTTTCAAATGTTTATGTAAACGTGCAATACTGGTGTAACTCTCAATAGGGATTATGTATTTTTCTTTTAATCCACTGCTGAAAATTACTGACTTCATTTTGTTAGCTATTTGCAGTTAACTTTATGAGGCTTATAATCCCCAATTTTCTCTCATAATATATTTGCTTTCGATAATTCTGGCATTATAAAACGAGTTGGAACATGTTCCCTCTCCTATTATATTTTAGAAGGTTTTGAAATAACCTAGCAGTAAAGCGACTTAAGACTAGACCCTTCTTTGTGGAAATAATGCAATTCTTTTGTTAGATTTAGGGCAAGTCAGGTTATCTGTATCTTCTCAAGTGAACTTTGGCTGTTGGACTCTGTCAACGCGCTTGTCATTTTAATCTAAGTTATGCAGTTTACTGCATAGAGAAAGGAAGCCAAGGGGACCCTGCTGCATGGTCCAGGACAGGGGTGGCATCCAGTCACGGCTCCGCTCTGTGTCCTGCCCTGAGCTCCTCCAGGAGCTGGGAGCAGCTGCTGACCCCTTTGTGGTTATTCTGACTCACACGCAGCTTTATGCCTTTGCTAACCTTTGACCTTTCTTTTAAAAATCCGCTTTTATTGCTGCCATCTTTTCCTTCTATTCTTTACTAAAGGCAAAGAGCTCATGGGTTCTCACTGCCATCAGAGGGGCTGGACGTCCATGGCCATTCAGTTCCTCTGTTTGCTTGGAGCCTGGCTCTGGAGCCGCCTCAGAGAGGCCTTGCTGTGTACTTTGCAGGTGCTAATCAGAGGAGGAGCTCCACCAGAGGCATCTCAGTCAGCCCAAGCCTCTGCAACCAAATCCCACAGACCTGGTGGCTTCAACAGATTCTGGAGGCTAGAAATTCAAGATGTAGGTGTTGGGAGTTGGTAGCTTCAGTGTCTGATGAGGGCCTGCTTCTGGGTTCACAGATGGCCCTTTCTCACTGTGTCCTCTCGTGGTGGGGGAGCTCTCCTGCCTCTTTCTCCTATTACAGGGGCACAGATCACATGAGGAGGCTCAACCTCCATGACCTAATAATCTCCCAAAGACCCCACCTCCTAACACCATCACATTGCAGATTAGAGCTTCAACATCATCTAGGAATTTTAGGAGGACCCAGATATTCAGTCCATAACAACACTTAATTATAAATTGTGAGCATAATTTTTTGTCAGTTCTATGCATTATCAATTTTGATGTGCACATTTTATTGAACCTGGAGAGAAAGCACATTATTAAAATAAATGCAATAAAATTGGTGTACAATAACTCTTTTTATATCATTCCTAATTCTGGAAATGCCGTCCTAAGTCAGAGGGAAAAGTTGGCACCCTTTTCTTAGAAAAAAAAAAAGAATGAGAAAATTCACCTTTTAAAATAGTCATTAACTCTTTATTTTTGCAGGTTGGAAGGCATATATTGTATTATTTTTAAAGGGAAATCTGGATGCTTTTCTTTTTTTAATCATAATTTACTGACCTTTCTTTCAATCTCCCATTTACTTGTTAAGTACTTACCATCCTAAGATCAGTAAAAACCTTAAGATATGCTGATGATATATATCTGGTCACACTACAGAGAAGACTTTCTCTTAATTTGCCTGTTTCTGCTGGTAATGAGATGATTTAGTACCAGAGACAGAGAAAACCAGATGGCAATTGTGTTGTTCCATAACTGCAGGGATTATAGCTAGTTCTCCCTGAAAGTCTATGTATTAATGTCTAATGGATTTCAAGGATGAATGCCACAACCTCAAAGAATGATTCAATTTCCTAAGTCTTGCCTCATTGTTAAAATAGTCAGTACATTAAATTGAAGTTGTGGAGAAGGGAGCTTATAAGTTCTGTAATATTACACACACACACACACACACACACACACACACACAATTATGACTTTAATTCTAGAATGACAAGGCAGGCTATAATTATTTATACCCACAAATGGACCTTATCAGTTAGAATATTTATAGTTAATACTTTACTAATCCTCCTGGCTTATTCTGTTTTCCATAATCCTGTTATAGTTTTGACCTAATACTCATGAATGGGGATGTGAGGCATGTTTTTTGCTCCAGGTAGCACCCAGGGCATCGGCCCTAGATGGAGGCTTGATGCTACTTGGAAAATGGCGAAGACAACACTGTCCGCAGTAATGGCATCTAGGGCTGATTGCTGGACAAGCATTTCCCGGCACAGGGAAGGCACAGCTGGTTCAGGTTTCCCAGGAATGAGTTACCTGCATGTCATCCTGAGACCAGGCAGCAGTGGTGACAGCAAATTCATTCTCGGTTCATTGTAATTATCAATAAATGATAAGAAATTTCGTGAGAGATTGTTGCCCTTAAGCTTAAATCTGGGAGAGGAATTAATTTTGTTCTGAAGCAGACTGGCAGGGAGCGCTTGTAAGTGATGCTGTGCTCACCTGTTAAGTCAAGAAGCAAAAGTGACAGAAACATTGACTCCACTATGACCCAGCATGCACCTATAGTATCAGGCATGTGATGCAGATGAAGGAAATAACACACCGTGACCCAGCATGCACCTGCAGCATGAGGCATGCGAAGCAGATAATGGAAATAACCTCAGATAGGATTTTCTTTTGAAGGAAACATATTTTATATAAATTATCAATACTGCGGAACTGAAAAGCACACATTTGATTATTTTGTAAAGCAAAAAGGTACATTCACAGAACAGGAAGCAGAAAAGAAATATTGGGGAAATTGAGTTAGTGATATGGAGAAAATTATGCTAAGAAAAAAAGACAAGTAAAAATATGAGATAGTGGATAGTAGGTACAAAGGACAAAACACATGATAAATATCCCTACTGAAGAAATTAAATGAAACAGATGTGATAATCAAATTACAACTACAAAACTTTCTTGATACAGTATTTAGTATTTAGTTTTGGCACCCTCAGGATACACTGTTGACAAGAATTTCAAAAATAAATGAAATATTTAATAAAAGACTTCAAGAATCTTTGCAATACAAGATGAGTGAATGAATGAATGGAATAAATTACCATCAACTGACCCAAATCTACCTTCTCTCAGACTTCATTTCTGAATAACTTTGGAATATCTTCCCAATTTACAAGAGTGAGATTAGGACCAGGAATTTGCTCCCCTTCCACATTGCATTTCATATGTGACAGTGCAGGGAGTCATTTTATGACAATTAAGTTCATGTTGAAAAGCAGCTGCCAACATATTGTCTCTTTGAGGCCATCACACAGTGGCCTGTCCAAATCTTTATTCCCAAAGCTGTCTTATTCTTTTATAGTATCATGCACCATACTATTCACCAAAAGTCTGCAGTTCGGTGGTTTGTTGTGTATTCACAGAGCTGTGCAGCCATCCCTATAGTCCAATTTAAGAACTCTTTAGCACCCTTAATATAAAACCCCATGTCCATTAAGCAATCAGTCCTGATTACCCCTCCCCCCAAATCCTGGCAACATCAAATCTACTTTATATCTCTAAAGATTTGCCTTCTGTGGACATTTTACATAGTGTTGGTCATACAGTTGGTCTTTTGTGGGTTCTTTTTTTTTTTTTTTTTATTATACTCTAAGTTTTAGGGTACATGTGCACATTGTGCAGGTTAGTTACATATGTATACATGTGCCATGCTGGTGTGCTGCACCCACTAACGTGTCATCTAGCATTAGGTATATCTCCCAATGCTATCCCTCCCCCCTCCCCCGACCCCACCACAGTCCCCAGAGTGTGATATTCCCCTTCCTGTGTCCATGTGATCTCATTGTGGGTTCTTTTGCTTAGCATAATGATTTCAAGTTCCATGCACATTATAGTATTAGACCGTTTTCTTGTTACTACCAGATACATTCCATTGTAGCACATTTTGTTTATCCATTAATCAGCTGATAGACTTTGGGTTGTTCCACTATTTGACTAATATAAATAATGATGCTGTAAATATTTATGTGATTTTGAATGGACCTGGTTTTCAATTCTCTTAAGTGTAAAACTATGAGTGGAATTACTGGCCACACTGTTTCCAATTATATTTCATTATTTTCAAAACTCCTAAAATCAGTAGTGTCTCTGATGTGATCATAATACTGGATCAAGAAAATTGTACCACTTGACATCCCCACCAGCAGTATATGAAAATTCCAGTTTCTGCATGTTACTACTAAAACTTTGTGTCTATTTTTTTTTAATTAAAATCATACTAGTGAGTGTGAGCTGGTGGCTTTGATTTGCATTTCCCTGATGATTAATAATGTTAAGTATCTTCACATGTAATTATTTGCCATTTGTATATTTTCTAATGTTTCCATTTTTAATTGGATTATTTATCTTTTTCGGTTGTGAGTGTTTTAAAAATAATTTTATGTTCTGGATACATGTAGATATAGGATTTACAAATATTTACTCTCATTTTGTGGATTACCTTTTCATTTTCTTCAAAGTATCCTTTGTCATGTAAAGTTTTATATTTTGATGAAGTTCAGTTGATCTATTTTTACTTTTGCTATAGTTTTTTTCTTATTTTACCTAGCAAACAATTGTCTGACCCAAGATTATAAAGATACACTCCTATGTTTTCCTTTGGACTTTTATAATTTTCTTTCTTACTATTAGGTAAAGGGTCTATTCTGAGTATATTTTTGTATTTTTGTGATTGTGTGAAGAACAAATATAAACGTATTTATTTTTTAAATTGTGGATATCCAGAGAGCCCAGCATCATATTTTCAAAAGTCTTTTCTTCTCTCCTTTGAATTGTCCTGGAAATCCTGTTGAAAATCAAATTATATAATACATGTGAGGGTTTATTTCTGGATACTCATTCCCATTCCATTGATCTATATCTCTATTTTTATAAAGCTATGTTAATATTTTCATGCTTATGCCAGCACTGTACTGCCTTGATTATTGTTCCTTGGTAGTAAGTTTTGAAATTAGGAAATGTGAACCTCCAACTTTGTTCTTCTTTGTTAGGATTGTTTCTGACAGTCCTGGGTTCCTGGAACATCCATAAAATTTTAGAATTAGCTTGTCAATTTCTGCAAATAAATCAGCTGGGATTTTGATAGACATTGTATTGAATCTGTAGATCAATTTGAGAATTATCCATTTCATAATATTAAGAATTTATTAAATTTTAACTGTATTGCCTTCAATCCATGAACATGGACTGTCTTTCTATTTATTTAGTTCTTCCATTTATTTAGTTATTTCATTTTCATTAACAATGATATATAGGTTTCAGAGTTTTGCATTTCTCTTAATGAAATTATTCTCAGGGTTTTTATTCTTCAGTTTAACTCCTATAAATAGAATTATTTCCTTAATTTTAGTTTTTAGAATGTTAATTGCAAACATATATAAATACAATTGGCTTTTGCTTATTGATCTCGTATCCTGCCACATTGCCAAACTCATTTATTAGTTCAAATAATTTTAACAGATTTCTTAAAATTTTCTAAGTACAGGATCATGTTATCTGCAAATAGAGATAATTTTACTTCTGAATGTCCTATCTAGATGAGTTTTAGTTCTTTTTTCCTCCTAATATTCCTTTGATAGGCACACCCAGTAAAATGTTAAATGGAAGTGGCAAGAATAAACGTATTTGTCCCATTCTTGATTTTAGCAGAAAAACACTCAGACTTTCTTCCTATGTATATTGTTTACTATGGATTTTCCACAGATAACTTTTATCAGATTGAGGAAGTTCTGTTTTATACCTAGTTTGATGGACATTTTTATCATGAAAGGCTGTTGGATTTTATCTAATGCTTTTTCTGCATCTCTTGAGGTGATCATATGATTTTGTCTTTTATTTACTGCATATGGGGTGGGGTATTGGATAAATTCCTTTCAGATGTTAAACCAACCTTGAATTTCTGGTATAAATCCCACTTAAATATGGTGTATAATTTTTTAGAAATGTTGATGGATTTGATTGGCTTGTATTTGGTTTAGCATTTTGCATCTATATTCATGAGGGATATTATCTTGTAGTTTTCTTGTGGTGTCTGATCTGTGTCAGGGTAATATTTGTCCCATAGAATAAGTTGGAAATTATTTCCTCTTGATGTTTTTAGAAGAGTTTGTGAAGAATTTGTATTCATTATTATTTAAATATTTGGCAGAATTCACTAGAAACTACTATTTCATTTCTGTGTTTGCTGGATATACATTCAGATTATGTATTTTTTATTCAATTTTGTTTATGTTTTTCTAGGAATGTGTCAATTTCATTTAAGTTATATAATTTTCCCAAAGCTCTTTCACACCGCACTTTCTTTGACTTATTACTTCCTTCCTCTCTACAAAGAGCAGCACAACTTCCCCATAGTATGTGGAAAAGAAACACAATCAGGAGGAGAGAGAGAATTAGTTGGCAAACAGCTCCAAATTTTGCTCGAAAAAGACAAGGAAAAATAGAATTTCTGGTTTTAAAATTTTAACATATGACCTGAGCAGGTCCCAAAAGTCGTTATTTAGTGGAAGTTATTTTTTTGTTGTTGTTTGCCTTGTAATGAGGAAACACTTTTATTGTCTTTCTTAACCTCTAGTGATGGATAGATAGGTGTGACTGACCATAAACAAACATACTCTCAACTTGTGATTGCACACAGGTGGCCTGAGTGTCATGGAGGAGTTTTGACTGGTATGCAGTTTTCTGGTCCATACTGGGTTAAAATAGATTAATTTAAATATTTGACAATTAGGTAGTTTTCACTTAAAAACTAAGAGAACTTTTCAAACACTTACCTTTCTGGCAACTTCGACTGCCAGAAATCAGCTCAGAAGTGAGCAACTTCTTTCCTCTTAGATGGTGCCCTCAATTTCTAATTCAACAGAATTCCTAGGATTTCTGATTGTGCTTGTTCCTGAGCCTAATATTTATTGTTGTGTTCCTTACACCTTGTAGAAAAATGGGTTTAGGAATAAACATAAACATTTCTTGTGACTTCATCTAAATCAAAAGTGGGAAAGTAAAATGTAGATATGCTTATGCTGCCACAAACATTGTGTGTATCTATATATCTACATATAGACATACACATATGTGTATCTACATCTACATATATATGTATATGTGTGTATATATTGGTGGAAACCAGTTTAGCTTTGCTGATTTATATTGCTTGTATTTGAGTTACCCAGTTTTTTTTTTTTTTTTTTTTTTTTTTTTTTTACTACCACTAGGTATTGATGAAAGCAACACAAGAAAGACATTTTGGAGATGCTGGGGTACCTAAAATTTTCCTCTATTAACATGAGGGTTGCTCTGTAGCAGTGAATGAACAAAAGGAGCAAAGTTTGAAAACTGTCTGATTCCTTCTGTTTCATTGTTCATTTTATTTAATATTAATAATGTAAAACATCAACAAAGCCAAAACTATTGGATAAGATGCCTAAGGTTGTCAAGTGAGACTTTTTTTCTGTTTTGCCAATACTAGTACCCTATGTGTGTCTGGTCATCAACTCAGCAGCACTTCGTTCTGTGTCTGCCTTGTTCCAGGCACTGTTCTGGATTCCACTCTACAGGTACACAAGGTCTCTTACTCACTGTACCTTTTATTTTTTTGGTGGAATGGGAAGAAGTCAAAGAAATAAGCAAGTTCACAAATAAACAGAATAATTTTATAAAATGTTAAGGGGTATGTAGGATATAGAGCAGAAGGATATGAGAACATGTACTGGGGGCGTGACAAGCTCTAGGTTAAGCTGGGTGCCCTCTCTAAGCACGTGGCTTATGAACAGAAGCCTGGATGTCAGCCATGAGCCAGCCATGAGGACGTGTAGGGAAGGACATGGTGAACATGTGTCAGGGCTGAGAATGGACCATGATTTCCAGACTGTTGACAGTGACTTGACATGCAGAAAATGAAGTGAGAGATGTAGGATTGTGCAGATAATGGCAATGGATTTGAATTGCATTCTGTCTGTGGTGAGAGCAATTGGTAGGTTTTCAACAGGAAAGTAGCATGATCTGATCTTCATTAAAGACTTCAATCTGACTGTGCTGTGGGACACAGAATGTCAGGATGGGAGCTGTGGCAGGAGTGTGGGCGAGGTGGCCATGACAGAGACAGAACTAGATTGAGACCTCCCCATCACTCACCTCAGCAGTTCTTGCATTTCTACATAGTGTGGTCTGGCAGGCCTGCCCTGTCTAGCTCTGCCAAACATAGACCCCCCTCTGGGGCTGAGTGGGGAGCCCAGGCCACCGGGCATTCCAGAGACCAGCCTGTTGCCTGAAGCACCAGAGAGCTTCTCTTGGTAAACAAAGATTAAACATAAACCCTTCTGCTACCACCACAACTGGCCCTTACCTGCATGAATCACCTACTAGCCTAGAGCTGGAACTACACAACCCATTACAAAACCTGTTGACACAAGCGAACAGCACAAAGAAGCATGATGAGATTCTTGAGACCTCCGCCACTCTGTCTCTGCAAGAGGCTGTTAGCCTACTCACCTGACCAGTACATCACTCCTACACCCAGCATTTGAGAAAGCCATCATACAAAGGCTATCTATAGCCAAGGAGTTCACGCAGAATCTTTGCCATTGAAGGCACCTAAAAAGCCAGATGACTCTACACAACATACATTATAGTCACATCCTCAAGGGTGAAAAAATTCATCCAAATGAAAGTAAATTCAAAAATAACAAGAAGGCATAGTTTATCTAGTTGAGAAGGAACCAGAAATTCTGGAAGTATGAACAGAGTATTACAGCAGCCCCCAAATATCACACTAATTCTCTAGCAGTATATCCTAACCAAAATGAAAACATGGAAATACAGATAGAGAATACAAACTATTGATTCTAGAGAAACTTGTTGAGTTTCAAGAGAAAGTTGAAAAACAACAGAAAGAAATCGGAAAAAAATCAAATTAGGACATGAAGGAAAAATTTACCAAAGAGATAGATATTAAAAGAAGCAAATAAACAGAACTTCTAAGAATGAAAAATTCACTGAAGGAATTACAAAATACTGTTGAAGGCAGTAACAATAGACTAGACCAAGCAGAAGAAAGAATCTCAAGAGTTTGAAGATCAGTCTTTCAAATTAACTCAAGCATAAAAAAAAAATTTAAGGCCTTTAAAGAGTATGGGATTATGTAAAATATCCACACCTACAATTCATAGGTATTCCTGAGGAAGAAGAAAAAGTAAAAGTTTGGAAAACATATCTGAGGAAATAATTGAAAATAAATTCCCTCATCTTGCTGGAGATTTAGACCTCCAGATATAAGAGGCCCAGAGAACTCTAGAAAGATACATTGCAAAATGGACTTCAACAAGACCTATAATTATTACACTATCCAAAGACAATGTGAAGAAAAAAACTTTGAATCATCAAGACAAAAGCATCTGATTACCTGTAAAGGAGAGTCCATCAAATTTCTAAGCCTATCAATGGACTTATAAAGAGAAACCTCACAAACCAGAAGAGACTAGGGTTCTACTTTCAGGCTTCTTAATGATAAAAACTGTCAACCACAAATTTTATATCTTGCTACACTAAGCTTCATAAATGAGGGAGAAGTATAGTATTTCCCAGACAAGAAAACACTAAAGTAATTTTCACCAAGAGACTGGCCCTGCAACAAATGGAGAGTTCTAAACGTGGAAACAAAATGTTGATACCATAATAAAAGCATACAAAAGTAGAAAACTCACAGGTCTTATAAAACAATTATGCAAATGAGACTACAAAGCAACTAGGGAACAATTAACATTATGACAGGAACAACACCTCACATATCAATATTAACTTTGAACATAAATGGATGACATGTTTCACTTAAATGATGCAGATTGGCTAAATTGATTTAAAACAACAACAACATTATTCAACCATATGCTGCTTACAAGAAACCCACCTGAGTGGTAAGACATTAGTAGGCTCAAGGTAAAAATGTGGAAAAAATATTCCATGCAAAGGACACCAAAAACAATGATGAGTAGTTACACTAATATCAGATAAAACAGGCTTTAAATATACAACCATAAAATGACAAGGAAGTTCGTTATATAATGATAAAGGTATCAATTCCACAGGAAGCTATAACAATCATAAATATACATGCCCCAACACTGGATCACCTAGATTCATAAAACAAATAGTAGTAGAACTAAGAAAATAGCAATACAATAATAGTGGGGGACTTCAATACCCTACTGAGAGAACTAGACAAATCATTGAGATTGAAAATCAACTAAAAATTAGCGGACTAAAATTTGTGGACCAGATGGACATAACAAACACATTGCATTCTACTCAACAACTGCAGATTATATACTCTTCTCTTCAGTGCATAGAACATTTTCCAAGACAGACAACATATAAGGTCGCAAAACAAGTCTAAGTAAATTTTCAACAATCAAAATTATATAAAGTACTTTACTTTCTCAGACCATAGTGGAATAAAACTAGAAATCAATTCCAAGAGAAACTCCCCAAACTATACAAATATATGGAAATAAAACAACCTGGTCCTGAATGATCGTGGGGTGAAAAATGCTATTAAGATGGAAAATTTTTAAATTTTCTTTACCTGAATGAAAATGGAGCTACAACATACCAAAATATCTGGGATACAGAAAAATAAGTGCTGAAATGAAGCTTTATAGCATTAAATTTCTGCATGAAAAAATAGAAATATTACAAATTAACAACCTAACATTGCACATCAAGGAACCAGGAAAAGAAGAACAAACCAAACCCAAAGCTAACAGAAGAAAATAAATAAAGATAAAAGCAAAACCAAATAAAATTGAGACCAAAAAAATCATACAAAGCATCATCAAAACAAAAAGTTGTTTCTTTGAAAGGATAAATTAAATTAATAGACCACTAGCTATATTGACCAAGAAAAAAGATAAGATTTAAACAATCAGAAATGATAAATATGACACTACAACTGATATCACAGAAATACAAAAGATCCTCAGAGACTACTGTGAACATTTCTGTTCACACAGACTAGAAAACCTAGAGGAAATACATAAATTCTTGGAAATATACAACCTCTCAATATTGAACCAGGAAGAAATAGAAATCCTGAACAACCCAATAACTTATTAAGTTGAATAAATGATTTAAAATTCTAACCAAAACAAGTCCAGGATCAGACAGTTTCACAGATAAATTATACTAGATGTACAAAGAAGAACTGGTACCAATCTTACTGAAACTATTTTAAAAAATGAGGAGGAAGGACTCATTTCTCACTCATTCTATGAAACCAGTATCATCATGATAAAAAAAACCTAGCAAGAACACAACAAAAAAGAAAGCTACAGGCAAATATCATAGATGAACATAGATGCAAAATCCTCAAGAAAGTACTAGCAAATAAAATCCAGCAGCATGTCAAAAATGTGATCAAAATTTTATCATGATCAGATGAGTTTTAACTCCAGAAATGCAATGAAGGTATATGCAAATCAACAAATGTGATTCGCCACGTAAACAAAAAGTAAAAACCAAAAACATATAATCATCTCAATAGATGCAGAAGAAGCATTCAATAAATTCCAACATCCCTTCATAATAAAACCCTGAACAAGCTAGGTATTGAAGGAACATACATAAAAATAATAAGAGCCATGTATGAGAAATGCACAGTCAACATCATACTGAATGGACAAACACCAAAAACATGCTCCTAAGAGCTGGAACAAGATGAAGATGTTCACTCTCACCTCTCCTATTCAACATAGTACTGAAAGTTTTAGCCAGATCAGTCAGTAAAGAGAAAGACATAAAAGACATCCCAATTGGAAAAGAGGATGTCAAATTATCTCTGTTTGCTGATGATGTGATCTTATACCTAGAAAATCCTCAAGACTCTTTCAAAAGACTCCTATATTTGAGAAATGAATTCAATAAAGTTTCAAGATAAAAATAAATGTACAAAAATCAGTAGCATTTTTATACAACAATAATGATCAAGCTGAGAACCAATTCAGGAAGTCAATTCCATGTACAATAGCTACAATAAGTAAAATACCTAGGATTATATTTAACCAAGGAGGTAAAAGAATTCTACAAGAAAAACTATGAAGCACTGATGAAAGAAATCTTAGATGAAACAAACAAATGGAAAAACCTCCCTGGCTCATGGATTGAAAAAAATCAATATTATTAAAATAACCATACTACCCAAAGCAATCTAGAGATTCAGTGCAATTCTCACCAAAATATTAATATCATTTTTTAAAAGATTAGAAAAAAAGTCCTAAAATCCATGTGGAACTAAAAAAGAGGCTGAATAGCCAAGCAGTTCTAAGTAAAAAGAACAAAGCTGGAGGTATCACATTACCTGACTTCAAATTATACTACAAGGCTATATTAACCAAAAGAGCATGGTCCTGATATAAAAATAGACATGTAGATCAAGGAACAGAATAGAGAACCCAGACATAAAGCCACATACATACAGGCAACTGATCTTTTACAAAGTTGATGAAAACACACACTAATGTAAGGATACCCTATCCAAAAATGGTGCTGGGAAAATTGGATAGCCATATGCAGAAGAATTCAGCTGGATCCATAGCTCTCACCATATACGAAAGTTAACTCAAAATAAGTTAAAAATTTAAATATAACACCTGAAACTATAAAAAAACCAGAAGAAAATCTAGGAAAATCTCTTCTGGACATTGCCATGATCAAATAATTTATTACTAAGACCTCAAAAGCAAATGGAAAACATCCCAAAAATAGACAAATTGAACTAAAATGCTTCTGCACAGTGAAAGACAAAATTGACATAGTGAACAGACAACTTATAGAATGGGGGAAAATATTTGCAAACTGCATTTAGTGAGTAACTAATATCCAGAATCTACAAGGAATGCAAAAAACTCAATAACAAAAGCAACCACTTAAAAGTAGGCAAAAGTAGGCAAAAGACATGAACATATATTTTTCAAAAGACAAACAAATGGTTACAAGCATTTGAATTAATGCTGAACGACACTGATCATCACAGAAATGCAAATTAAAACCACAATGAGATACCGCCTTATACCAGTCAGAATAGCTATTATTAAAAATTAAAAACAGATGTGTATGAGGATGTGGAGAAAATACTTATCTATGGTTGGTTGAAATATAAATAGAACAACCTCTATGAAAAAGGGTATGAATATTTCTCAAAAAAAAAAAAAACCTAAAAATAAAACTGCCATTCAATCCAGCAATCCCATAAAGGATATATACCCAAAGGGAAAAAAATTATATCATTATATCAAAAAGATAGTTGTATGTTTACTGTGGCACTATTCACAGTAGCAAATATCTAGAATCAATGTGTTCTTCAATGAATGAATGACTAGGTAAAGAAAATGTTATATATATATATATATTTATATAGTCACCCATAAAAAAGAATACAATCTTGTCTTTTTCAGCAACATGGATGGAAGTGGAGGTCATTATCTTAAACGAATTAACTCAGAAACAGCCAAATCCTGCATGTCCCTGCATGTTTCCACTTCCAAGTGAGAGCTGAATAAAGTGTACACACAACCATAGTAGAATAATAGACCTGGAGACTCAGAAAGTGGGGAGGGTGGTAAGAGATGAGAAATTACCTCATGGGCACAATGTAAACTCTCTGGCTGATAGCTACACTAAAAGCCTGCATGCACCACTACATGGTATATCCATGTAACAAAACTGCACACGTACCCCCTAAATCTATAAAAATAATTCAAAAAGAAAAAAATAATGGATTTGCACGAGTATATGAATCTATTATGGGAGGATGACAGTGTATAGTCAAGAGTGTGGCCTGGAATTGGGTAAGGTGAGGGACGGAGGTTTGCAAAGTGCATGTCTGGGTGACACAAGCCAGTGGCATCAGCTCAGGCATCAGCGGTGTCAGCCCCCAAACTCTGGACCCAGTTGGAGGCTTCCATAATTAACAGGGAGCATCAAACATATTAACCAAGCATTCATCATGTCTAGACTTCATTACATATGACATTATGATTTCTATTGTATTGGAGTCTAGAGAGAGGCCCAGGATTTCTGTACACATTTGGACAGGCTTCCTTCCTTCTGTCTTACCTTGGGTGCATTTGCCTGGCAGGTGAGAATGGTTAGGCAGCCAAGTGTTTCTGTGAGAACCTGTTCCAGTGATGTCCTAAGCAGCTATGAGTTTCGGAAGGAGCTGCTGTGACGATCTATTAATAGATGGTCCCTAATATGATGCACTTTTAAGCATCACTCGTGTAGCTACTTGCTATTATTTCATTTTGAAATCTTTATTACTTCAGATTACACTTATGTAACATTGTTGAAACATCATATTTTCTTTGTACATAAACTTTTTGTTATTTCTCAAAGAAGTAATTGTAATTTGCTAGGCTTCTCCCCTTTATTCCTTAATGTGTACTGTATTCTGGGGCTTCTGAAATCCCCATGCAAACTGAATGCTTAATTTAATACCTGTCATGACCTGAATTACTTCATTTGGGAAGAGAGCTATTACAAAGCAGCTGTGATAAAAGGAGAATTTGCCAAATATTTATACCTATACAGAATCCCCTAAACTGTGCAACCTATTTGGTTTTAATTCTATAAAAGAAGTTATACCATGTTTTATTCTTAATGATAGTGCCTGACATGACTGTCCTGTGACAAAAACTAAATCATTAGTCCCTGTAACAGGAAGTCTATATTCATAAAACTCTTACAAGATAACACAGGAAAAGCCTGGTTTATGTTGGATATGATGATGACTTTTGATATGACATCAAAAGTACAATCCATGAAAGAAATAACTGCTAATTTAAAATTGAAGACTTCTGCTCTGCAAAAGACATTGTTAAGATAATGAAAAGACAAGCCAAAGACTTGTAGAAAGTATTTGAAAAATAATCTCTGATAAATGGCTTGTACACAGGATATACAAAGAACTAAAACTCAACTACAAAACCTTGAAGAACCCATTAAAACTTGGGCAAAACGCTTGAACAGACACCTCATGTAGATCTGCAGATGGCAGATAAGCATATGAGGATGCTCAATGTCACATGTCAGGGAATTGCAAATTACAGCCGCAATGAGACAACCCTACACCACTGTTAGCTGGCTAAAATCCAAAACGCTGACAGCACCAGATGCTGGCAAGGATGTGGAGCGATGGGGACTCTCCTTCGTTGTGGGTGTGAATGCAAGTATGGTGAAGTCATTTTGGAAGACAGTTTGGTGGTTTCTTACTTTGCTAAACATATTCTTAACATAGAACCTAGCAGTTGTGCTCTCTGGACTTTACCCAAATGAATTGAAAACTTATGTACCCACACAAAAAACATGCAGAGATGTTAACAAAAGCATTATTTATTTGTTTATTTTATAATTATGTATAATTGTCAAAAACTGGAAGCAACCAAGATGTCCTTCAGAAGGTGAATGGAGAAATAAACTATGGTTCATCCAGTCACTGTAATGTTATTCAACAGTAAAAAGAAATGAACTATCAAGCCACAAAAAAATGGAGGAAATTTACATGCAAATTACTAAGAAAGAAGTCAATCTGAAAAGGCTGCAGACTGCATGATGCCAACTGTATGACCTGTTGGAAAAGGCAGAACTCTAGAGACAGTAAAGAGATCATGGATTGTGGGGCGGGAGGGGTGAACAGGTGGAGCACCGAGGATGTTCAGGGCAGTGAAACTGAGTTGTATGATCCTGTAGTGGTGGACAGGTGTCATTATCTGTCTGTCCAAATCCACAGAATGCACAACACCTGGAGTGAACCTTGGTGTAAACCATGACTCTGGGTGACGAGGACATGTCCACGTAGGTTCACCAATGATAACAAATGCGCCACCTGGGGGATGTTGATAATGAAGGGGCTGTGCACATGTGGGGGCGGTGGGGGTACGTGAATTCTCTGTACCGTCCTCGTCCTCTCAGTTTCTCTGTGAAGCTAAAACCCCTCTAAGAATGAAATCTATTTTAAAATATTAACGTTGGAGCTGGGCACAGTGGCTCACACCTGTAATCCCAGCACTTTGGGAGGCTGAGGCGGGTGGATCGCCTGAGGTCAGGAGTTTGAGACCACTCTGACCAACATGGAGAAACCTCGTCTCCACTAACAGTACAAAAATTAGCCAGGCGTGGTGACATGTGCCTATAGTCCCAGCTACTCAGGAGGCTGAGGCAGGGGAATTGCTTGAAGCTGGGAGGCGGAGGTTGCAGTGAGCCGAGATTGCACCATTGCACTCCAGCCTGGGCGACAGAGCAAGACTCTGCCTCAAAATATATATATATATATATATATATATATATATATATATATATATATATATATATATATATATATATATAAACGTTGACATTGCTCTTGAGACTTTATTTTTATATTATTTAAACATTGGATGAAAAATTTTACATGCCAACTGAATTATATGGAGGAAGCCAAGATAAATAATTAGCAATATAGTCTTCAGGGACATATGAGCAGAGTATTTGAAAACTCTGGAAATTGGAAATCATCATTCTCAGTAAACTATTGCAAGAACAAAAAACCAAACACCGCATATTCTCACTCATAGGTGGGAATTGAACAATGAGATCACATGGACACAGGAAGGGGAATATCACACTCTGGGGACTGTGGTGGGGTGGGGGGAGGGATAGCATTGGGAGATATACCTAATGCTAGATGACAAGTTAGTGGGTGCAGCGCACTAGCATGGCACATGTATACATATGTAACTAACCTGCACAATGTGCACATGTACCTTAAAACTTAAGGTATAATTAAAAAAAAGAAAAAAAATGCATTGATTATATACATATTAGTGAATATAACCTATAAAATATTAACCAGATATTAAATAAAGTAGAATTTCAAAAAAAAAAGAAAATTCTATTAATACGTATTTGGATGCTAATCTTGTGTTTTGGTGAAAAATTCCTTTTTTATTTTGAGTGGACCTCAGTATCATCATTTACTTAGAGAATTTACCGTTGTCTACTTTTAGTTATACTTTTCTGTATAGACTTGGCCCGCCACATCCGTGGGTTCAACCAACTGTGGATGGAATGCATTTGAATAGAAAATGTGTCTGTACTTATGTATAGACTTTTTCCTTGTCATTATTCCCTAAATAATATATTGTAACAGTGTTGTTATGGCATTTACATTGTGGTAGATAGAAGTAATCTGGAGATGATTTAGAGTATGAGGGAGGGCCAGGCGCGGTGGCTCACGCCTGTAATGTCAGCAGTTTGGGAGGCTGAGATGGGTGGATCACCTGAGGTCAGAAGATCGAGACCAGCCTGACCATCATGGTGAAACAAACACCCTTTCTACTAAAAGTACAATATTAGCCAGGCATGGTGACACATGCCTGTAATCCCAGCTACTAGAGAGGCTGAGGCAGGAGAATCGCTTGAACCTGGGAAGTGAAAGTTTCAGTGAGCCGAGATTGTGCCACTGCACCCCAGCCTGGGCAACAGAGCGAAACTCCATCTCAAATAAATAAATAAATAAATAAATAAATAAATGTGTATATATATATGTATGTATAGGGGAGGAGGTGCATGGGTTTTTTGCAAATACTGCACCATTTTATATCAGGGACTTGAGTATGTGTGGGTTTGGGTATCTGGGGAGGTCCTGGAATCCATCCCCCACAGATCCCAAAGGACACTGCATGACTCTCACACACACCCTAGTGAGAAGGACATTAGACAGGCGACCTGAGTTCTATGTTTTGGCCAATTCCTGACCCACACGATCCTAGGCCATCATAAATCACGTCTCTAAACTTGTTACCTCATCGGTGGAGACACCTGGGTGTTGCCAAGAGAAGTAGCAAAGGTTTTGGTGTTTGATGGACTCACATTTAGACCTGACTTGCCCTTTCCAGCTGAGGATGTTGGGCAGGAAACAAAACTTCCCTGAGCCTCAGTTTCCACAGTAAAAATGGCATTAATTATATGTGTTACACATTGTTGTGAAGATTGAAGATGATGTCTTTAAATCACCCACCACAAGGCATAGTAGACAAGGTGAGCAAGGAATTTTCTGAGTAAATGTAGCATTACCTCCTAAGACTGCTTCTCTTAAACGATTTCCTAAAAATCATCATAGAATGATGTACTATATGGGAGAGCACTCAGTAAGCGTTCAGGTCTATAGAAAAAGATGCACATCCCTTGTATTGAGTTATAAACTCAGTGGACAATATACCTTAGAAGGTTTTGTTTTGTTATGTTTTTGGTTTATTTTTTGAGGCAGACTCTCACTCGATGTCACCCAGGCTGGAGTGCAGTGGTGCGATCTCGGCTCACTGCAACCTCCACCCCCTGCCTCAGCTTCCTGAATAGCTGGGATTACAGATGACTGCCACTGCACCTGGTTAATTTTATAATTTTTAGTAGAGACGGGGTTTCACCATCTTGGCCAGGCTGGTATTGAACTCTTGACATTGTGATCCACCTGCCTTGGCCTCCCAAAGTGCTGGGATTACAGGTGTGAGCCACAACACCCGACCAGGTTTTTATTTTGTGGGGGGCTTGTTATTTCTTGGCCTTACTGATCTTGGCATTTATTTAAAAGGCTTGATAATAACTTATATTGAAGACACTGTTTTACACACACAAATAGTACTCGTTTTCTATTTTTCTGTTCTATATCTTTCTCTGAAAGTAGTTGATCTGTGTTTCTGTAAACAAACTTAATTCTCTTTAGTTAGGGGACATTTCGAATGTGTGTTTGTAACACTCACCATTTATAAGCAGATTCCAGTAATTTTACATCTATTTTATTTCACATGAGCAAACTAGTATTACTTATCTCCATTCTTGACTATTTTTAGTGCTTCACAAAATTATAGTCATTTCTATAATAGCTTTATCACTTTTTTTGAGATGCGCAAAAAAGGGATGTTCAGGTAACCATCACATGACAATCATCACATACCAGTATTTGGCCTTCTTACTGTGAACATTTTCCATTTAAAAAACAAAGTGTACTGCATTAAAACATGCATGAATTTCAGACTAAATGCCTGCTTATCTACGTCATCAAACCGTTTTTATTATTTATATGTATTAACATTACAGAAACCTGTAATGTCGTAGAACTAATGATAGGTGACATAAATATTTATTGATGTTTTAGTTATAGTTTTCATTTTAGAAAAAAATACAGTAATGTAAAAGGGCATCTGGTTTGGAGTAGATTTGGATAGTAATTAGTATTTTTGCTTTTCCATAAAAATAAATACAAGTTTATAAGTTACATATATTTTAAATTGTTATTAAACTCAGGTTTCCCAGGTTTTGTGCTCAGTGTTCATTTCAGTTCTTTCTGAAAGGCCCTAGGTTACCTAATTTTGCATTTGACAGAAAGTGCTGTTTCAAATTACTGAATTTTGGTATTGCAGGAAAGACCTGTATGGCAACCTGAAATTGCTTGTACATAATTGCCTTTCAAATTATAGCCCATTAGAAAGAAATGCACCTTTTTTTAGAGCACCTAGGAAAATATTTTCTAGAGAAACTCCTGGTATCAAAATCCCTAAAGCTGTGTGAGCAGCTGGCTCTAAAGGCAGTCACGTCTGGTCCTGGATCGTGTGTATGGCAGCCACACCTGTGTCCCCGGGAAGACATGCTGGTTCTGATACTGGTGTGGGTCGTGTGTATGGCAGCCACACCTGTGTCCCCAGGAAGACATGCTGGTTCTGATACTGGTGGGTCGTGTGTATGGCAGCCACACCTGTGTCCCCAGGAAGACTGCTGGTTCTGATACTGGTGTGGGTCGTGTGTATGGCAGCCACACCTGTGTCCCCAGGAAGACATGCTGGTTCTGATACTGGTGGGTCGTGTGTATGGCAGCCACACCTGTGTCCCCAGGAAGACATGCTGGTTCTGATACTGGTGGGTCGTGTGTATGGCAGCCACACCTGTGTCCCCAGGAAGACATGCTGGTTCTGATACTGGTGGGTCGTGTGTATGGCAGCCACACCTGTGTCCCCAGGAAGACTGCTGGTTCTGATACTGGTGTGGGTTGTGTGTATGGCAGCCACACCCATGTCCCCAGGAAGACTGCTGGTTCTGATACTGGTGGGTCGTGTGTATGGCAGCCACACCTGTGTCCCCAGGAAGACTGCTGGTTCTGATACTGGTGTGGGTCGTGTGTATGGCAGCCACACCTGTGCCACATCAGGAAGACATGCTGCTTCTGATACTGGTGAATCTCCCAACCACGTGGAACCACGTGAATTCTCTCCTCATTTTCCCTTTCCTGATCTCAGATTTATGATAGGGAATGAGATCTTCCCTTCCCTATGTTCCTATTGCCCCCATCTCTCTTCTCATCCTTTCATTTGTAAACGAATCAGAAGTCCTGACTTGTGGAAGAGATGCAAGATTCTCCATGTGTGCTACTGATGTGCCTGATCAAGTTAAGTCACCGTTTGGGGGAAGGAGCAGTACTTTTGCTGGTATCATTTACATTTGTACTAACAGGTGAGATATTATCAGAACACACTCTATTATTATTATCAGAGGTGTCTGATAATGAGATCTTTATAATATGTGATTCAAAGGGGTATGAACACACTAGATGGAGCTTATGAGATGTCAGAAGGAGAGGTAATGGGATGTCCACGGGGTGAGTTGAATGTGGCGTGAGCACTTAGGGGCTCACTAAAGATGGGACCCAGAACTCAGGCTGCAAAAATGAAGGATAAAGAGTGAAGCTTCTACAGTAAAAGTCAACCTACTTGCATTTACTGAGGGAATAGATAACATAAATAAGTTGTATATGCCAAGACTGGACCTGGTCTAGCTGGGTGTGAACCACAAATGCAGAATTGTGGCTGTTGTAAATAAAGGGAAAGGAGACCCCGACAATCAGCCTCATGAGCGTGGTGTGTGGGATTCTGAATGAATCTGTCCCTCTGGTCAAAATCACTCAAGCATTTATCTGAGCATTTTGCTTGTAGGCATCAGAGCCAGACTATAATTAGAGAAGTTGGAATACGGCCAACAGGATGCCACAGGAAAAATTAAATGCTTGCAAAACACACATTGCAAGAAACAGAGTCTCTTTTCATTGGAAGAGTGAACAGTCACACTTTTTTTCAGATGGTGCTTGGTTGTGGGAGAAAGGATTGTTAGAACGTGATTGAAAGCCTGTCCAAGGCCCTATACGCAGGGCTCTTCACCTTTGTCTCTGCTGCTCCCGGAGCCATTGCTGACAGGGCTATGAATGACAGCCGTGCTCAGTGGCTTGACCCCAGGCAGGGCCCAAGGGAGGGGCTCCCTCCCAGGCTGAGTCCAGAGCACTTCAAGCTAGAATGCAGAAAGGGAAGCACTTACTGTGTAGGCCCTAGAGTCTTCCGACTCTGGACAGAAAATAGAAAAGTGGAACTGAGTTAACTTTACAGCAAGATGCAATGGTGTGTTTGTGAATGGAAAAGTAGAACTGAGCTAACTTTATAAGATGCAATGGTGTGTTCATGGAAATGTTCCATCTCAGAGGCCTTTCTCAGTGCTCTGATAGGTTTTCTTTTAGTTTATTGAACGGAAGACAGATTTAGTTATAAAAACATGATCAGCAAGTATGAGCTCTGTCTGCCTCACTGTATCTGAAGTCCCAAGAAGCCACCATTCTGATCTAATCTCTAACGTGGCACGGGGTGACTGAGGGCCAGGTGGGAGCAGGGCGGAGCCACATAGGCAACACACTTGCGTCTGAGCACTTTCTCAGCTGCTAGGTCCAATTTCTGGTTACACAGATAAGCTTTGGTGAAAGAATAGAACAATTCAAGACATGCCTTTTAGTACATAAATACAATTGACCATTCTCCTTTAACTGTTAAAAATCCCACTAAATAAATATGATAACACCATCAGTACACATATAATTTATTAAGTACAAATGTGGAGACAAGTTTCAGAAACAATCTTTGATGAATGAGCCATGATTCAGATTTTTAAATCATACCGTATTTGCATTTTAGTTCTATTGTTTTTTCTTTTTGGTTGCTGGTGGCCATGTCTTGTGAGCAGCATAAAAAACTGTGATTGTGATGTTGCTATTTCTGACCTTGAGGAAAGTTTCAAATATATTTAATTTTCTGTGTATTAATATAAATTAATATAATTGCAGGCTTTTTTTGTTGACATGACTTCAGATTTCATATGAGGTCTGAAAATCTGGTAGTATGCATGAAGTATCATTTTCATTGGACTTTAATCAATTACTGAAGAGATAAATGCTTATTATCAACTAAAAAACACATTTAAAAAACACATTTTAATTATTAGTAGATGCGTATTAGTAATTGTAGACCTAGCTGTAGTGAAACTCTGCATTACACTCATTAGGAAAAATTGTGAAGTCCACTTGTATATAGGCATGCATTTCTTCATATGTATTTTATATTCTCTGAGAAACCGAATATAGACAAAGATGGCATATTTCAAATATTGACTTAGAAACTTTCTTTTCCCCAGTGAATACCAAACAGTTAGATTCCTGGATCTTCCTCTAAATCAAGCAATCTCTAAATCATAAGCAAATTTCATTGCTATTGAGATAATAATCTGCCTCCTCTTCTCCCTGACAATCAATACGAGCAACGATCACAGTGGTCCCAGTGGAGAAGCCGTAACAACACTAAGCGTGGGGAACTGTCAAGGCTGTCATGTATGGGATGCCTACATTGCCAGGGACTTGCCATGGAGCTTCCATTAGATCCACAAAACAACATCTTGAAATAACGTTGTTCATCTCTGTTTCTATTTCATGAGTTCTCTCATCCTCGGTGCAAGTGGACATGTCCCTGTGTGGGAGGCCAGCGATGAGCAGAGCCTGGCACAGTCCCTGCCCCCTTAGAACCTACAGCTGGGTGGGTGGGTAATGAAACCTGCAGGCTTAATCGATAGTCACACAGAAAAGGGGCGGCAGCGACTTGGGGGGTCTGGAGAGGGATTTATTCATAAAGGCAGAGAGAAGGGTGATCTAGAAAGGGATTTATATGGGCAGAGAGAAGGGTGGTCTGGAGAAGGATTTATAAGGGCAGAGAGAAGGGTGGTCTGGAAAGGGATTTATAAGGACAGAGAGAAGGGTGGTCTGTAGAGGGATTTATAAGGGCAGAGAGAAGGGTGGTCTGGAGAAGGATTTATATGGGCAGAGAGAAGGGTGGTCTGTAGAGGGATTTATAAGGACAGAGAGAAGGGTGGTCTGGAGAAGGATTTATATGGGCAGAGAGAAGGGTGGTCTGTAGAGGGATTTATAAGGGCAGAGAGAAGGGTGGTCTGGAGAAGGATTTATATGGGCAGAGAGAAGAGTGGTCTGTAGAGGGATTTATAAGGGCAGAGAGAAGGGTGGTCTGGAGAAGGATTTATATGGGCAGAGAGAAGGGTGGTCTGTAGAGGGATTTATAAGGGCAGAGAGAAGGGTGGTCTGTAGAGGGATTTATATGGGCAGAGAGAAGGGTGGTCTGGAGAGGGATTTATATGGGCAGAGAGAAGGGTGGTCTGGAGAGGGATTTATATGGGCAGAGAGAAGGGTGGTCTGTAGAGGGATTTATAAGGGCAGAGAGAAGGGTGGTCTGGAGAGGGATTTATATGGGCAGAGAGAAGGGTGGTCTGGAGAGGGATTTATATGGGCAGAGAGAAGGGTGGTCTGTAGAGGGATTTATAAGGGCAGAGAGAAGGGTGGTCTGTAGAGGGATTTATAAGGGCAGAGAGAAGGGTGGTCTGGAGAGGGATTTATATGGGCAGAGAGAAGGGTGGTCTGTAGAGGGATTTATAAGGGCAGAGAGAAGGGTGGTCTGGAGAGGGATTTATATGGGCAGAGAGAAGGGTGGTCTGGAGAGGGATTTATATGGGCAGAGAGAAGGGTGGTCTGGAGAGGGATTTATATGGGCAGAGAGAAGGGTGGTCTGTAGAGGGATTTATAAGGGCAGAGAGAAGGGTGGTCTGTAGAGGGATTTATAAGGGCAGAGAGAAGGGTGGTCTGGAGAGGGATTTATATGGGCAGAGAGAAGGGTGGTCTGTAGAGGGATTTATAAGGGCAGAGAGAAGGGTGGTCTGTAGAGGGATTTATATGGGCAGAGAGAAGGGTGGTCTGGAGAAGGATTTATATGGGCAGAGAGAAGGGTGGTCTGTAGAGGGATTTATATGGGCAGAGAGAAGGGTGGTCTGGAGAGGGATTTATATGGGCAGAGAGAAGGGTGGTCTGTAGAGGGATTTATAAGGGCAGAGAGAAGGGTGGTCTGGAGAGGGATTTATATGGGCAGAGAGAAGGGTGGTCTGGAGAGGGATTTATAAGGGCAGAGAGAAGGGTGGTCTGGAGAGGGATTTATATGGGCAGAGAGAAGGGTGGTCTGGAGAAGGATTTATATGGGCAGAGAGAAGGGTGGTCTGTAGAGGGATTTATATGGGCAGAGAGAAGGGTGGTCTGGAGAGGGATTTATATGGGCAGAGAGAAGGGTGGTCTGTAGAGGGATTTATATGGGCAGAGAGAAGGGTGGTCTGGAGAAGGATTTATATGGGCAGAGAGAAGGGTGGTCTGGAGAGGGATTTATATGGGCAGAGAGAAGGGTGGTCTGGAGAAGGATCTATATGGGCAGAGAGAAGGGTGGTCTGTAGAGGGATTTATATGGGCAGAGAGAAGGGTGGTCTGGAGAAGGATTTATATGGGCAGAGAGAAGGGTGGTCTGTAGAGGGATTTATATGGGCAGAGAGAAGGGTGGTCTGGAGAAGGATTTATATGGGCAGAGAGAAGGGTGGTCTGTAGAGGGATTTATATGGGCAGAGAGAAGGGTGGTCTGGAGAGGGATTTATAAGGACAGAGAGAAGGGTGGTCTGGAAAGTGATTTACAAGGGTAGAGAGAAGGGTGCTCTGGAGAGGGATTTATATGGGCAGAGAGAAGGGTGGTCTGTAGAGGGATTTATAAGGACAGAGAGAAGGGTGGTCTGGAGAGGGATTTATATGGGCAGAAAGAAGGGTGGTCTGGAGAAGGATTTATATGGGCAGAGAGAAGGGTGGTCTGGAGAAGGATTTATATGGGCAGAGAGAAGGGTGGTCTGGAGAGGGATTTATAAGGACAGAGAGAAGGGTGGTCTGTAGAGGGATTTATATGGGCAGAGAGAAGGGTGGTCTGTAGAGGGATTTATATGGGCAGAGAGAAGGGTGGTCTGTAGGGGAATTTATATGGGCAGAGAGAGAAGGGTGGTCTGGAGAAGGATTTATAAGAGCAGAGAGAAGGGTGGTCTGGAGAAGGATTTATAAGGGTGGAGAGACATGGAATTTGCCTCGCTGGCTGCATCAGCATGAATCTCGAGGTTTGGTGCTTGTGATGCAGTTGAGGGGAGGGGTGGGAGTTGAGGAGATGGAGAACTGGCTAGAACCCGAGGGGCAGCCTTGAGGGGTGGAGGGGGAGCCTGAGGAAGCCGGGGGCCCCGGGAGGGGGCTGGGCTGCATGTGGCTGGGTAGGGCTGCATCTCTGTCCTAAGAAGGAGTGAAAACCCTTGGGTGGTGGACAGCGCGGGGCTGAGACGCAGGCGGGAAACCTTGGGATGTGCATTTTGAAAAACTGAGTTGCCAGGTGGAGAAGAGACTGGAGCGGGAGCAGGTATCCTGGTCCCGCAGGCTTGTCCGAGGTAGAGATGTGGGCAGCTGGGACCATGTTGGTGGCTGTTCAGATGCAAAGAAGTAAATGGATTCAAGAGCCTCAAATGGATTCAATGTCTAGTTAAAGGCTTGATAGAAGGGATTTTTAGATGCCATTAAAAATGACAGTCTTAATCAGATTAAAAATTTGGCCACATTAAAATAAAATATCCACACATATATATTATTTTTCAAAAACACACCATAAACCAAGTTAACTGACAGAATACAAGCTGGAAGGACGTGTGTTCTATTTATGTGACTTACAAGAGGTTTATTTCTGTATTAAATGAAGATTTTAAAAACAATAAGGCAGTGTCATAAAAGGAAAAAAATCCCGTGGTACAGACAGACAGTCCAGCAGGTGGAAACCTTTAAGGCCAGTAAACGTGGATGATGTCCAAGTTCACTTGTGATTGGAGAAATATAAATTTCCATCAATGGGGATGTCTTCTTCCCAGCTAGGAGACTGAAAAATAAAACGTGTTAAACCCAAATGTTGCCTAGTTTAGTGGATTGCCAGAAACTCACATGCAGGTTTGTAAATCATTACAAATGTCTATGAGGATCAGTTCTCTAGAAGAATTGAAGACGCGCCTTTGGGTGCAGAGTTGCATATCTGGGTGCCCTAGAAATTCCTTCGCTCCCAGCAGGATGTCCCAGCATCATCTGTATCTGCTGCCCTGCAAGACAAAAGACTTGCAGATGGCCCATGCAGCAGATAGTCCATGTTTATAAATGGTCAGTATTACTTGTAACAGGAAATAAAAATGGAAATAGCTGAAATAGAATACTGTAGGGGATTATCTTAATACACTGTATACATGTGTTATGCTTTGTTAATTTCATGCAATGAAATATTACATTACTGTTAAAATGGATTAATTGGGGCTATCTCCATCAACATATCTAAATATGTTACAGCTTTGAGAAAGGCAGTTATAGAGCACAGTATATAGTATGACCCCCTTCCTGTAATTAAAAAAAAAAGTGTATAACTGTTGTCAACAAGTAATCCCATGTTTCATTAATTTGCAGACAACTTTTTTTTGTTTTGTTTTTTGTTTTGCGACGGAGTCTCGCTCTGTCACCCAGGCTGGAGTTCAGTGGCGTGATCTTGGCTCACTGCAGCCTCTGCCTCCCAGGTTCCAGCCATTCTCCTGCCTCAGCCTCCTGGGTAGCTGAGATTACAGGCGCATGCCACGTGCCTGGCTAATTTTTGTATTTTTAGTAGAGATGGGGTTTTACCATGTTGGCCAGGTTGGCCTCAAACTCCTGATCTCAGGTGATCCGCCCGCCTCAGCCTCCCAAAGTGCAGGGATTACAGGCGTGAGCCACCACGCCCGGCCGACAACTTTATTTCTTATAAAGAGTTGCAGCCCTCAGGCTGGACTTTCTGACAGGCTGCCTCCAGCAGAGACCGAAAGCAGGCATTTGAAGGAGGAAGGCTGAGACAGGAATTTATGCTGAACAGGTTGGCCAAATATACATATTTAGCAGGTGGGAGATGGAGCTATGCGTATTCACGGACTGGCTCTGAGACATTTGACTGAATAAACACGTATGTTATGTGTGACACATATTCACTTTGGGGTGTGGACTTAACATTAAAATGTAGCAAAATTAGGCTCTGTGTGTTGAAAGGTGAAGCTGGTACATGAATGCCCTCAGTGCACAGCCTCTGCAAAACCAGCCAGGACCAGATCATGGTGGGTGGTCTCTTATCAGGAGAAAATTACTGGAATCATACCTTATCCAACTGAAGCTGCTGCTGTGGCTGGTAAGAGGTTCAGTTGGCCAGGGTCTCAGAGCTGGATGAGCTATGAGTATTTTAATCTTTCTTATCTCTAGGCTAGTGCTGGTTCAGCTGCTACAGAAAAAGAAAATCTTGTGGCAGTGAGTATACGGTTTACTAAGAGCAGGGTGCACAACTCACCCTTTGCCTGGCATGGCTTTAGGTCCTGTTTGTAATTTGGTGTCTTATTGCCACAGAGAATCTACTCTGTCAGTCTTATGATCTCTGTTTTACTGCTGTAACATCTAGTATTAATTATTCTGTAACTGTGTCATAAAAGTCTAAAAACTTCATTAGAAAATGAAATTGACTCTGTAAAGCAAAAGGTATGTAATAAGGGGAATTCTCAAGTATATCTTTTTAAAATTATATACACACATGCAGACACACGTATACACACATACACATGCAGGCATGCAGACACATGGAGCTACGTGTACACATGCAGACACATGCAATGTGCATGCACAAACATGCAAACAAATGCACATGCATGCACACATGTAGAGACACATACGTGCACATTCACACCCAGAATATATGCATATCCACACAGGCAGGGACACACACACACATACACACATGCACACACACATGTATGTACATGTATTTATGGTGTAGGTTAAAATTGTATAAAGCTGGCATTGAATATACAGATGCACACCATAGTGTTAAATTTTGCCTAAGAGCTCACGTATACATAAATTTTAAAAAGAAGAGTTACCGTATCTTCTTTTAATTTACTTGGTTTCTGATCACAGATAAGCATTGCTAGACAGCTCTGTGACTGTGTCAGGTGAATGTTAAAGGGTTGTCGTGAGGGCAGTGTTAGCTATGGAATGCATCAATAACTGTCAGGTTCCGAGCACACAGTGGGTGTTCTACAAATGCGGATGGTGTGAGGAGGTGACCTGTGGTGTCTGGTCAGCTCATAACTTCCATATTTTTCTTTAGGCTCTTCCCCTTCAGAGAGTGCCCCACGCCATCTCCAGTTGGGTTTCGTCCATCCCTTTTCCTCCAGGCCCTTTCAGAATTTCGTGCATGTATCTGGCATCCATGCATAAGAAATGTAAAGATATTTGTTAGTCATGGAGTTAGTTAGCAAAATATGTATGTTGTAGTATGGTAACGAGCCTCTGTTGACTCCCACTTTTTACTGGTAGGGATAAAATTTGAAAATGATTAATTCACAGTTCTTTTAAAAATCCCATTAAGGCTGGCTGATTGCTGAAGTGGCTCTTACGTTCTGTTCAGTGCATCAAAGCAAGGGAAACATCATCTTGCAGAAAGTAGTGAGGAGACAAGCAGCCCTGGGGAGCTGAAGGCACGTCGCTGGTGGTCAGAGGGTGTCTTCATTTACTGGCCACAATCGGCATAAGCTGCTGCTTCTGAAAGATGCCCTTGAAATTTGGTGCCCACTCCTGAGACCATGGTGGGCCCTCCAGGAATCCCTGCTTTAGTGTTCACTTATTTGTGGCAAAAGATGGGGCCTTGGTGCCCACAGCCGACTGGGTAGGTGGAGGCTGTGCAGTCAGGGAGGGGAGAGTGCATGGTGGGCAGGGTTGGGGCCGCTGTCAGACCTGGAGAAACATCAGTGAGAAAGTTTGGAAAAGGAGGAAGGAGCAGGAATGAGAGCTGTTTAGACCCAGGGCGTGAACTTCTCACCTGGTTCAGGCTGTGCTCTGCAGGGAAATATTCACAGCATGAACGATATGCAAAGCCAATGCATGCTCAAGTGGCTGGCAAAAAAAAATTAATAATAATAATAAAATAAAAAGATTGCGTGATTTTTTTGTAAAATGTTGGCAAAGGCCTGAGCACAACGTGCTTTCACTTAATGGGCCATCACATTACAGCCCCTGTTGGCTCTCAGCAGGGTTGGCTCCCAGCAGGTGTTTTCTGAGTGCTGCTGGGCCTGGGATGCTGGTAGTTTCCAGGGTGTGAAGAGATGCCCATTGTCCTCCTCCTGTCCTGACAGGTTTCC
Source organism: Homo sapiens (assembly GCF_000001405.40). Taxonomy (NCBI): domain Eukaryota; kingdom Metazoa; phylum Chordata; class Mammalia; order Primates; family Hominidae; genus Homo; species Homo sapiens. Next base: position 1,018,971 of record NC_000002.12, read on the forward strand.
CACTTGATGAGAATACAGCACGCATGCAGAGCTCTATCTACAGTGCTGACAGCGCTGCATGTTTTACTAGAAGGACCTGGCATCAGCTCTTCGAGCAGGTGCTGTTAGGGGGGCAGCTGTGGAGGGTGTGAGTTGTGGACAGGCATTCTGAGCTGGGCTGCAGAGCACTGATGGAGGGACGTCATGGTGTGTATTGTGCATCAAACAGTCCCCTTTGGCTCAGCTTCATGTGATGGGCAATGAGGTTGAAATCAGACAGGCCAGATATCATGTCTGTGAGTCTTGGAGGGTCTTGGAGAACATGCTAAGAAGTTTTCATTTTAATCCATCAATGAGTGTGTTTAGAGCAAGAGAGGGACTAGTGATTCCAAACTGGCGTTTCCTGATTCACGTGGCAATGTCATGCAGGGTTGAGTGGGAAGGGGACAAACTGGAGCTGTTTAGAAGATGGCTTTGTGAATCTGAGTGAGTGTTGTGGGAAGAGGCCATAGGTGTGCTGGGAATGTGGAGGGAGTGACCAGGTGTGGTATCCAAGGGAAGAAATGGCAAGGAGGGCAGGGTCAAAGTGGCTCCAAGCTTTGGAGATTGCACACTCTTCTGGAAAGAAAGGAAATGGAAATTCATTGAAAAACTATAATGTCACAGCAGGCTGTTGAAACTCTACAGACATTCTCTAAGTTAATGATAGTTCCACTGGTAATTATGCTGCAGGATTAGGCAGTTTTAGCTGAGGGATAACCACAGTGCTAAGGAGGCTCATGCGAGGTGGGCGACCTGGTATTAACATCAACACAGAGGCCAGGCGTGGTGGCTCAGGTCTGTAATCCCAGCACTTTGGGAGGCCGAGGCAGGTGGATCACCTGAGGTCAGGAGACTAGTGTGGCCAACATGGTGAAACCCCGTCTCTACAAAAAAAAGAAAAATTAGCCGGGTGTGGTGGCGGGCACCTGTAATCCCAGCTACTTGGGAAGCTGAGGTAGGAGAATTGCTTGAACTCCGGAGGCAGAGGTTGCAGTGAGCTGAGATCGTGCCACTGCACTCCAGCTTGGGGGACAGAGCGAGACTCCATCTCAAAGAAAAACAACAAGAACAACACAGAAACACTATGGGCCACTGACAGTTATTCCCAATAGCCATTCAGGCATGAATCTCTTCTGATATTAACAATGGTGCATTTCAAGTACACAAGCTGATGATGAATAAAATCCCATTTTATACACATACGTGCATGCTCTTCCAGCCTTCATAGACGTGGGGTGGATGGTGGAGGACTCCAGGGCAATGCCCAGCAGGTGAATGGCAGGGCCACTTCCTAAGGGCCCAGGCATCTGGGCTTGGGCCCAGCTCCCCTGGCTCCAGCATGAATGCCTTTCCTCCCACTTCTGGCCCCTGGACTGGCCAGATGGTGAGTGAGGGAACCACTTACAACCATCAGCAGGCAGGCCACGGTGGAGCCTCAGAGGGACATCTGCAGAAGGACTTATTTTTACCAAAGAGCTGTTCTGAAAACCCACTCAGCATCTGCACTGTCCGAATGGGATCTGATTGTGCTGGGTCTGTGTACTCATTCCTGCACTTCTCCAAATTTGTAGGAATTTTTTTTTTAAAAAAATTCCAACAGAAAAGTTGGAAGAATAGTCTAATAATATACTCCTCATCCATATTCAATTACTAATATTTTAATATATTTATCTTTGTGTTTTGTTCTTGCTGATTATTAAAAATCATTTGCAAAATTCAGGAATTTTAACCTCAAACATGTCAAACTGTCTGCCACATCAGGAAGTCCCATTATTCATGAGCTGAGTTTTTCACTTAAGAGAGTAACTCACAGACTTCTCTGTTTTTAACCATATGTATATATATATTTTTTGCCAATAGTAACTGTTAGACAGCATGAAAATATCCTACCAACAATTTTTGCTTAATAGCTTTAGCATTTAATGATGATCCTTCTGAGTCAATTATTTCATTGAACCTGGAAAAATGGTGATTTTTGTATTACATTTTTAATGACCTTTCTCCAAAGAAGAATAGCTTTTCCTCATCAACTATAGAGACACTGTGGTTCCTCTTAAAATGAAAGGTGAATGATTAATTCTCTCTTGAATCGCCAATTTTCACAGTAAGGAATCGTGTTTTGATCTCTTCCAGTGGGGGCAATCAAGCCATGTTTGTCTCTTCCTCTCACTTGCTTTCTCTGTAATTTTTTGAGTATTATTACATATACATGGTGCACTACAGTCAGTTACGGTAGCTACTATCTTTGACAGTTAAATAGACCCAAATGTGATTAGTAGGAGGTTCAAGCTGGTTTCTGTATCTTGTTGACCTGCACCCATAAAAGTCTGTTGATCAGTAGCTCCTTTTGTTTGATAATAAAAAATATCTCAAGCACGCTCTCATAATACTTTGCTGAATCCAGAAATGGCATGCCCCATTTTCCAAGGAGATATATTGCTTTTTAAAATCCATCATTTTAACAGGGTATTTGGAAACCAAAAGCTTGCAGGGACATTTTCTGGACACATCAAGCAAATATATTTTAAAATTTTGTTTAAATATATTTTTTAATATTTTACTCAAATTTGATATAACTTATTTTTTGCCTTGACTTCTAGGAATTTTCTTTTTTTTTTCTTTTGCTTTAGGGCCAGAGTCTTTCTGTGTCATCCAGACTGAAGTGCAGCACTATGATCATAACTCATTGCAGCCTCCACCTCCTGGCACCTCCTGGCTCAAGCAATCCTCCCACCCCAGCCTCCTGAGTAGCTGGGACTATAGGAATGCACCACCATGCCCGGATTTATTATTATTATTAATTTTTGTAAAGATGGGGGTCTCACTTTTTTGCTCAGGCTGGTCTGAAACTCCTGGCCTCAAGTCATCCTCCTGCCTTGGCCTCCCAAAGTGCTGCAATTAAAAGTGTGAGCCACCACACCTGGCTTGAATTTTGTTTTATGTGCTTTTTTTTTTTTTTTTTTTAGTGAAAACATAAGCTCCTAATAATCCTATCATGCTAAATTACTTATTCTATGTGTACATGATACATTTTCAAAATTTTAGTACACTAGTTACACGTGAACTAGTACAGCCACTGTGGAGAAGAGTATGGAGGTTCCTCATAAAGTTATGAATAGAGCACAGAGGTGAACTGAAAACTATGAATTGAGCCAGTGTTCCCATTACTGGGCATTTATCCGAAGGAAAGGAAATCCTGCGCTCCTGTGAATCCCTAGGTTCTTGCAAGTCCCTGATTTCCTGTGAGTCCCTGCGTTCCCATGAATCCCTTTGTTCCCATAAATTCCTTTGTTTTTGTGAGCCCCTGTGTTCCCGTGAATCCTTGCGCTCACGTGAACCACCTGTGTTCCCGTGAGCCTGTGCGTTCCCGTGAATCCCTGCATTCCCGTGAGGACCTGCGTTCTCAGGAGCCTCTGCGTTCTCGTTAGCCCCTGCATTGCCGTGAATCTGAGTTCCCATGATTGCCTGAGTTCCCATGAGTCCCTGAGTTCCCGTGAGTCCCTGAGTTCCCGAGTCCCTGAGTTCCCGTGAGTCCTTGCATTCCCGTCAGTCCCTGAGTTCCCCTGAATCCCTGAGTTCCTGTGATTCCGAGTTTCTGATTCCCTGTGTTCCTCTGAGTCCCTGTATCCTCGAGTATTCCTGTACCCTTGTGAAGCCCCCGAGTTTTTGTGCATACTTGCCTAGTACATGGCAAGTGATCAGGTACATTTTTTATTAATAAGGGATTGCATTGGGATTGGTGATTATCAAAATGGGTCAGTGCTAAATAGTGAATTTTCCCTCTGTCATTTCTTCTTTCCCCCTTCCATGAGAATCTCCTTGTGTAGCTGAGAAGCTGCAGTTAACATTGTAGCATCTTGATAGCGAATATAAATCCATAGACCTTGAGAAACAAGGCCTAGGGACTGTCGTCTGGAGAGTTAAGATTTACTTTAAGAAACAAGAGAAGATAAAGGAGATAAATGGCTTCAGCCAGTTGGCCAGGGTAGGAGGATGTGAGACTGGCAGCAAATGAGAGTCTCCCAGGCACACACAAGCCTCTGAGCTGCTACAAGTGGGAGACACCAGGAAAGAGGATTTTTTAATGTGGTTCAGAAATAAATCCTTTTTGACTTTACATTTAACCCACTATCAGTAGATATTCACATAGGTTTTTTTTTTTTAATTTTATTTTCTGGCCCGTGTCTTGAGGAGAGAATTAGTCTGGGCCCATGTTATTTATCCTGTTTGAAATGAGGGATTTGAGTAATCACCCCCCAGCCTGGCCTGGACGGTCACTTTACTCTTGGGCCATCTCCTTCTCTTGGCAGCAGTAGAAGGATGTGGCTCCAAGATTGTGTTTTCTCCTGTAGTGTGAGGTGAGTGGCCATGACATTGGGCTGAATTGATGCTGTGTTGGAGGCTGGATGGTGGTAAATCTATTTTTATTTAAATTTTCTGCAGTCAGAATGTGCAAATAGTTGATGTTGTCTTTATTTTCCATCACTGAGATAAAAGGCCTGACTTATTTTGTTAACATGGAGGAACATAAGTTTTATACTTAAATGGGTAATAGGTTATTATTATTATTTTTATTTATGGTTTCATCGTCGAACATTTTTATGTTGTGGACAGTGTCAATTCTTGCCTTTGTGGGCCCACTCAGACCTGCCTGGTCAGCCCTTGCAAGGACACTCGCGTTGCCCAGCCCTGGCTCCGTCACTGTGCCACTGTCAGCACATCTGCACCCCGCGTAGTCTGGGGACATTTAGACAGCCTTAGGCTCAATGTCAAGTGGATCCAGAACCTCGGCAGTCTGCAAGGAGAGTTGTGTGTGTGCCATCGATGTCCGCTTACACCAGGTCCGGCTGCAGGCTGCTCTTGGACCTCCTTGTCCTTGACTGGGACTGAAGACAGCACACCTGAAAGCTTTCCACGGATGAGCAACGTTACATGGAGTATCCACTGACAATGTGGAAAAACTGGTGTGTGCTTTACACCAGTAATAACTCATCTAGAACAGGGGTTGGCGAACCTTTCTGTGCAGTGCGAGATGGTGATATTTATTTGTGATTCTGTGGCAACAACAGTCCTGCTCTCGTGGAGGGGAAGTGGCTGCGGTAGACATGGGTATGGAATGGATGGTGCCTGCCAGGGAAGCTTCGTGGCACCACAGGGGCCTCCCAGATTCAATCCGTGGGCCACAGATTGAAAATGAAGCAGAAAAAGATATTTATTTGAAAAATCGTAATACTAAAAGTGAGGGACCAATATGAAGAAAACAAATATTTAAATAAATATAAAACTTAACTAAGCCATACATGATGTGATGTGACAGAAGGTTATTATTTATTTTTTCTATAAGTGAAATTATACTTTAAATATATTCTGATAAAAACATGAAGACTAAGTTTTTTTAGACAGGGTCTCCATCTGTTGCCCAGGCTGGAGTGCAGTGGCATGATCATGGCTCACTGTAGCCTTGGCCACCTGGGCTCAAGCAGTCCTCCTGCTTCGGCTTCCTGAGTAGCTGGGACCACAGGCTCACGCCACCACACTTGGACAATTATTTTTTAAAATTGTTTGTAGAGGTGTGGTCTCACTATGTTGCTCAGGCTGTTCTTCAACTCCTGGGCTCAAGCGATTCTCCCACCTCACCCTCCAAAATGCTGGGATTACAGGCATGAGCCACCGTGCCCACCCAAGACTATTTTTAATGAAAATATTGATTCTGAAATTTACCTGCAATAATGAAAAGATGAGAATTAATACCCAAGGCTCTTTGAAAAATAAAGTAATAAAGCAGTGACTTACACTAGCAAATGTCAAAACATTGTCAAGCAAGGTGGCACTGAGGTGACATAGGTAATACAGGTCCACATTGTGTACTCTACCAAGAAATAAAAAGAAAGCAGAAACTAATACTTACAATATGATTACTTGTTAGTGCACTCTATGGGATAATGAAATAAATGGCAGGATATAATGTTAGTTATTTTGAAATATTGTCAAGATCTGCTACATACACTCTACGTGGATTAGATAACTTATCTAAAAGATCAAAATATGAAACACCCCCACTCACACTGCCAAAATCAAACTATGTTCCCCACCAGAACACTGAAGGGATGTTGTAGAGCTTAACAGAAAGAGTAGATCCAAGTTCTTGCCTCAGTGTTTTCCCCTAGGGATGATGAGTAATGCAGGGTCTGAGTAGTGCTTGAGCAGGAAGAAGCATGCCATCCCAGCTGGGAGCAACTTCAAGAGACTCATGGAATAGAACAAGGGCCCGGTTGGTAAACATAGCACAGGACGGGGTGAGGGTGGCAGGAGATATGGGTGCATGGAATCCAGGCAGGGCAGCCACACAGGGACTTCTGCATGCAGGAGATGGCTGTGGACCTGTGCGGCACTTCTAGAATTCCTATGATGAGAAGAGCATGGGGGATTCGCTTCCCATGGCTGCTGTTTTTTACTGCAGAGCACAAACTTAATATTTTTAGTTCTGGAGGTAGGAAGTCTAAAATGGGTTGCACTAGGCTAAAATCAAGGTATCGGCAGGACTGCGTTCTTTCTGGAAATTCTGGAGGGCAATCTGTTTCCTCTGGATTCTAGAGACTGCCTGTGCGCCTTGGCTCCTGGCTACGTCCTCCATCTTCACATCATCTTCACAGCCAGCGGTGCAGCGTCTCCAAATCTCACTGTGACCCTGGCCCTCCTGTCCCCTCTCTGCCTTATGGAGGCCCCTGTGATGACACTGGGCCCTCTGGGTCATCCGGGATGACCCCCATCTCACAAGCCTGAGTCTCATCTGCAATGTCCCCCTGCTATGTGACATTCACAGGCTCTGCAGATGTGGATATTTTTGTGGGGGCCTTTGCCTAACATAGACAGCATCATTCATTCATTCATTCATTCATGAGACCCTGAGACTGGTCAACCGCATTTGAGAGATTTGAAAATTTGGGCTCTGCAGGAATAATTGACTTGCTGAACTAGTTGTTAAGCCCAGGAGTTTTAAGTCAGCATTACAAACTAATTTGGCATTTTGTTTTGTTTTGTTGCATGTTTATAGAAGTTAAAATGCATTCTTTAAAACCAGTCCAAATGTAATGAGTAATTTTAATATGAATTGTTAATCAGTTTCTGGAAAAGCAAGCAGCTTTGTTTGTTACTGGATAATTTTGAAAAGTTTGTTGTTGTTGTTGATTTTCCCAGTGCTCCAACACCAGATGCAGACACGTGTCTTTTAATTGAACCCCACTCTAGCATTGTTTTATGGTAATTCAGGATTATTAATCAGACTCTCAATTGGCGTTCCTCTTCAGCACTTAGCGTGAACACTGAAGAACACGCAGGGGAGAGGACTTGTTCTCCTCCTTCCAAATTTTATGCAGTTTTTGGCATTAATTCAGAATCTGCTATTCAGTGCATAAAGAACTCATTAGAGTTACCAGTACAGGGACTTAGCCCTCTGACAATAGTTTTAGGAAATTATAAGATGTCATTTGCCAACATCCAAAAACACAAATAAATAAAACTGCTAGGAAAAAAAGTGAGGGAGATATCATTGTACGGGCTAGAGTTTTGAGATTAAATATTCATGGATGGCTCTTCGTGTTTTCCTAGGCATGAAATTGTTGACAACCCTGCACTCACCCAGCATGTCTCATTCTCCCGAGTAGCCTTGTGCATGGAATGGAGCTCAGGAAACAACCCTCGGAATAACCCACTTGCTCTGCCTTTTAAAAATACCCCGATTCCACCTCTGTCTCCCATGGCAAATGGTCTGAGTGCCATCCTCTCTCACTGGGTGAATGCAGGAGCCCCCTCCTGCCCTTGGCCTGCCCTTCCTCTTCCTGCTCTTTGCCTCCTCCTTTTGCCTGTGGCCTCCCCCTGCCCTTGGCCTCCTTCTCTCCTGACTTAGTGTCTGCACAGCAGCCTTGCTGATTTACTGTCTGCACTCCTTGGCTTAGTATCTGCATAGCAGACAGAGTGGTTCTTCCACAGTAACTTGGCTCAGCCTCCATCGTGCTACCCTTGCTCCCTTGTGTGATGCTGGGAGCCCCTCCATCCTGGCCACTCTTGCTGCTGCAGTTAGTTCTCTGTGTCCCGTGACTCTTTTCCATGTGCTTCTTGCACACCCTAAAAACAGCTCTCCCCTACATCTGCTCACTGCCTGCACCCTGGAGAGAACAGGGATCTCGTCTGCTTGTTTCCTGGAGATGCTCCCGGGCCCACAGTGCTCCCTGGTCCCAGCAAGTAACTCATGCATCTCTGTTGAGTAAAGAGATAAGCAGGTGCGTCTGACCCACAGACACTACCCAGCAAGTAACTCATGCATCTCTGTTGTGTAAAGAGATAAGCAGGTGTATCATTGAAGGTGTGTCTGACCCACAGACACTACCCAGCAAGTAACTCATGCATCTCTGTTGAGTAAAGAGATAAGCAGGTGCGTCTGACCCACAGACACTACCCAGCAAGTAACTCATGCATCTCTGTTGAGTAAAGAGATAAGCAGGTGCATCACTGAAGGTGCGTCTGACCCACAGTCACTATCCAGCAAGTAACTCATGCATCTCTGTTGAGTAAAGAGATAAGCAGGTGCATCACTGAAGGTGCGTCTGGCCCACAGACACTACCCAGCAAGTAACTCATGCATCTCTGTTGAGTAAAGAGATAAGCAGGTGCATCACTGAAGGTGCGTCTGACCTACAGACACTACCCAGCAAGTAACTCATGCATCTCTGTTGAGTAAGTAGGTCAGTAGGTGCATCATTGAAGATGCGTCTGACCCACAGACACTACCCAGCAAGTAACTCATGCATCTCTGTTGAGTAAAGAGATAAGCAGGTGCATCACTGAAGGTGCGTCTGACCCACAGACACTACCCAGCAAGTAACTCATGCATCTCTGTTGAGTAAAGAGATAAGCAGGTGCATCTGACCCACAGACACTACCCAGCAAGTAACTCATGCATCTCTGTTGAGTAAAGAGATAAGCAGGTGCATCATTGAAGGTGCGTCCGACCCACAGACACTACCCAGCAAGTAACTCATGCATCTCTGTTGAGTAAAGAGATAAGCAGGTGCATCATTGAAGGTGCCTCTGACCCACAGGCACTACTCAGCAAGTAACTCATGCATCTCTGTTGAGTAAAGAGATAAGCAGGTGCATCACTGAAGGTGCGTCTGACCCACAATCACTATCCAGCAAGTAACTCATGCATCTCTGTTGAGTAAAGAGGTAAGCAGGTGCATCACTGAAGGTGCGTCTGACCCACAGACACTACCCAGTAAGTAACTCATGCATCTCTGTTGAGTAAAGAGATAAGCAGGTGCATCATTGAAGGTGCATCTGACCCACAGACACTAAGCTCTGGCTGCACATCCTACGCTTACTGAACCTTTAGAAATACCTGGGTATTCACTGACTGCAGGTATCCTGATAGGGTAGCACCTGAATGGACATCTGTAGTGTTTAAAATCCCCACAGCTGGTTCCGAATGCTGGCTGAGAAGCTTCCTTCCTCGGGTCAGGCTCATTTCCCTCTAGACGGGAGGCCTGGTGTCAGTCACTTACAATGTCCAAACCTTCTCAGCTTTCTCTTCTTTGAAAGGTCCAGAAACCCTCTGCTTTCCCTTCATGTGGATCTATCTTTCCTTATGCTTTACTCGAAAAGACTCTGGGTCTTACAACACTGAGTAGTTAGAACTCCAACACATTCCTGGTCCTCTCTGCCTCTGCATCTGTTTTCCAGGCAACCTCCTTTTTTTTTTTTTTTTAAATGCTAATCACATTTGCATGAAAGCCAGGGATTCTTCTCACCCTGCGCTTCTAAGCAGGATGGGTACTGTTCCGTTTGTGTGCATTTTTGTGCTATATTACACGCTTTTACAGTGAATTTGTATCTACTTTTTAATAGGACCAGGCCAGTTCTAGAGTCTAGAGTTTTTAGTAATGTGCTGTCCCATGTTCATCTCCAAGAGCAAAAGCCCTGCCACTGGCTCTTGGGAAATGTGGAGGCATGCACCTTCTGTCCAGGCTGGAGTGTGGCTTCAGGCAGGATCGGGAGGGGCTCCGGCGGCCTGGACAGCAGGCCCCCACGTTTCCGGGCTTTCCAGCAACCCCAGCCTACTTATCTTTATCTCCCCAAATCATATATCGAAAACCCCAGTTTATTTCTATAAATAATTCATATTTACTTTTATGTTTCAACTTAGAATTGGTACGTTACCAAAAGTCTCAGCTAACTATAGGAGGCTAGTTTGATTTACAATTTTTAAATGACTAAGAGGAGGTGGTAATTAACACAAAAAAGACTGATTTTCTTTGCAGGTGAGGGAGGTCAGGAAAATATATTGCAGTGGTACAAGAAATATACTTGACACTTGATTAAACAAGCTATAACATGTCTAAATAAATTCACAGTGTCAGGTTTTGGTTTATTGCATTATTGAATAATAGTATCTAAGAATAATAAGACCCCTTGGTTATGCTGCTTGGTTATGCTTGAATAATTCCTTTTTGAAGGAAATTAAGAAATGGAATTTGGTCATTGTAGAAGTTTCCGCTAATCAGCAATGTTGTCCTGATCAGTTGACACATGAGTTCTCCATAGTTCTGGCGTTACACCCTGAGACCATGCGTGAGAGCATGACCTTACACGTTCTGGTCCCGTCTCATTCCTTCCAGACTTAAGCTGCTGTCGCCGCCAAGGTGCACTCATTCTGGTGCCCCCTCAGTGCTCCTGTGCCATCTCATCCTCTGCTAAGTCAGCCCTGACTCTTCTTAGACCTTGATGCATGTCATTGGCAAGAGTCACCTTTCCAGAACCTTCAGTGGTGACCTTTTCTCAGTCATAAACCTACAGTGGCAGCCCAAGTAACTCACACCTGACCTCTTTCTAGTCAAGTACTCTGGCTTTTCCCTGTTAGGCATCATCTTACCTTTCACATCTTACGTTCCTGTATCATTTCCAGTGTTTTACACTCTCGCTAAATAGAAGCTGTTGATGCAGAGTGACTCGGCAGCCATTCCCTTTCCCTGCATGCTGCCTCCTTCATCTCTTCTATCTACACCTTGAGTGGCTGCAGGTTGTCTTAGGGATGCTTCCTTGCCCCTTCGGAAGTGACCTTTCCTTCTTTTGTACATCGATCATAAATAACTTGTAGCTCTCATTGCATGCACTGGTTGTTGCTTTAGCTGTTTGCATTTTCCTGTGTCACTGGCTGTATTTGATGCTGAACTTCTTGAGCTGTGCAGTCATGCCGCCTTCCACTGTGCCTGGTGCAGTGCGTGTGTTAGAGACGTGCTTCGTGCTTAGAAAGGAGGATTTCAGAGGAAACTGTGGGAGCCACTTGATCCCTGGGCCACATGATCTTAATTTCAAATGTAGCTGTGGTCAGACACAATTCAATTAAAAAAAGGGCAAGGGACACACAGAGACACTTGGCCTGTGATGACACATGGATGGTACAAACACACAACAAGATGTACTTATTGGAGGCTGCTCACATGTGCAGCTGTGATTAAACAACACCGAGCTGTCCACACGTGTGCCAGTGAGCATTTGATGGTCAGCATTATACTTTGGCCATGTCAGTCATGGCCTTTTCTCAGTCATAAACCTACAGTAGGTTAGGTGTTCCTGTCAGAGGCATGGTGAAGGGTACTGAGCACTGCTGTACACTCATTTTCCATCTTCTCAAAAATCTACAATTATTTCAAAATAAGTAAAAATATGTTGGCAACATGTTATGTGTATTACATTGTATTCACCTTCTGGAACTTTCTCAAGTGTACCATAAAACTGTGCATTTACTGATTTCCTTTTTTCCTGTTGACAAAGGAAGAAATCCATGGTTCTGCTGCAGAAGAGCCACGTGCACCGATGACTATTCGTGTGACCCCAGATTCACTGATTTCCACTTTTATGAACTCTTTTAAGCTGCAGTTGTGAAATTCGAAGATACCAACATGTTGTAGGGATTATTCTTTAAGCAAGTGGTAGTTAGCTAGTTAGACAGGTTCTTAAGTAAAAACACCAATAAATACTTCTGTTCCAGTCTTGTATGGCAGAGTCTATGAAAGCAAAGAGGTTCTGAGAGGAATCCCAAATTAGTGAATTTGCAGGCTCCAATATTGCATGAAACAGTGTGAAATTTAACATATTTTGAAATGTTTACTTTAGGTAGCAAATATAAAAGCAGCCACCTGACTTCTGGAGATCCTTGGTTTTGTTTTTGTTGAGTGGACTTTACGTGCAGAGGGTTGAGTTGTTGAGTTACACGGTTGGAGACAGGTCTGTCGCTGGTCTGTGCAGGGTTCTTCTCTGGTGTTTTCTGTTCATGCTCCCATTTCCTCCCCTCTCAGGGAACAGTCCTCAGAGTGTCAGATGGGCACACTCTAATTGTAGCTTCCTAAGATGTGCTTTAATTGACATGAATAGACTTATAGTCTCATATGGTTTCTCATGGTTTTCACTCAGCAGTTTTAAAATTTTATGTGTTTGGCTATTTGTATATATAGTTCATTGTTATATATATATATATATATATTTTTTTTTTTTTTTTTTTTGAGGCGAAATCTCACTCCATTGCCCAGGCTGGAGTGCAGTGGTGCGATCTTGGCTCACTGCAACCTCCGCCTCCAGGGTTCAAGCAATTCTCCTGCCTCAGCCTCCTGAGTAAATGGGATTACAGGCACGTCCCACCACGCCCAGCTAATTTGTTTCACATTTCTATGTAGTAATGAAGTACTGATACATGCTACAACACAGATGAAACTTGAAAATATTCGAAGAGAGAGAAGCCAGATGGAAAAGACCTCATGTTGTGTGATCCCATTCACATGAAATATCATGCATAGGTCAATCCACAGAAACTGAAAGTAGATTTGCATTTCCTAGCGATGGGAAATTGGGACTGACTGCTAATGGGCACAGGGTTTGTTTCTGGGGTAATGGAAATGTTCTAAAATTAGCAGTGATGGTTGCACAACTCTGTGAATACAGTAAAAATCTGAATTTTAAATTTAAAAATGGTGGGCTGTATAGTATGTGAATTATATATAATTAAAGTAATTATTAAATAAAAGTAGCTACTGACAGCATTGCTTGTGACAGGTGGAAGGGGGACCTGAAATGAAGCGTCATCAACACCAAAGTGAAACACGGGCAGGCAGGGCCCTAACAATGGAACAACGCTGCAGCGGGACCACGGGCTGGGGCACGGGAGCACGGCGCCTCATGATTGATATGACCAAGAACTTCTTAAGCAAAACCGCAAAAGCCAAATAAGTAGGCCAGATTACACTGTACAGTGAAACACACAGTGAATAAATGTAACCGAGAAATGACAGATTACAAAATGTTCCTAAAGTCTAAAAATGAAAACGAAACTACACACACGCACGCACATATATCAGGAATCTGTAGCAAATCTACAAGATAAATGAATAAGCCCAAATTTTAGATAGCCCAAAAATATAAACAGGTATAGGCAAGGGAACTCAGGTAATGGGTAATTGGGACACTTTCAATTGTTCCCTAACTTATTTGATACATTTAAATTCACATAATGATAAGATATCCTTTATGCCCAAGATGTCTGCAAAAGTAAAATAAGAATCATGCCAAGAATTGGCCAGTTTCCTCATGTTTCTGAATTAAGAAGGACAACATGTAGTTTTCACCATTAAGTATATTATCTGTGGGTTGTTTGCAAATGCTCTTAAACAGTTTGAGTTAGTTACTTTGTATCTACCTCATTGGTAGATACACCCTTGGTGTATTCCAATGTACCTCATTGGTAGATACATCAAGGGTGTATCTACCCTTGGTCACTGTGTTAGATCATTCTTGTGTCACTATAAAGAAATAGCTGAGAAAAGAGGTTTATTTGGCTCACAGTTCTACAGGTTGTGCGAGCATGGCACTGACATCTGCCTAGATTCTGGGGAAGGCTCAGGAATCTTCCAATCGCGGCAGAATGCAAAGCTGGGGCAGTCATGTCACATGGTGGGAATGGAAGTGAGAGAGGGGAGAGATGTCACACACTTTTAAACAGTCACATCTTGAGAGGACTCACTCACTATTGCAAGAACAGCACCAAGAGGATGGCACTGAACCACTTACGAGAAATATGCACCCATGATCCAGTTGCCTCCGCCAGGTTCCATCTCCAACATTGGAGATGACACCTCAACATGAGATTTGGAGGAAACAGCATCCCAGTTGGTACTGCAGCCTCAGGCAATTGTGATGCTAAACAGTGGCCACTGACTGCTTTTGACAGATGCCCTGGGAGGGTGTTGTCCTGCAGAGGAAGCTCTGAGTCAGGTCAACAAAGACAAGTCCAGAGAGTAGAGCCTTCCAGGGGGTTGCTGGTCAGATCCAATTCTGACAGTTTTTTGGAGATGGGACTTTTGGAGAAACTCCACAAATGCCTGTCCCTTCTTCAAGGGCTGCTACGTTGCCTGTGGCACAGTTACTACAGCTGTGAGGCCGCTGGTGTTGAAGGCTGCTGCAGAGCTGTGGAGACGGGGATGGAAACAGGGTATGTTAAAATATCATAAAGCTTACTCTTCCCAGCGTTCAGATACTTTGCTTAGTAAAATCTCCTCTGATCACTGCTAGCCTTTGATCAACTTTTGGAGTCCTGAAAAAGTTGTGGCCAACAATTTTTGCCAGTCTGCTGTCTTGCTCTTGTGGAGGTCTGGATTGACCTTGGAGTAGAAGTTCCCTGTGGACCTGTGGACAGGCTTCTCATACCCAAGATTGAGATTACTGTGTTGTAGTCTACACTCACAGGCATTTTCACAAAGTAACTCAAGATTGTTTGGCTTAGTTACTGGTCCAGCCTGTGCTCCCTGCAATAACACATGAGTGTTTCCAGTTTCTTCCTAACCCCACCAGAAACTGATTTTTTTAAATGAATGTGTTAAGTATAGTGATTTCATAAAACTTGAAATATTATTTTCTTCTTTCTTGTTTTTTATTTCTCTTTCTTTTTAAAAATATATTTTTAACTTTTATGTTTAGAGGTACATGTGCAGGTTTGTATATGGGTAAATTCATGTCACGGGTTTGTTGTACAGGTTTTTGTCACCCAGGTATTAAACCAGTATCCAGTAGCATTTTTTTTCTGATCTTCTCCCTCCTCTTACCCTCCACCTTCAAGTGGGCCCAGTGTCTTTGTGTTCATGTGTTCTCATCATTTAGCTCCCACTTATAAGTGGCCTTCTGTTCTTGGGTTAGTTTGCTTGGAATAATGGCCTCCAGCTCCATCCATATTCCTACAAAAAAACTTGATCTCATTCTTTTTTATGACTGCATAGTATTCCATGGTGTATATGTACAACATTTTCTTTATCCAATCTACCACTGATGAGTATTTGGTTGATTCCATGTCTTTGTTATTGTGAATAGCGCTGCATTGAACATATGCATGCATACATCTTTCTTTATAATAGAACGATTTATATTTCTTTGGGTATATACCCAGTAATGCAATGGCTGGGTCAAATGGTAGTTCTGTTTTTCAATCTTTGAGGAATCACCACACTGCCTTC
Source organism: Homo sapiens (assembly GCF_000001405.40). Classification (NCBI taxonomy): domain Eukaryota; kingdom Metazoa; phylum Chordata; class Mammalia; order Primates; family Hominidae; genus Homo; species Homo sapiens. The sequence goes on from NC_000002.12 coordinate 1,034,543, forward strand.
CACAATGGTTGAACTAATTTACGCTTCCACCAACAGGGTATAAGTGTTCTCTTTTCTCTGCAACATCACCAGCATCTGTTATTTTGTGAGTTTTTAATAGTAGCCATTCTGACTGGTGTGAGATGGTATCTCATTGTGATTTTGATTTGCATTTCTCTAATGATCAGCAATCTTGAGCATTTTTTCATTAGATACCTACAAAGAGAGTTAGATTCCCGCACAATAATAATGGGAGACTTCAACACTCCACTGATAGTATTAGATCATTGAGGCAGAAAATTAACAAAGACATTAAGGACCTGAATTTAGTACTGGACAAAATGGATCTGATGGACCTCTAAACAACTTTCCACCCAACCACAATAGAATATTCTTCTCATCACCACATGGTACATGCTCTAAAATAGACCACACAGTAGGACATAAAACAATCCTCAGCAAATGCTAAGCAACTGAAATCACACCAATCACTCTCTCAACCACAGTGCAATAAAAATGGAAGCCAAGACTTAAAACATCACTCAAAGCCATGCAATTACATGGAAATTAAACAAACTACTCCTGAATGACTTTTGGGTAAATAATGAAATTAAGGCAGAAAACAAGAAGTTCTTTGAAATTAATGAGAACAAAGATACAACAATCCTTTATTTTATTCAGTGCATTGCTTCCTTCGTTATTGTTCCTCCAAGTCAAGGAGCATTCAATATTGTATTTGCTGAGTGTCTGAGGCTCTTCTCTCATCAGGGAGTGGAATTCTGTTGCCCTGTGACAGGCAGGCAGAGTCTGACTGGCAATGATTGTCTGTAACTGATCCTGGCAGTGCTCTATGGTGCTGTAGAATGAGTATTATAAAATGTATTGAGGGTTACTTTCAAGATTCTTAATTTTGTTATCTGAATCTTTTGTACCGCTACTTATTTCCCTCCATTTGTTCTATCAAGAGATGGACCAAAAAGGACTGGAACCAACTCTCCAGCTGCAATTCTAAAGATGCTCATTGTGTACTTCAGCGGCCGGTGTTTTATTTGGAATGCTTGCTGGGTTTGCATATGGTGTTGGTTGCTATATCTTCTTGATTTATTGTTCATTTCACCAGTGTTTAGTTGTTCTCATGGGTTTTGTTTTTGTTGCTGGAAAATCTGTTTAAACAGTTTTAAATGGGCACGATCCTCCTTTTGGGGTTCATATTTGCCTACTTTATATATCTAAAGTCTTTTATTTTCAACTCTTGTATATTTGCATTTATCTTCAGTGTGTTTTTGTTTTTATTTTGTCTGCACATCTTATCTGAAGGGGATGGAGATGGAACATGAGTATTTGTCTACATGGGAAATCTATTTTTTTCCAAAATAAACAATTACACTGTCCGCCAATAATGATAATTATTTTCCCTTCTTTACAAATCATTAAACATCATAATTGTATTTCCTACCTTATTAATTTGACTGGGATTTTTCTGTAACCTTGTTAAATGGTAGTGATGATAGTGGAAATATGTTTAAACTTTTTGCCATCTGTTAATAGGCTCATAAGATTTTTGTCTCTTGGTTTTTCTAGGTGATTTTTAACTTACGGTTTATTAGCATCAGCTTCTGCTGACAGAACTCCTCATATATTTGGTGTTATTCTTTCATTGTACTTGTAGATTATATTTTCTTGGAGAGAAAGAGATATTCTGCTTATATTAAAAGGGGAGATTTGTTCTTTATTTCTTTCTTTTCTATATTTGTCACATTTTTCTTTATTTTTTTTCAAACATAGCAGGAATCACTTCCTCTTATCTATACTCTGATATTCTTTACAAGGCATAGTATTTTTTTCTCAAACGTTTAGAAGAATTCAACTATAATCAGTCTTTGCCTTGAGTCTAAAAGTGACTCTGATAAATTTCTAAGATCTCATATTGTTTTAAAACCTACTTAAGTTTTGATAATTTAATTTTTCAAAGAAAATTGACACTTTAATTAAAATTGTACATAGCTAGTCACACTCCCCACTGTGGTTTTTAATTTGATTCTATGTTTCTATGGCAGGTTATTTTACCCATATTCCTTTCTGCCTGGGTTTATAGAAGTGACATTTTCTTAAGTGGTATCACAACATTAAATTAGAAATGTCATAAAGTATCTTTAATAATGGTTTTGTTTGTTATAATTGTTCTGTGATTTTTTCCAGCTGATCCCCCAATTGTGTTAATTATGTTGTTAAAATACGCACTGATTTAAATCTCACTGTCTGCAATATTCCCCTTATCAAAGGTAAACAAGACCTTGCCCAGCGTTTGTCTTGAGCTTAGTTCTTTCAGAATACCGTGTCTCTCTCTCTGCGTCTTATTAGCCTGGTGAGAACAGGGCATTCATCCTATAGTGTCTCACCATGTGAGAGACTCAGGAGCCTGGGTTGTGCCCACATCATGTGCTGCCAGACCTGGAGGTGAGGGCAGTATGGGGTGGACTCAGCTCCCAGGGGCACCCGTGCCTTGCAGGTGGCTGCCTGAAGTTCACTGGTCCATGGAGCACAAGCAAAGTAGAAACCCACCAAGTCTGAGTGGCTCGCAGCTGCACGCTGCCATTTCTGTGGCCAAGTGGGAACATTCTGTCAGCACTCAGGGCTCTCCATCTGCCTTCTGCTTCTCTCTGTGGTGCGGAGCCCACAACAGGTCAAAACCTGACCCAGAGCCAGCTGGACCATGTCTGGGTCCTTTGGGACACCAAGGCAGTGGGGGCTAACACCCGAGGCTATTCCTCACCCCATGCCTCCCTGCCTGTTCTCTGAAGGAGGAATCCACATCCCCAGGCTATGCTGCCATAGCCCTGGCCCACAGATCTGAGCCAGACATGGATTTAAAGGGTGTGATTCAGTGTTTTTATTATATTCACAGAGTTGTGCAGCCTTTGGCACAATAGGTTTTAGACCATTTCCATCACCCCAGAAAGAAGCCATTTACAGCCATTTTGCATGCTCCCTGCCCCAGTCCCTGGCCACCAGGGACCTGCTTTTTGCCTCTCTGGATTTGCGACTTCTGAGGCTTTATATACACAGAATCATAGGACGTCTGGTGCTTTATATACACAGAATCATAGGACGTCTGGTGCTTTATATACACAGAACATAGGACGTCTGATGCTTTATATACACATAACATAGGACGTCTGGTCTTTTGTGTTTGGGTTCTTCTACTTCGCATCATGTTTTGGGGGTTCATTTTTGTTGTTTGCATGAATCAGTTCTTCATTTTCTTTGATTGCTGAATAATATTCCATTTTATGGCTACAACATGTTATTTATCCACTCATGAGGGATGGACTTTCTGGTCGTCTTTAAGCTTGGCTGTTATGAATCCTGAGGCTGTGGACGGTGGTGTTCAAGCTTTGGTGTGGACCTGAGTTTCTGCTTCTCTTGGGTATGTACTTGGGTGGGCTTGCTATGTCACATGGTCACTCTGCTTCTCATCTGTGGAAGAGTTTTCAGACTGTTTTCCAAAACAACTGTGGCATTTTGTATTCCTCCCAGTGGTATATGAAAGTTCCCTCACGTCTGAGCAATTATGTATCCGTTGTCAAAACCTGGCCCTACTTTTGGTCAGAGGTGTTTGCTTAACTTTGGTTCTACTTGATCATCTTTACAAATAAAATTCATGGCCTCATGACCAATTTCATACTTGGTTTTCTTTTAAAGCTGAACTGCTGTCAGTATTCAATAAGGAAGATATCTGTGTATTATTTCCATAATACATTTTGGGCAAGATTCATTTTCTGTAACCACGTTCTCATAGAATGAACCTAGGAGTTTCTACTTTCAGACTGGCAAAAATAAAGCCCACAGCTAATTGTAGGGGAAAATGTAATCCTGGGATATCTAAACTTGTATGTGAAATGAACAGTGACTTCTCAAAGTATTGTGTCATGGACCCGAGGAAGCTCCGCCTTCCTTGAAGTCATAGCCCCTCCTACAGTTCTGTCTTCCTTTTGTTCATGTTTGGCAGCATCCAAATTAACCTTTTCTGCCATTTTCCTTTTAAATAAGTTAAAATTCAAAGAAATTCAACATGGATAAGATAAATCTTAGCTATTATTCGAGAGGATTTATCTTCTAAAGAACTTGCTTATAAAATAGTAACTGTAATTGTTTTGACACGTGGAACTCAAGTTCAAGCTCACCTTTGTAACAGTTTTGCAGATGGTTCAAGTGAGCATGAAAAGCCTGGTAAATCAAGTAACTAAAGTTTTTATTATTTAAAGGAAAGCTAGAAGCCTAGTCTTAATTTAATTTCACAGTCAAATGTGGCATCTAATGAACTATGTGGCACATTGGGAAGATTTAGATCCACTGCCTGTTTTTCATCCTTTTCCACCTGCAGTTTATTCTTCCCAAGTGAGCTCATATTGTTATGCTTCTACCTTTTTTATAAGAACAACATCTTTATTGAAAAACATGCATCTTGGCCACATCTTCCACTTTGCAAATCTGTAAGTTCATATGGAGTGTGCATAAAGCTCCCACAGACTCATTTCTGAAGGTGATAGTATCTTTTATACAGTAATTAGGGTTTATCTTTAATTCTGCATTTTGAAATCAATGATAAAAATTCCCAGTTAAGGTATATAAAGAAATGTTTTGACAACTTCAACAGTAGTTGTCTGAGTGACTGACAGTTGATTTTTAGTAATGATAAATAACAATTCCTTTATTTTCTTGTGATAGTTTTAATGCATTCTCTGACTCTGAAATATGTGTACAAGCCTTTCCTTCCATTTTTTCTCACAATTAGATTGCATTTTAAATACCGTTTAAGCAGGTAGACGTCTATTTTAAATAACATTGAAATGCTTTCTGTGTGTCAAATTCAGATTATTCAAATGTTATGCCATTTTGTTAAAAAGTCTTTTGATCTTTGTGACTTATTTCAGCATTCCATTTTTACAAAAATAGGAGTCATTCAACAGCATGAAGTTCTACCATTATTTTTCTTTGAAAATGCCCCCTAAGTAGGTCATTATTGACTGGTCTTCCTTGTTTTCTTTGAGGGCCATCAATCTTGGGGGGATGGCAGAATCAGTCTCTTTTTATCAGACACTGGTATGGTACGGCATGATCATGACTGGCGTTTGGCTCTCTACAAATTTTAAAGCCAAGTCATAAAAGACCTATTTATTGACATTTTTTTCTGGATTATGGAAAAATATAAGCGCTGCTCCTAATAACACCACTGGGAAGCTGTGCAGCTGCTCCTAATAACATCACTGGGAAGCTGTGTGTGCAGCCTCACTTCAGGGCTGTCAGCCCTGCTCTGGAAGGGTTGTGGGGGACCTGTTTAACCTTCTCCATCTTTCTGCAGACAGGAGGCTGGCGGCTGTCCTGGGCACACGCTGTGAACCTCTGGGCTCCTTTTGGCTCTGAGCAGATGGGACACTCTGGGATTGAGCTGGCTGTCAGAGGGCTTCAGTTGAAAGAGAAGGTCTCTGGGGTCAGGCATTCCTTATTCTTATCCCAGATCTGCTTTGCAGGATTGGCCTGTGCGGGTCACATGAACACTGGGGCCTCTGTCCTCACCTGCAGCTCCTTTCCAGGCACGCTTGTGGGGGCTGCCACTTACGCCTGCATCATTCTCTTACAGTCAATTGTTGTTAACTTGCCTGTCCCATAGAATCACCTGCAGGCAGGATAAATTCCTGCACCCCACGCCAGTGACACCAGAGTCCCTGTGGGCGGAACCCAGGCATGGGGAGTTTTGAAGCTTCCCAGGCCATTCCACTGGGGACCCCAGTTTGAGAACCCCTTCTCTGGCCCTCACCTGCTCGCCTCCCTATAGCCTAAACCTCTCCTCGGATTCCGGCTCCCATGGCCCTCTTTCCTCCTGTCTTTCTCCAGCTTTCCCCTTCCCGCCACCTCTGCTTTCAGTACCTTGCCCTGTCCAGCCCCACCTTTGCACTGACTGGCTCCAAGGCTCTGACTTCCTCTGGCCTCCAGGGAAAGTCAGTAAAGTTCAGGGGTCTTTCTGGTTGGAGTTTCTGCCGGCCATTGCCGAAATCCACATTGATCTACCAAACACATTAACCTGTTGATAATAGAAAAACTTTGCTTCCTGAAACATGAATTTCCCTTTTTCATGCTTCAAACAAAAACCAATTTAGATGTTTTTCCTTAACATCATACCTGATGGTATGAAGCATTTCAAAAGACGTGATGAAGAAACCTCATTTCTGAAGAGGCTAAAACGCATAATGACAGTGTAAGTAGCAGAATAACTAAATCCTCCCTGTCCTGCCACCCTTGACGTTTGATATTAATTATGCTTCAAAAATATGCCTGTGTGATGGAGCCCGGCTGTGCCATCAGAGCAGCTGTTTGATTTCTGAGTTTGCTTCATGTTCAGTTTGCTTTTTCTGTCCAGTGGAAGCAGTGAAGCCCTCAGTCAAGTGAATCAGACGGCTTTTTGGTGGAGGCTAATGTTAAATTCCGGGACTGGCAGAGAAAAGGGAATACCTTTTGTCAGGCACATGCTAAGGTGTGTGATTCCTCTTCAGAGGGAAAGTGGCCTCTCTGCATCTGTCCCGCAGCATGTTACATATCCTGTACTTTCTAGGGCGAATTCTCACTGTGTGTGCTGCAGACACCTTCACCTGCAGTTTTGTTTGTGTTGCTCTCAGTGCGGTGCTTAGTGTAAAGAACAGTTAACCATAGTTGGATTTGTCAGCCTTTACCACGTGGTGTTTGCTTTTTCTGCCTGCAAGGAAACTTTGCTAAGCCCCAACAGTCAGGAAGATCTTTATTTTAAAAGCTTTCAACTTAAAGTCTTTAACATGTCTAGACTTAAGTAAGGATCCAATCTACTGTTTTTGTTGTTGTTGTTTTTTCATGTGTATAATCAATTGCCTCAGTACAGTTTATTTTTATTGCTAGCCGATATAGTTTGGATATTTGTCCCTGCCAAATCTCAAGTTGAATTGTGATCTCCAGTGTTGGAGGTGGAGCCTGGTGGGAGGTGTTTGGGTCATGGGCACCGATTCTTCGTGGCTTGGTGCTGTCCTCCTGGTAGTGAGTGAGTTCTCACGAGATCTGGTTGAGTAAACATGAGCAGCACCTCCCCTCCCACTGCCTCTCTCTTGCTCCTGCTCTGCCTTCACCTTCTGCTGTGAGTCAAAGCTCCTTGAGGCCTCCCCAGAAGCCAAGCAATGCTGGTGCCATGCGTCCTACACAGCCTGCAGATCTGTGGGCTGGTTAACTTCTTTTCCTCATAAACTACCCAGTCTCAGGTATTTCTTTATAGCAAGGCAAGAACAGCCTAACACACTAGCCGTCAGCAATACCTGTCAAAATCAAGTCTCCTTGGAATGATGGGGCTGATTTGGGGTCCTCTGTTCTGTTCTTTTGGTTGATTTTCTAAGCCTGCACCATCTTTTTCCCAGAGTTCCAATTATTATGACTTAATAATACCATATTTCTTCAGTTCTAAGATGCCATTAACATTTACATACACCATTATTTTATGTAACACTACAAAGAACTAAGGCTACAAATGAAATTTGAAACATCTGTTGTATGATAGAACTTGATTTCACAGATGCTGAATTATGAATGCATATTAGAACTAACGACAGATACCAAATTTTCTTTTTTAAAATGGTGGATTAGCTCCTCTTGGGACTTTACATTTCCTTAAATTTTAGGGCCTTTTTTGTCAAGTTTCAAACTAATTCATGCTTTGATTGGAATTACATTGACTATTGATCAATTTTGGGACATTTGCCATCATTTTATTGCATCTTCTTATTCACAAATATTTCTCAATTTAACTAGTATTTCTTTAATGATTTTCTTTCTTTTCTTTCCAACTTTTGTTTTAGGTTCGGGGGTACACGTGCAGGTATGTTAGAGGGGTAAGTTTTGTGTCATGGGGGTTTGGTGTACAGCTTATTTTGTCACTCAGGTAATAATAGTACTCAATAGGTAGTTTTTGATTCTTACCTTTCTCATACTCTCCACCCTCAAGTAAGACCCATGTCTGTTGTTCCCTTATTTGTGTCCATATGTACTCAGTATTTAGCTCCCACTTACAAATGAGAATATCCAGTGTTTGGATTTCTGTTCCTGTATTAACTCACTTAGGATAATGGCCTCCAGCTCCATCCATGTTGCTGTAAAGCACAGAATTTCATCATTTTTATGACTGCATAGTATTCCATGGTGTATATGGACCACATTTTCTTTATCTGCTCCACTGTTGATGGGCATCTGGGTTAATTTCATGTCTTTGCCATCGTGAATAGTGCTGGGATGAGGATAGACATGCATGTGTCTTTATGGTGGAAAGATTTGCATTCCCTTGTGTATATACCTGGTAATAGGATTGCTGGGTTGAATGGTAATGTGATTTTAAGTAACTTAAGAAATCTACAGACTACTTTCCACAGTTATTGAACTAATTTGGATTCCCACCAGCAGTGTGTACCTGTACCCTTTCCTCTACAACTTTGCTAGCATCTGTTGTTTTATAACTTTTTAATAATAGCCATTCTGACAGCTGTGAGATGATATCTTGCTGTGGTTTTGATTTGCATTTCTCTAATGATTAGTGATGTTGCCCATTGTTTCATATGCTTGTTGGCCACATATACGTCTTTTTTTGAGAAGTGCCTGTTCATGTCCTTTGCCCATTTTTAAAATGGGGTTGTTTGTTTCTTTTGTTAGATTTGTTGAAGTTTCCTATAATGGGGTTGTTTGTTTCTTTTGTTAGATTTGTTTAAGTTTCCTATGGATTCTGGATATTATACCCTTATCAGATGCATAGTTTGCAAATATTTTATCCCATCCTGTAGGTTGTCTGTTTACTCTGTTGATAGTTTCTTTTGCCCTGAAGACACTCTTTAGCTTAATTAGGTACCATTTGTCAACTTTTGTTTCTGTTGCAATTGCATTTGGAGTTTTTGTAATGAAGTCTTTGCTAGGCCCTATGTCCAGAATAGTATTTCCAAGTTTCTTCTAGGATTTTTATAGTTTTTTTTACATTTAAGTCTTTAATCCATCTTAAGTTGATTTTTGTATGTGGTAAAAGGAAGAGGTCCAGTTTCAATCTTCTGCATATGGCTAGCCAGTTATCCCAGCACGATTTACTGAATAGGAAGTTCTTTACCCATTGCTTGTTACTGTTGACTTTGTTGAAGATCAGATGCTTATAGGTAGGTGGCTTTATTTTTGGGTTCTCTAATTTGTCCCATTGGTCTGTGTGTCTGTTTTTGTAACAGTACTATGCTATTTTAGTTACTATAACCTTGTAGTATAGTTAGAAGTCAGGTCATGTGATGCCCCCAGGTTTGTTCTTTTTGCTTACAATTGATTTGGCTATTTAGGCTATATTTGGTTTCCTATGAATTTTATAATTGGTTTTTCTAATTCTGTGAAAAATATTGGTAGTTTGATGGGAATAACACTGAATCTGTAAATTGCTTTGGGCAGTATGGACATTTTAACAGTATTGATCCTTCTTATCCATGAGTGTGGAATCTTTTTTATTTGTTTGGGTCATCTCTCATTTCCTTCAGCAGCATTTTGTAATTCTTATTGTAGGGAGCTTTCACCACCGCTGCCCCCCCACCCCGGTTAGCTGTATTCCTAGGTATTTTATTGTTTTTGTGGCTGTTGTGAATTTGGCTCTCAGCTTGGACATTAATGTTATATAGAAATGCTACTAATTTTGCACATTGATTTTGTATTCTGAAACTTGGCTGAAGTTGTTTCTCAGATCTAGGAGCCTTTGGGCAGAGACAATGAGATTTTCTAGATATAAAATCATATCATCTGTGAAAAGAGATAGGTTGACTCTTGGAAGCCTTCTATGTCTTTCTCTTGCCTGATTGCTTTGGCTAGGACTTCTAGTACTATGTTGAAAGGAGTGGTGAGAGGGGCATCCTTGACTTGTTCTGGTTCTCAAGGGAAATGCTTCTGGTTTTTGCTCATTCAGTGTGTTGTTGGCTGTGGGTTTGTCATAGATAGTTCTTATATTCTGAGACAATTTCCTTCAATGCCTAGTTTGTTGAGGGTTTTTAAAATGCAAAGATGTTGAATTTTATTGAAAGCTTTTTATGTGTTTATTGAGATGATAATATGTTTTTTTGTTTTCAGTTATCTTCATGTGATGAAGTATATCGATTTATTTGCATATGTTGAACCAACCTTGCATCCCAGGGATAAAGCCTACTTGATAGTGGTGTATTACTTTTTTAATGTGCTGCTGGATTTAGTTTGCTAGTATTTTGTTGGGGATTTTTTCATCTGTGTTTATCAGGGATATTGGACTGACGTTTTCTTTTTTTTGATGTGTCGCTGAGAGGTTTTGGTATGATGCTGGCTTCACAGTATGAGTTAGGAATCCCTCTGCCTCAATTTTTTTGGAATAGTTTCCGTAGCGTTGGTACCAGCTCTTATTTATACATCTGTTACAATTAGGCTGTGAATACATCTTATCCAGTGCTTTTTCTGGTCAGTTTTTTTTTTGTTAATTATTAATAAGAATTCAATTTTGGAAACTAACATTGGTATATTCAGGGTTTCAGTTTCTTCCTGGTTCAATCTTGATAGATTGCAAGTTTCCAGGAATCTATTAATTTCTTCAGGGTTTTCTAGTTTGTGTGCATAGTGGTGTTCATAGTAGTTTCAGAGGGTTTTTTGTATTTCTGTGGAGATAGTGGTAATGTCCCCTTAGTCATTTCTGATTGTGTTTGTTTGGATCTTCTCTCTTACTTCCTTATTTGTCTATCTAGTGGTCTAACAATTTTATTCACTAAAAAAAAACTTTTGGTTTCGTTCATCTCCTATGGTTTTTCACATCTCAGTTTCATTCAGTTCAGCTCTGATTTTGCTTCTTTTTTCCTGCTAGCTTTGGGGCTTGTTTGCTCTTTCTTTTTTTCTTTTTCAAGGTATGATGTTAGGTTCTTACTGTGAGGTCTTTCTAACTTTTTGATTTGGGTGTTTAGCACCATGAGCTTTCCTCTTCACACTGCTTTAGCTTTGTCCCTGATTCTAGTATGTTATATCTTAGTTTTCATTAGTTTCAAAGAATTTCTTGATTTCTGACTTAATTTCATTATTTGCCCAAAAGCCATTCAGGGGCAGATTTTTTAATTTCAGTGTAAGTGTATGGTTTTGAGACATCTTGTTTATATTGATTTCTACTTTTATTGTGCTGTAATATGACAGTGTGGATGGTATGGTTCAGGTTTTTTGAATTTGTTGAGAATTGCCTTAAGGCTGAGCATGTGGTTAATTTTAGAGTGTCATGTCCATATAAGGAGAATGTATTTTTCTTGTTGTGTGAAGTGTTCTGTAGATGTCTATTAGGTCTGTTTGGTCAAGTGTTGAGTTTAAATCCTGAATATATTTGTTAGTATTCTGCCTCATTGATCTAGTACTGTCAGTGGGGTGTTGAAATATCTCACTATTATTCCGTGGTTATCTGAGACTCTCTGTGAGTCTCTAAGAACTTGTTTTATGAATCTGGGTCCTTGAGTACTGGTTGCATATATACATATTTAGGTGGTTAAGTCATCTTACTGAATTGAACCCTTCATTATTATGTAATGATCTTCTTAGAACGTTTTGATCATTGTTTTTTAAAGTCTGCTTTGTCTGAAATAAGAATAGAAAACCCTGCTGTTTTCTGCTTGCTTCATAGATCTTTCTCTATTCATTTCCCCTAAGCCTATGGACGTCCTTGAATGTGAGATGGGTTCCTTGAAGACTGCATTTGTTTAGGTGTTGCTTTTATCCAACTTGCCATCTGTGCCTTTTTAATGGGACATCAGCATGTTTACATTGAGGTTTAAGATTGATATGTGCTGGTTCGATCCTGTCATCGTGTTATTAGGTAGTTGTTATGTAGATTTGATTGAATAGTTGCTTTATAGTTCAATGGTCTATGTATTTCAGTGTGTTTTTGTGGTGGCCAGTAACAACCTTTTGTTTCCACGTTTTGCACTTTTTTAAGGACCTCTTGTAAAGTAGGTCTGGTGGTAACAAATTCCCTTGGCATTTGCTTTTCTGAAAAGGATTTTATTTCCCCTTCACTTATGAAGCTTAGTTTTGCTGGATATGAAATTTTTGGTTGTAATTTATTTTTTCTAACGATGTTGAATATAGGTCTCCAATCTCTTCTAGGTTGTAGGGTTTCTGCTGAAAGGTCTGCTGTTAGCCTGATGAGATTCTCTTTGTAGGGGATCTTCCTCTTCTCTCTCTCTGTCTTTAACATTTTTTCTTTTGTATTGACCTTGGAGAATCTGATGACTATATGTCTTGGAAGCTGGTGATCTTTTATAGTACCTCTCAGGGGTCCTCTGAATTTCCTAAATTTGAACGTTGACCTTTCTAGCGAGAATGGGGAAATTTTTGTTGTTATTTTCCTTAAATATATTTTCAAAGTTGCTTGTTCTCTTTTCTTCTCTTTCAGGAATGTCAGTCAGTCATAGGTTTTGTCTCTTTATGTAGTCTCATATTCCTTGGAGATGTTCTTCAGTTTTTTCTTTATTCTGGTCTAACTGTGTTAATTCAAAGAACTGGTCTTTGAGCTCTGAGATTTGTTCCTCAGCTTGGTGTATTCTGCTGTTAATACTCCTGATTGTGTTATGAAATTCTTGTAGTGAGTTTTTCAGCTCTATCAGATCAGTTTGGTTCTTTTTAAAATGGGTATTTCATCTTTAATCTCTTGGATAGTTTTACTGGATTCCATAAATTCTTTGGCTTGGGTTTCAACTTTGTCCTGAATCCTGATGATCTTCCTTGCCATCCAGATTCTGAATTCTACTTCTGTCATTTCAGCCATTTCATTCTGGTTAAGAACCATTGCTGGGGAACCTCATGTGGGGCTTTAGGGACAAGAATACATTTTGGCTTTTAGAGTTGCCAGAATTCTTGTGCTGGTTCTTTCTCATCCATGTGGTGAGATGTGTGCTGATACTCCTTCAGCTGTGTGGTGTAATTTGTGTACAGTCAGTTGGCTTCATTTCTGGATGTTTTCAGAGGGCCAAGGCTTTGTGCTGGGTCTTCATTTGTAGTTGACCTCTTGCCTTTTGTTTCACATGGGAGTAAATTCTCAAAGTATTTTGGTGTTGCAGTTTGGGCTGCAATCTAGTAGGTGGTGATTAAGTGTCATTGCTGATTGGTGGGCTCTTGCTCAGCCACGTGGTTCCTTTTTATTTCCTCATGTTTGCAGCCCTCTCCCTTTCAGTGTTCTGAGAGCATGGGCTCCTCTCCCATTCAAGTGTTGGCTGTATATCTCAGCTTGACACTTTTTTTAAATCTTATGGTAGACTAAGGTACACACACAGAAAATGCTGAATGCCAGCATAAAAGCAGAGATTTTAAAGTGTCACCGCTTAGAATAATGTTTATTGCAGGGGTTTTAACCAGGTGCTGTTCAACAGATATAGGAAATTCCTATCTATTCCTACTTTGCAAGGAAATTCTTATGATTATTTATCCATATATTTAGATTTTTAATATTTTTGTACTTCTTAACATTTTAATGTTATTTTAATGTATAAATTTATTCCTTATAGTCTTCATCCCTATTTCAATTCTTTCCTTCACCTCATCATAGTCATTCGCATTGTCTCTTTCTATTGATAAGTTTCTACAAAATGCCTACTTTTTGTGTACACATGCATTATTTTAGTCAGTGTTTTACTGATATACAATATGCAAAGGGAAAAGTGTCCAAATCATATGAATAGCTCAGTGAATTTTCACTAAGACCTCCTTATGTGGCCAGCGCTGACATCCCGACATCCAGCACTCACACCCCGACATCTGGTCAGTCACTACCAGTCAAGAGTGAATTAGTGAATGACTTGTAACTTCACTATGATAATTTTCCCTGATGCCAAACTCTCTCCATATATAGATAGATAGATATCTATATATATACACACACATATATATCACATAATATTTTATGATGTATATCCACACTTTGCTTGTAGTTGCACTTTGTATATTGTATTCGCTGTGTGAGGATGCCAACACTTCTCTGTACTACTTGTTGCTGGACACTGGTGCTGTTATGTGGTCTCGGTTGTAGTAGATGACACTTTAAACATCCTTTCATATGTCTTTAGATGGACATATTTGTGCAGCTCTGTTGAGCGAAAACCTGAGAGTGGAATTGCAGCTTGAATGTGCACATGTTCAGCTTTTGTAGAAACTGACAAGCAGTTTTCCAAAGTGGTTGCACCATCATAAACCCAGCAACTGTAAATGAGAATTGTGATTGTACCACACCTTTTGTAAACCTTGATATTCATTCACCCTCTTTGATTTTGTTCATTCTTTTGTGAGGTGATGTTGTTTTATTGTGGATCTGGTTTGCATTCTCTGCTGATTAAATCATGCTGCACACCTTTCTATTTGTCATCAGTCATTCACATAGCCTTTTTATTTTGGGTATTATACATTTTAATAGGCTTTATTTTTTATAGAGTTTTAGGTTTACAGCAAAATGGGACATAAAATATACAGATTTCCTATGTACTCCTAGTCCCCCTTCCCCAAACAGCCTCCCACACTATCAGCATCTCACACCAGAAGCTTCTTTTGTTACAATCAGTGAACCTCCATTGACAAGTCATTGTCACCCAAGTCTGGAGTTCAAACGAGGATACACTCTTGGTGTTGTACAATCTATGAGTCTGGACAAATCTGTAATGACAGGTAGGTATCCACCATTATAGTTTCATACAGAGTCACTTCACTGCCCTAAAATTCCTCTGTGCTCCACCTGCCCATTCTTCCCTCCCTCTCAACCCCTGACAGCCACTGATCTCTTTACTATCTCCATAGTGTGCCTTTTCCAGGTCAGATAGTTGGACTCGCACAATATGGAGCCTTTACAGACTGGCTCTTTCCCTTACTAACATGAATTTAAGCTTTCTTTGTGTCTTTATGTGGCTTGCCTTCTCCTTTTGTTTTAATGCTAAATCGTATTGTCTGGATAAATCACTGTTTCTTCATTCACCTTCATATTGGTTGATTCCAAGTTTTTGCAATTATGAATAAAGCTGCTATAAACATTTCTGTGCAGGCTTTTGTGTGGACATGTTTTCAGCTCCTTTGGGTAAATAGCAAAAAGCATGCCTGCTGGATGATATGGTGAAACTATGTTTAGTTTTGTGAGAGACTGCCACACTGTCTTCCAACATGGCTGTACCATTTTGCATTCTCACCAGCAATGAATGAGAGTTCCTGTTGCTCTACATCTTCACCGGCATTTGGTATTGTCAGTGTTTTGAATTCCAGCCCTTCTAATTGGTGTGTGCTAGAATCCCATTGCTGTTTTAACTGGCAGTTCTCCAGTGACATGTTATTGAATATCTTCCCATATGCTTATCTGCCATCTGTATGAATCATTTGATGAGAAATCTATTCAGATCTTTGCAGACTTTGAAATTTGATTGTGTTATTCTCTTTTTTTCAGTTGCCTACTTGGATCCTTGCCAGTGTTTCTCCTGGGTTGTTTTTTGTTTTTATTTTTACCGATTTAGGAGTTCTTTACATGTTATATGTATGAGTCTTTATCAAACATATGAGACACAAAGATCTGTCACTCTATGGGTTCCCTTTTACTCTCTTGGTAATATTCACTGAACAGAATTTTTTTCCTTTTAATGTAGACTTAGTTTATCAATTGCTAATTTACAATTACAACTTTTCCCCTTCTTTTCAATAAATCTTTACTCCAGAGTCATGAAATTAGTTTCATTTGTTTTCTTTTAAACACTTTATTGATTTACCTTTTAAATTTAGATCAAAATTCCAGCTAGAGTTTTTTCTTCTGTATGCTCTGAATTAGGGTTCAAAGTTTGTTTCCTTCCTATTTATTGTAGAGATTATTCTTTCCAAACTTCACTGCAATACCACATTTATCACAAATGTGGAGTTGCATATGTGGATTTTTTTTTTGACTTTGTATTCTCTGTACTCCATTGGGCTATTTTCCTTGAGCAAATTTTCTATTGATTGAATTGCTCTAAGTTTATAATAGTTCCTGATATCTGGCAATATGAATCTTAAACTTTGTTTTCTTCCAGGATTTCCTTGACTATAGTTGGCCCTTTGCATTTCCATTTAAAATTTAGAGCCCCTTTATGAATTTTTATGACTTATTCTAGGATTATTATTAAACAGCTTCCAATAACAATTATTGTTTTGAATATGTAGATTACTTAGGGGAGAAGTGACAACTTGAAAATAATTCATCAAATCCATAAACAAGATCTAGTCTGTAATTCATTTAGGTCTTCTTAAATTCCTCCCAATAATGTTTTGTAATTTTTATCACAGAAATTTTGCACATCTTTCATTAGATTTATTTCTAGATATGTTTAATGCTACTGTAAATTGCATGTTTTTATTTCAACTATTTTTTGTTGCTGATATGTTGAGACACTAAAAATATTGACATAATAAACTGATATTTTTATTAATTTCAAAGATTAATTGCTTATCTGTTTTCATATCACATGCGTAGATACTTTTGGATTATCTCCATGCTCAATAATATCATCTATGAAAAATGCTGGTTTTATTTTTTCAATGTTTACACATTTCCTTCCTCCCTCCCTCTCCCCCTTTCTTCCTCCCTCCCTCCTTCCTTTCCTCCCTTCCTCCCTTCCTCCCTTCCTTCCTGTTTGCTTTATGATTGTATTGGCTGGGAGCTGCAGTACCATGCCGTATTGAAGTGGTGCTGTTGAGCACCCTTTGCTCATTCCTTTTCTCAGGAATTTTCAAGCTTTACGCTGAGTATGACATGTGCTGTAAGTCTTTTGTAGACGTCTCTAACCAGTTATGGAAGCTCTCTTATTAAAAGGCTTTAGGTAACAACATTTGTCAACACTTTTTTGAGATTAATCAATGATCATATAAGTTCTTTGCTCATATGGTATGGTTGCCAGCCTGGAGGAAGGCACCTGGTATTCACTCCCCTGTGCAACCCATCTGATTTGTACTCGGGGCAGCTTCTGTTGTCATGGTGTATGGCATATCTGATGATCTGCCATTCCTGATACTGGGCTATAAAGTCTGCAGTTTCTGTGCTGGGGGCAAGCATTTTTCCTCCTGGATCATTCTTTCCAGTATATGCCATGTTGTGAACTATCATTGGAGAGGCCCACGTGGCAAAACACTAAAGCCTCCGGCAGCCACCACAGGAGCGATCTGGAAGCAGATCTGCTGGCCACACCTGAGCCTTCAAAGACGGCAGCACCCCCAGCAGCTGGGCTGCAGTCTCTGCAGGACCCGGAGCCAGAAGCACTCAGCTGGGCTCTCACAGAATCCTGACATTCAGAGGCTGTTGGTTGTTGGATATTTTATTACACAACATTAGAGAACTCTTCCATGTTATGAATTACGCTGATTTTCAAATGGTAAACTACCCTTACATTTTTTATTGTAGTTGCTTTAAAAGTATTTTGCTTTTTATATTTTTTGGATTAGATTTCATAATATTTTATTTAGGATTTTTTTTATTTATATTCATGGGGGTAATTGATAAGTAATTTTACTTTATTATAACCTTCTTGTTAGGTTCTGGTCTGCAGCTTAGGTTGGTTGTATAAATGAGTTTACTGGTAGTCATTGTTTTTCTATTCTGTGGAAAAGTTTGTATAGTATCCATGTTATTTATGAAATATTTAGAGGAATTCACTGGGCCCAGAGCTTACTTTGTGAAATAATTTTAATACTAAGTTCAACTTTTAAGTTACGTACAGGAATATTTATATTTTTATTTAATATTATATCTGTTTTAGCAAATTGCATGTTTTAAAGAGTTCATCCTTTGTACACAAATCACAAACTGTAAGGTAAAACATTCTTGCTATTTTCTTGTGTGCTTTTCATATCTGCGGGACTCATAGTGGCTTCCCCCTTTCCTCATCTGGCTGCTTCTGTGTGTTCTCTCCTTATTTCTCACTTCTTCCAGAGAACTGTTCTTTGGCTTTGTTCATTAGTTGATTTGTCTTCTGTTTCATGTATTTCTGCTCTTATTTCCTTTATTCTCTTTCCTTTTTCTTGCTTTGCTTTTGGAAACTGAAATCAGAGGTCTCTAAAGTGTTTTGAAAGCCACATGGTACCTTAGGATCACTGGCCATGTCGTCCTTTATAGACAATTCTGCCATCCTTTCGTGGAAGCAGGTGAAGGGCCGTGGCTGTGTTCCAATAAAACTTGATTTACAGACACAGGCGGTGGACCTGAATGCTGGGTGGCCTACCCTGGGATGAGGTCGCTGATTTTCACCTTTAGTTTCTGCATGCATTCCAGCTGTAAGTTATTCAGTTGCAGCTGCACTTCACAGGTTTTGAAAGTCGTAAGCTCACAATCTGTTCAAAACACGTTCCAGTTTCCACTGCGAGTCCCCTCCTGGATCTGTGGTGATTTGTGAGTATGTTGCTAAACTTTTCAGGAGCGGAGATTTTCTGTTATCTTTTTCTGGTAGTTTTCCATTGCCACATATGTGAAAATAACATACTCTGACTTCAGTCCTTTGAGATTTTTGAGGTTTTCTTTATGACCCTGCGTTTTGTCCACGTAGGAAGGAGGGTGTTCTGCTGTTGCTGAGCACAGTGTTCAACAGACATCAGTCAGCTTCCATTCCTTCACTGTGCTTTTCAGATCAGTGCAATGCTGATTTGTTCATGCTTCTAAAATGTAGGTAAGCAGGCTTATTTTTAATTCCTGAGTTTTTCATTATATGCTATGATTCTAGAAATGCATTAAAAGTTTTTTTTATTGAAGATGAAAGTTATTTTGGCAAAAATATCAATTTTACATTACTGAAAACTTTAATAACATATAATTTTGTTGTTTCTTTATTCTTAAAATCTAGCTACTCCAGGAGGATGTGTTCTGGTGTTGACTGTTGATCAGTATCACTCCATCCCCCCCCACCCCCCCAGCCCTTTGCAGCTAAGTTGTGTCTCCTTGATGGCAGATGTCAGTTTCACGGAGACGTAATTGTTTCCAGGAGTATTATTTCTATGCCTTTTTATTGTTTTCCACTTTGGAAACATGAGTTACATGCTAGGTATCCAGGTCGTGTTCATTTGGCATCCATCTCTGTCGTCCTCTCCACATCATCATTTCCCACCTCATTTGTGTGATGCAGTTAGGCCTCCATGTGGTGACTCTGGTTCTTGATTGTTTTCATTTGACTTTATTGCATTTTATTGTGGCATTGATTCTGATTACTTTAACCTGCATTCACCTTCCTTATCCTTTCCTCCATTCTTTTCTGAGCTGATGACTCCCTTTCAGGTAATTCTGTTTCCATGGTCCCTCCTTCTCACCTCCTCTTCTCCCTTCCTCCCTCCCTCCCTTTGTCCCCTCCTCTCCTCCCTCCCGCCCCCCTCTTGCTTCCATATGAGTGGGAGACCTCGTGTTCCCTCCTCCCTCTGCAGGCCCTGTGAGGTGCAGGATTACAGGGATTTAACCTGCATGTCTTGGCCTTGTTGTTTGTGCAGCCCTCTAAGTGCTGCACCAGCATGACAGGCACCACGCCTGCCACCTGCACATGTCTGCTGGGGCACTGCGGACCCGTGTCATTGCCACCCTGATTCAGACGGGCGGACCTGAACCTTTGGTTGTTTCCCGTGGTGCGGCTCGGGGGTGTTCTGCCACCTTGTCAGGTGGTGGAAATTGGCCCTTTCTCCTGCATCCCTAAGCGTCAGACCTCAGCCGTTCCCACCCAAGAGAGGCGGCCCACACCTGGGCTGTGGCTGGAGCATCTTCACGGCACCAGGAGTTCACTCTTCTTCGTGCCAAGGAATTGGTTAATTCTTCTAGGATCTAGCATTTTTAATTATCTAACTCTAATGAGGGGTTTACGTAGAGGGCTTCGGGGATTTTCAGTATGGCTCTCTATTTGACTGAGTTTGAAGGATTCCTGAAAGGAAATCCCAAGCTCCTACTGTGGTTTTGTCACTCTTCCTAGCAGGTTTAGGATGCAGTCCTACATGGCTAGAGATGTTAGAGAAGGTCTCAGTAATATCCCTGTGAACCCCACAGAGCCGCCTTGGTGATTCTGGGACCCCCTGGAGGTGACACATTCCTGAGACACCCCAGGGTACACAGCAATAGCATAATTAAGCCCCATGCTAATGAAGTCTTTTCCCCAGACCTTGGATCAGAATATCACTTGTTAATATTATCTGAAGTTAATGTTGATGTATTTTTGGATTTTCAAAGAGGTACATTTTCAAATGAAAAATCTAAATTGGGAAAATGAAGAAAGTAAAACAGAATAATGTAATTGTAATTAGGGTCTACTATTAAGCATTTGAAATACATGAGATGAAAATTAGCCATTTTAGAAGTTAAAAATATTGCCAGGGTGATGGCTTTTTTTGTTTTGTTTTTGTTTTTGTTTTTTTTTCCCTATTGATTCCTTTGGTCTTTATTTCATTCAGAAAACAATTGCCTCTCACCTCCTCTATCCAGCCTGCGTCAGGTACTGCTGTGTGAGTCTATAAATGCTGTTACCTCCTCTGTGCAGCCCACGTCAGGTACTGCTGTGTGTTGCTATAAATGCTGTTAACTCTGCATTCACATTGTAGACGTGGCCCTGACTGCAGGGAGCCAAGAGAGAAGTGGCTTCATGTCATGGGCAGCGAAACAGGGGCTGTGTGAGAGGAGTGGGAATGTGAGCTTGCCCCGGCCCAGGCCATCTGCCTGACTGTGCAGTTCATGGCTTGGGGCCGCTCTGCTCGGGGCTTCTTTCTGTAAGTTTTTCATTTTGTGTAGGTGACTTTTTCCAGTGCTGTTGCCTAGAGTGGGTACCGTTTTCTGATGAGCCCACACAGAAAGAATGCATTTCCTCTCACTGGAGGCTCACGACCTGCCTTGTGTCTGATGACCCACACAGAAAGAATGCATTTCCACCCACTGTGGAGGCTCACAACCTGCCTTGTGTGGGTCAGGATTTTTCATGGACGTCACTAGATCAGTGTGCTGAATGCCCATCGAGACAAAAATACTAATTTTGAGTCAGTGTGATGCCAGAAATGTTTTTATCAAGTAGCAGGTACAACTATTTATCAGTTTTAATATGAAAATGTTAGTCATTCATAGAGATCAAACCATGTTGCAGAAATTCAGATTTGGAAGAAACCCGGAACAGTAATTGATCTTATCCATTCTCCTAGGGTTATCATGAAGGATTTAACAGTGTGAACATTTCCATTTTCTAAGGTGACCGTGCCTTTATTTTGATGGCTCTGAATTGTATTTTCCATTCAGTTGCAGCACCAGCCCTCCCTTGATGTGCAGAATGAGCAGGTGTCTTTAGGAGTGAGGCTGGGGCACGACTGAATGCAAATTAGCCCTTGCCCAGACAGAAGACAGTCTCATCTCACCAGCGGTATTTCCTGGAGGGTCTGATCTGTCCTGGACATGCGGTGGGTCGCGGGGACTGCAGCTTCATCTCTCAGACGGCTCCTTGTCCCCACTGTTTCAGAGTGGACACAGGGAGAAGGGGTGAGGCAGCTGGGACCCAGGCGGCTCCTCTGGCTCCCATCTTGGTGGGAAGCTGGTCCACACCACCAAGAGCACGGGGAGGACTCCCTGCGGATGGGCTCCAGCTTCATTCTGAAGGAAGGAGTTGAATAAGTTAAGGAAAGTGGATGAGAGGGAGAGTGCATGGGGGAGGGAGGGAGAGGCCGCACTGTGCTGTGGGGAGGGAGGGAGGGAGAGGCCGCGCCGTGCTGTGGGGAGGGAGGGAGGGAGAGGCCGCGCCGTGCTGTGGGGAGGGAGGGAGAGGGCGGCGCCCCGCTGTGGGGAGGGAGGGAGAGGGCGGCGCCCCGCTGTGGGGAGGGAGGGAGGGAGAGCGCAGCGCCACGCTGTGCTGTGGGGAGGGAGGGAGAGCGTCGCGCTGTGCTGTGGGGAGGGAGGGAGGGAGAGCGCAGCGCCACGCTGTGGGGAGGGAGGGAGGGAGAGCACGGCGCCCCGCTGTGGGGAGGGAGGGAGGGAGAGCGCAGCGCCACGCTGTGGGGAGGGAGGGAGGGAGAGCACGGCGCCCCGCTGTGGGGAGGGAGGGAGGGAGAGCGCAGCGCCACGCTGTGGGGAGGGAGGGAGAGCGTCGCGCTGTGCTGTGGGGCGGGAGGGAGAGGGCGGCGCCACGCTGTGGGGAGGGAGGGAGGGAGAGCACGGCGCCCTGCTGTGGGGAGGGAGGGAGGGAGAGCGCAGCGCCACGCTGTGGGGAGGGAGGGAGAGCGTCGCGCTGTGCTGTGGGGCGGGAGGGAGAGGGCGGCGCCACGCTGTGGGGAGGGAGAGAGGGAGAGCACGGCGCCCCGCTGTGCTGTGGGGAGGGAGGGAGAGCGTCGCGCTGTGCTGTGGGGAGGGAGGGAGGGAGAGCGCGGCGCCCCGCTGTGGGGAGGGAGGGAGGGAGAGCGCGGGGCCACCCCGTGGGGAGGGAGGAGAGGGCGGCGCAGCGCTGTGCTGCGGGGAACGATGCATGCCGCTTCCTCCAGGACCTGTGAGTGCAGGGTTGGACGGGGCTTTCTGAGCTTGGGAGCTGGGGCCAGGCCTGTCCTGCAAGCAGCTGGCCTATTTCTGCTAGAAGCTGTGAATTACAACTGTAATGTATTTATTCTAAGGACTAACATGGCACTATTCATAAAAGACTGTGTTAATATTTGCACTGTGCTTTCTGTAATTATACCTCATCAACTTCATTTTTATCTCTATTCTGGCTGTATTTCATATTCCTGATTCTCTTCTGTATGCCTGAAAGGAGAGTTGGTGTATTAGTCAGGGTTCTCCAGAGGGACAGAATTAATAGGATAGACACATGCATGTAAAGGGGAGCATATTAAGTAGTAGTAACTCACACGTTCACAAGTGTGAACATAGTCCGTCTGCAAGCTGAGGAGCAAGGAAGCCAGTTCGAGTCCCAAAGCTGGAGTCCGATGTGCGAGGGCAGGAAGCATCCAGTGCGGGAGAAAGATGCTAAGCCATTCTAGCCTCTTTATGTTTTTCTGTCTACTTTATATTTTGGCTGCACTGGCCCTGATTAGATGGTGCCCACTGAAATTAAGGGTGGGTCTGTTTTTCCCAGTCCACTGACTCAAATGTTAGTCTCCTTTGGCAACACCCTCACAGACACACCCAGGATCAGTACTTTGCATCCTTCAGTCCAATCAAGTTGACACTCACTATTAACCATCACAAGTGGCAAAATATAAATGCCTCTAAATGTGCACAGGATCTTTCTATATTTAAACAATTAGTATAAAGTTGCATTTCAAAAAAATCTTCCAGCTGGACAACATGGTGAGACCCCATCTCTACAAAAGATTTAAAAAAAATTAGGTGGCATGGTGGCGCACACCTGTAGTCCCAGCTACTCAGGAGAATTGTTTAAGCCCCAGGGGTTGAGGCTGCAGTGAGCTGAGATGGCGCCACTGCACTCCAGCTTGGGTGACAGAGGGAGACACTATCTCAAAAAGACAAAAAATAAAAAGCTTTAAAAAATTATATTTGAATTAATATAAATAACTTATATTTGTATCTGCATTCTTTTCTGCTCTTATCTTCCTTGTTCATCAGTTGTTGCTGACTAAGAGATATGATTGTGTGTCAAAAATTAGTATTTTTCTACCAACACGTAAATTTAGAGTACAGTTTTTTGAAAAAAAAAGATAATGAATGGAGATGTATGTCTTCTCAATGAGGGTAGTGTCTCTGTCTTGTCTCTGACCTTTGTGTCCACAGCATGTGGTAAAAGTACAGGCAGAGTAGGCATTGGATTTTTTTTTAAAAAAGCAAACAACACACCAGTAGTGTTAAATGAATAAAGGACACTGGAAATTATGTGACATTGTTTCTTTGAAATTCTCCCTGTTTTCATCTTACATAATGTTTGTTTTAGTGGGTTTATTGGCAGTATTTTAATTTGCTCTGTATTGGATTATGGACAAATAGATTGCTTTCCATATAATTCCACAATACCTGTTACTGCATAGATGCAAAAATCCTAGTGTCTCCTCAGCTGCTGCTGTCTGCTTTTGTCTGATTAAAGTTTGGTTGAGCAGAAGGTGAACCCTGGTTGCTATTTCCAGTGTCCCCCACATTGGGGACCTGCATGGGAGTAGCATCATCCTTGGCTAGAGGGTGGAGTTTTCATCAGAAGTGACCAGCCTGTCTTTGTAGAGGCTCATGGTTCATCTCAAGCACCATCAAAAACATCTGGTTGTACCTAACTAATGGCACCTGTTTGTGCCACACAAGCCTGTGGCCCCTAATGAAAGTCAGATGAACTGAGCTTCCCTGTGCCAGAGCCCTCCTTGAAGGCTCTCATTGCTGTCACTGGTCCAGTGCCCTCTCTGAGATGGGCTGCTGCACAACTGTCTCCCCAGGAGGGAGAGCAGGATGGCAGCCATGGGACCACCCCTGGGCTCCGTCTTCAAATGTTGCCATTTGTCTTCTAGCTGGGCTCACTTTTGGGC
The DNA here is from genome assembly GCF_000001405.40 of Homo sapiens. Lineage (NCBI taxonomy): Eukaryota > Metazoa > Chordata > Mammalia > Primates > Hominidae > Homo > Homo sapiens. Next base: position 1,059,032 of record NC_000002.12, read on the forward strand.
AGCATTTCCTTCCTTGTCCCAGTTGCTGCTTCAGTAGAAAAACAGGAAAGCAAATACATCTTTCACCTTCGTCTTTGAACTGCATTGCCCACTGTCTTGCAGTGCCCTTTGCTTAGCTTTGCCATCTGTGCAGTTTCATTTACGAGACTGAGGAAAGTGTGTTCCTGGCAATGGACTCCTGGCACCTTCTGCCATCTCTTAGAGCTGGAGTGAATATTCTACAAACCTGTTTTTAGATTTGATCTTGAGAAGGAATGTAGGAGTTTCCTGGGAAAGCCAAATATCACAGGTCCTTCTCCTCCTGGACTGAGTTTTCAGCTGCAAAAGGGCAAAAAAAAAAAAATAATAATAATCAGTCAAGATATCTGTGTAAACATTTGGAAGATGATGAAGCTTCTACAATGTGAAGTTTACTAGAAGGATTCCACAGGTTTTATAAATACAAGTGTGTTCTGAGATTCTAATGGAAACTTGGAGTCACAATTGGATTTGAACATTTTTTGGAACTTTAATCTTTTGGATACGTAATTTGTAATCTTTACTATTTCATCTAAATACGTTTTTTTATTTTATAAATTTCTCTTTTGTGGAATTTTGAAGTATAAGGAAAACCTTGACAATGGAAATATAAAACTCCCTCAACCCTCATAACTCAGAGGGCATAACATGAATAATCTTAGACAAAAGTTCTTAAAATTTAATCTTTACTTAGAGACCATTTTAAAAAACAATCTAGAATACATTAAAGCTTAAAGATCCAAAACAAACTGAGACATATCTGAAAAAGTACTGGGAAGGTAGATTTTTCCATTTAATTACTACAACATACCATAAATCTATATAAACTAAGACAGAGTTATATTGGATCAGGGGTACAAAAGTTCAGTAGAATCAAATATAGAGCTCAGAAATAGGAGATATATAAGAAAAGTGGCATGGCAGATCACTGTGGAAATAAAATATTTTATATAAAGAGATGGAAAGAATGGTTAGCCACATGAAGTAGGATTACATTTTATCCCTACCTTACATCATATCAAAAAAATAATACAAACTGGAATGTACTCTTACCTGCAGGCCTTAGTGTAGGAAAGATGTTTAACACCAAGACTAAAAGACTTTAGGGATAAATGAAAGGTTTGATAAATGTAATTACACTAAAATAAAACATTTAAATTAAAGGAAGTAAAAAGTTACAAACTGAAAATTACACAGAGGAAACCAAAGGTTCACTTTCAAGAAATGAAATAACGATACCAGTGTGAACTCAGTTGTTTAATATTGATACCTATCTAATGGATATGTAGGTATTAATACACGTGTGTATGTGTGTACTGTGTGTGTGTTTGGAGAGAGAGAAGTGCATAGATACAGAGATAGAAGTGTCCTACCGTGGAGCACTGAGCAGTCCTGGAACCAAAGACACCCTCTAGCATGAGAACCCCAGCTCCCGGCTTTGGATTCTAAATGCCCTTCTTCTTCACAAAAGGGAACCAGGGCCCCTGAGGACAGTCTGGCTCCAGCATTGTGTTAAGTATAAGGTTCATCTGGAAGAGTGACAGGTGTAAAGGGCAGAAAGGTCAGCCTGAAAGTGTCCCATGGGCCAAGCCTCGAATAATTCAAATATGAACCTAAGAATGATACTAAATTATAACTATTTGAATGAAATAGTGAGTTTATACTGAAATAAGTGAATAAATAAATGGAAAAGAAGAAAAAGCTGTACTTGTAGTTAGATGCCAACTAACAAATTGAAAACAAATGCTGAAGTTATAATAAAAGCTATCAATGGATTTAAAACCAGTGGGTGAAGTCAGACCAGGAGCAGGATATGTTCACAGTCCCAATGGGTCCTCCCCTGAATTATGTATAAATTACAAAGGAAAAAATGGTAACATTAGGGTGGAGAAACTTGCGGGTCCACAACTTAACCAAGTGATCAAAATTAACACCACAAATGAGAAGGACAACAGTGATAGAAATGTAAACTTGTGACCCTCACACAATCACACAAACTTCAGCTGAGGAACATTCCACAAAATAACTGACCCATGTTTCCAAAAAAAAAGAGTCAAGATCAAGAAAGGTAAACAAAGGGTGAAAAGGTAAGAGACATGACAGCATAGAGCCGCGTGATCCTGGGTTGGACGCTGGAGTGGAAAGAATGACAAAAGGTGAACAGGTTAAAGAGATGTGACAGCACAAAGCCGTGTGATCCTGGGTTGGACGCTGGGGTGGAAAGAATGATGATAAACATTTTTAAGGCAATTAACAAAAATGGAATATGTGTATTAGATAATAGAAAGGTATTGTGAGATCATGATCAATGGGGTCACATTTCTGCACAACTTGTGTGCAGAAGTGCTGATTGCCTTTGTTCCAGACAACCTTTTCAAGGATGTTTGTGCAGCAAACAGCTTTCCGAGGTTGAGGAAGTGTTTTGCCTCTGATAAAAGGGCAGGCATGCTTATTGAACGTTGTTAAAGTTTCAAAGTTTCCTACGTTCAGAGTTTCTCTTCTGTAATGCAACCCACCAGGTATACAGCTGTCAATCATCTGGCCCTCTTGGTGCTTCATGGGATAGCAGGCTCAAGAAATCATAAAGGAAATTGTGGGTGCTCTGTGTCCTGCTCGTCTCTGAGTAACGAAGTCCTTTAGTCCTTTGTCTCCAAGCCAGGCATCTCATGTCTTCTGCCAGCATCCATGCGCTGTTGCTGGATAACGTGTTAGCTTGAACTTAGGTAAAATCTTAAAACCCTCACAGTTCTTGTCAGGTGTCAATGATCAGGTTTCTGAACTTCGTCTTTGGAATGGAGCAATATAAAAATATTCCATTATTCTTGGATATTACTTGGTAGTATTTAAGAGCAGAGATAAATAAAACAATTACTAAAGAAAAAATGAATATATACTATAAATCTATAACAAAGAAATATGTATCACAATAAAAATGCAAATTATACATCAGAAAAATGGAATTAGACATAAGAGGCCTTTCACAGAAGTAATATGTTAATAACAAACATGAGTGTAATAGAGGAGAGAAACACAAATGCTACAATGAAGGATTTTCACACCATTTGACTGAAAATAAAAAGCTTAATTAGAGGGAGTGTGCACTCACTGGAATTATATAAGTTGCTGGTAGGAATATAAATGGCTCTACAGTAACTCTGATGGCCACGTTTGTCATTGTCTCCTAAATTTGAACATGATCAAGCCCACTCTCAGCCGTGCACCAAGGATATACTTTTGTTGTTGTCTAGATGGAGACATAGAAATAAAAGCACGAAATGATAAAAGATAGGGTTCAGAATCCTGGCAACCTTGGGTGGATGGGAGCAGAGGAATGAAGTGGGGGCTATATTATTAGAATTAGATTTTTTCTCATGGTTTTGGGTATGACAATGATAAAGAAATGTCATCAAATAACTGACTAAATAAAAACAAGCTATGCATGGATCAATGATCAGAAAGTGGGAAAAATGAAGTGGGGTTAATCCAGTAGAAAAAAGAAAAATAAGAGATGTAATATTGTATCTCCAAAGTGTAACAGAATTAACAGTCATTCTTCAAATAAGAAAATGTATTGGGCACCAACTCTACCTTATGACTCTTCTGTGGTACATAAAATGTTGAGTTAAGCATGATTTTAAGTTGATTTTTGCATGTACAAATTTTCCCTTGATTTTTGTGAGTTATAGAGTACTTCCCCTTAAAAGGAAATGTGACCACATTAAGCTTGAAAATTAGACTTAATAAATGTCAACCTACACTTCATGGTGTATTCGTAAGTGATGTATTATATAAAATGGAAAAAATATGTGTGTGTGCATACACACTCACAAACCCATATATATACATATACACACATATACATACATACACACACAGCTTGGTTACAATGCATATTTTTGTTTCTTTGCTTAGTAAAAGATCTACCACATTGTACATAACAAATAGACATTTCTACTGTTCGTTGATATGAAATAACTGTAAAAAACTTAATTGTCCTTACACTTTGTGTTTAGATGTGGCAAGTAGCAAGAGACTGTAGTAACCACTGTAAACCATGACTACACATAGATAAACTCTCAGATCATAGTTCTTTAAAATCTATGCAAGAGCTTTCTAAAAAAGAAGCATACTTTTTTTTAAAATTCGTAAAGTATAAACCCTTCCTAGAGGAGCAGATATCCACCGGTGATGCTGCCGGGCTCCTCACAGATGAGCTAAGGAGAAACCAACTGGACCTTACACAAAACTGTGAAAAGCAGCATTTAGCTGAGTGGGGTGCACAGACTTCCCAGGAGTTGCAACCAAGGAGCATTTGCCCACCAGCCCTTCAAAGAAGCAGGAGGCATTTGCAGAAGCCTGGGAGTGGGGCAGCAGGGCCGAGAGAAGAGTTCCCTCTCAGGCACAGCTGGCTCTCTCCAAAAGCACCAGGAAGGAAAGCTTTCAGCAGGATGGTAAAATGCGGTGTAAGAATAGGAAACCCAGGGATGACCCTGATGTCAGAGTGCTCCTGAAGAGACTGGAAAATAACTATGACCCACATGTGTGATTTCACAAACAGAAAGTACAAACAATTCAAGCAGAAAGGTTATTAATGAAAAACATGTCAGAAATAAATAATTATGTCATTGGGCTTAACTGAAGAGTGGACACAACAAAATACTGAAATTGAAGATAGATCAATCACATAATTCAACAGAAACACATGGGGGAAAAGACATTGAATCAAAGGTGCATTAAATAAAGAAAAAACTTTCACATTTATGGATAATAGCAGAGTCCGACTTAAGTAGATTCCCAGAAGAATGGAACAGAAGGGATATTTGAACATACAATGGCCACGAATTTATGAAATCAGTGAGAGTTATCAGTACATGTCCTGAAAAGTTCACTGGACCCCAAATAGCATAAAATTAAAACAAAATCATTTTTGAAAGCATATAATAATCAAACTGCTGAAAGTGAGAGTAAATAGAAAAATCTTAAAAACAGAAGATTAAAAAGATAAAATACTTACGTAGAAATAATTTAAAAAGACAGCCAACTTCTTAGAAACAACAGGGGCGAGAAGAAAATAGAACCATATCTTCACAGTGCTAAAAGAAAAAAATAATGAACCTAGAATTCTGTATCTGTGAAAGTATTCTTCAACAATGAACGTGTATTAGAGATCCATTCAAACAGAAGTAAAATAAAAAGATTAAACCCTTAAACAGCCTTGCACTGTAAAAAATGTTAAAAGATGTACTTCAGACTGAAAGGAAATGAAAGCAGATAGAAATGTGAACTGCAGGGTGAAATATGAAGTGCCTGAAATTAAATATAAAAAGCACATATCCACATATGTAATTTATGTATGTTTTAATGCATTGATATATAATTATATATATGTATATATACTGAAATATAATTTTAAGTTTATATATATAAAAATAAAGTACTACATTTGGGGGCTTATAGCTATGAAAATCATGACAGCGTGACTATAGAGGATGGGAGGAGTTACTAAAATTAAATTATTTGAAGATTCTTACATCGTTCATGAAGTGATACTATATTTGATGGTAGTTGGTGATAGGAAAAGCTTTTATTCTCAGCTAGAGAAACTGTTAGGAAATTTTAAGAATCTACATGTTTTAGAAAAAACATTAAAAGTGATGCAATGGGATACTAAGAAATATTTGATTCATTCAAAGAAGACAGAAAAGAAGAACAAAGAATACAGTATCCAAACAGAACACACACGGCAAACATGGTGAAATCAAATGAAACCAGATCAAAACTTACCTCACAGGTTAAAGGAACAAGGACTTCAGTTAAAAAGTGGGGATCAATGACAAGACCCAACTTTATGCTGTTTGCAAGAAACACATTTAACAAAAAGAATGAAAGGGTTTGGGGAAGATACTCTGTGTCAATACTAAGCATCAACAACATTGTGGAGCAATTTCATATCAGACGCGGTGGATTGTGGGAAGGAGATTTTATGAGAAAAGTGTGAAAATAGCCAGCTTATTTTCACTCTGTCCGTTGGTTACACGTCAGCTGGAGCTGTGTAGCTGGAGCCACACAGCCATGTGGGATGTGGGGGTGTCAGTCCAGTATGAGCTTGAGAAACAGGGAGTCTTCATGGAGATCTGAGGCCCCTGCCCACTGACTTACCAGGCACTGTGCTCTGTGGCCACCTGCTTTTCCGGGATGCCTGTATTCAGACCCTTCACCACAAGGCATCTGACATAGTGACTGCCCTCTGTTCTAGGTGGGTGACCATATAGTTAATTGTCTAAACCATAAATAGTCACAGGGAACATATTCATGATTACATTGAGATGAGAGGCATAATTGGAATCGCCCCTGGCAACTGAGAGGTGACATCCCCCAAACCTACCCCAGCACACCCTCTGAGAGTGTTTTGGATGAGGTCAAACGAGTAAATTTCTTAACTATTATCAACTGGATGTTTGCTTACTGCTTATTTTATGAAGCACGCATTGTATTATGAGATGATGTTTGTTATATATGTTTACAGTTTAAATATTCAAATTATTTTCAAAGGAGGCATTTTTGTTTTTGTTAAAAAATTGTATTTAGCAATACGTTGCAAATCATGAACTTTCTTCCTAATACCATCTGTTTTATGATACTCTGCTCAGCTTTATATATTTGAAATTTGCAGTTATTTTTTGTATGTCGTTTAGCTAAATGGCCATATTAAATAGATATTCTGGAAAGAGTCTTGTGTTGTAGGATTGGTGGCTTTGAATTCCATGTAGATTTTGGCCTCTGCAGAGCCTCTAACAAGATGTTTGGATTTTGGTGAGAAACTCACCTTCGTTTGGCTTTGGTGGTTTTTGTTGCCAAATGAAGATAACTTACAGGTTACAAAAATAATCACACAAGATTATCTAAAATGCTTTATATAGCAGTCACTTAGGAAACTGTAGCAATAATGATTTCATTATTAGTTTGGTGCAAAAGAAATTGTGGTTTCAGACCATGAAATTCAAATCATTATAACTAGGCTCACACACATTTTTATTAATCAAAATAGGAGCCATTACAAGCAATACATTTTTGCCAATAGAAATAAGTTTGTTTATTCCTGTGGCATAAAAATCCATGCTTCAGAATTTGACGAACTCTTAGAAAGCATTTTCTGCATTCTGCTGGGTGTGGGAATGTTTTCCCTGCAAAACGTTGTCAAGATGGTTGAAGAAGTAGTTGGTTGGTGAGAGATCAGGTGAATATGACAAATGAGGCAAAACTTCGCAGCCCAACTCATTCAACTTTTGAAGCATTGGTTTTGCAGTGTACAGTCACGTGTTGTTGTGAAGAAGAATTGGGCCCTTCCTGTTGATCAATGCTGGCTGCAGGCGTTGAGTTCTCGGTGCGTCTCATCGACTTGCTGGGCACACTTCTCAGATGTGATGATTTTGCCGGGATTCAGAAAGCTGTAGTGGTCAGACCGGCACAGACCACCGGACAGTGACCAGGAGATTTTCTTGGTGCAAGTTTGGCTTTGGGAAGTGCTTTGGAGCTTCTTGATCCAGCCACTGAGCTGGTCATCACTGGTTGTCATATAAAATCCACTTTTTGTCACACATCACAATCTGATTGAGAAATGGTTCATTGTTGCATAGAATAAGAGAAGACGATGCTTCAAAACGACGATTTTTTTTTATTTTTGCTCAGCTCCTGGGGCACCCACTTATCGAGCTTCCTCACCTTTCTAGTTTGCTTCAAATGCTGAATGACCGTAGAACGGTCGTCTTTGAGTTCTTCAGCAGCTTCTCGTGTGGTTGTAAGAGGATCAGCTTCCACGATTACTCTCAGTTGGTCGTCAACTTCCAATGGCGTCGCTACGCTCCTCATCTTCAAAGCTCTCATCTCCTCTGCAAAACTTCGTGACCCAGCACTGCACTGTACGTTTGTTAGCTGTTCCTGGGCCAAATGCATTGTTGCTGTTGCGAGTTGTCTCCTCTCCTTTACGACCCATTTTGAACTCAAATAAGAAAATCGCTCAAATTTGCTTTTTGTCTCACATCATTTCCATAGTCTAAAATAAAACAGCAAGTAGTAAGTCACTAGCAAAAAAAAAAAAAAGTGAGAAATGCGCACTAAAATGTTGTGTAACATAACCACATTTACCGAAGAATGTATTCCAGTATCAAATGGCAAATTCCAACAATGCGGAAACTGCTATTACTTTTGCACCAATGGGTAATGAGATAAAATCACTTCCATTTAATGTTTATAACATCACCGGTTTATCACTATGTCATAGTTAGTACTTCACATATTCTATTCACCATACATTACAAAAACATATATTTACACTTTTTATTTGGGAGAGCTGATTTTCATGGATCACTTATGCTTCTGTGGAACTAAGCATTCACAATCTTCCATGGAAAGGATAAAATACATATTTTTTTGTAAAATCAGTTAATAACATTTTAGGGAAACCTAATATCTTTTTTCTTAAATGTTCTTAAGCCTCTTTTTTAACCTCCTTGGTGTTTCTAAAGTGAGTCAGAGAATGAGTTTATGAAGTTTGGGCTCAAAGAGAGCAAGGGGACCCATGACATAGTCTGTCAGCATTCTCTTTTCTTGGAGCAGCACACGTCTCAGTATCGAACTCAAAGAGGTAAAACTTGAGCACTGGAACTAAGCTATCCAACTACGTAAGGGCACCCATTTATTTTTCAGATGGAGAAACCAAGGCTGAGGAAATTCGAGTGAGGTTATATAGCAGATCAAATGACCCCCACCCGTAAATCATGCCTGGGTGCAACACAGGCTTCTGTACGCAAACCCCAGGGACAGTGCATCGCTTTCCCCGGGAGGAAGTGCAGGCTTATGGGTCCCACAGTCCTTGGACTCCCGGACCTCGGGAGTGGGGCTAGAGCTTTGGGGTGACACTTAGATCCTCTGCACGGTGAGGACAGAAGTAGCCTCTGAGTTGGTCCTTCAGGAATCAACAGGCATTCCCCGGGTTCAGTCTGCTGTGTCAACCTGAGCTTATCCTCATTTCTGCTAAGAGATCCTATTGCCTTGCTTTCAACTGATAATTATTTTACCTGTATCTTTTTCAAGAGTGGTCAGGCACCAGGTATGAAGTAGCTAGTGTGTCACCCAATAATCCAAGGAGGGAGAGTCACTTTCCCACAGATCCTCACATAGCAGGGCGCCCGTAACTGTGTCAGCAGGCCTTGTTTTTAAAAATTTTCTTGAAAGTCGAGGTTCAAGCAGATATAGATAGAATAAAATATTCCTCGGATCCGTTGAGTTTTCTCCTAATATTGGACATTCAATAGGTTGTAGAAACATGAAGCAAATTAACACGGTTTCCACAGTCGAGATGGTAACAGTGGAATGGCAGAGCCCAGTAACCAGGGGTTACGATCTGTTATTGCAGCTGCTGGCCCTGCATCCTTCATGGCATGATATTTCCCTACAGGCATATTCTTAAAAATATGAGTGATAAAATGCTTAAGAAAATCAGAAATACATTAAAATGCAATTAGACAGGTGTTCTCATTTTTATAGCCATTTTATATTTTGTACTGTCGCGTATTGTTGGATTTTAGCTTCAATATTAATAACAAAAGCTCTTTTGACAGTTGCTTAAAAATCCATTACATTTCATCTTAAATTTGTATGCTGAAAGCACTGAAGAAACACATAGCACAGAAGTTTCATGATTTTATTTTATATATTCAGAATGGCATAAAGATAGCAATAATCAATCTTCTCTAATCAGCTTGTGACGTACTATGTTTACAGTAATTAAAAAGGACATTCAGCTTTCTAATCATTCAGAGAAATGTCACTTATGCGCCAGCTGTTTGTCACTTTGTCTTTGCCATGGTAGGGCCGTACTCATTGACTAGAAATGCCAGTTTTTACCTCCAGGCTGCTTAGAACAAAGCTTAAAAGGCTGAGTAAAAATGTGCATTTGAAAGACGGAATTTGTAATAACATCTCTCAAACACGTGTCAGTGTCATTAGCTCTGTTTCCAGTCACAGTGAGGAATGTGTTGCACATGGTTTATGATGGAAGGTGTTTATTATCTCGAGTCATAAACAACAAGTCTATGTTTTGGTCTTATCTCTGATATTTTATAAGATGCTAAGCACCTTAACACGAAAATCGTGTCTGAAAGATTCATCCTGCAAGACTGTGCTGCTTTGTTCTGAGCTGAACTCAGGCAAATATGCCAAAATATATGATGTGGGGCATTAAAATAGTCCAGGCTTCTTATATAAATGAAAAAAATTCTTATATAAATGAAAAAAAAAAAAACCTCTTGTCTTCTGATTTACATTCTGAAAGTAGTCCAACCTGTGCGTGAAACTGAACTATATTCTCATTAAAATTCTGGTCTAAAGCAATGCACGTGGATTATGGAACAGGGAAAGAAAATATCCACTGAGGCTAGGAAAAAAAAAAAAACAAAAACAGGCTGGGCGCAGTGGCTCATGCCTGTAATCTCAGCACTTTGGGAGGCCTAGACAGGGAGATCACGAGGTCAAGAGATCGAGATCATCCTGGCCAACATGGTGAAACCCTGTCTGTACTAAAAATACAAAAATTTGCTGGGCAGGATGACACGTGCCTGTAGTTCCAGCTACTCTGGAGGCTGAGGCAAGAGAATCGCTTGAACCCAGGAGGCAGAGGTTGCAGTGAGCCGAGATCGCACCACTGCACTGCAGCCTGGCGACAGAGCAAGACTCCGTCTCAAAAAAAATAAATAAATACAAAACAAAACAAAACAAAAAAGCAACCCTAGAAAGCTGTCTAGTTGATAACTCAGCTCAAGAGATGTCCCCGGGAACTCTGGGCCCCTTCAGCACCTCACCCAGGAATCCCGGGAAGCCCACTCCTCACCGCCTAGGTTCCCTGGACGCTCGTTCCCACAGCCACTGTTTCTCCCTCCAAGTCATTTCAGAACCCGCGGCCCCCCACGTGTTTCTGCAGTGACGTCAGTGTGCAGGGGGATGGAGCAAAGCCAGTCACCACCTTGGAGCTTTTTGCGAAACCATCGGTGCCAGTGAAGTGATGTCGGCAATTTCTGCCAGTCAGTCTGAGGGGCGGGGGATGGGGCAAGAGGACAGGAGAGCAGGGAGGGAATTACCCTGAGCCCACCGGAGACCCCACCTGACTCTGACCTGTCCTTCGCTCTCTCTTATTTCATCTCGACAACAGTTTTGACAGGTAGATGTGGGACATTGCAATTGATGACATTGCAGCTCTTCAGCAAATGGATGTGGGCTCCCGTTCAGATGCCATCACGTCACCCAAGCTGTGGAACTTCTCGAAGCTTTTGTTCACTCCTCTGTAAAATGAGGGTGTTTAGGAAAACCTTACTCATTAGCCGTTGATGAGGGTTAAATGGAATAATGCTCATGAGCTTCTTAGCAGAGTTTCCGACATAATACATGCTACTCATATTATTTTTAATGTTAATATCGTTTCAATGTTTGCCTCATTTTCCACAAGAGGGAAGTCCGGCTCACAAAAGCTAAATATCTTACTTACATGCAGCAGATTAGAAAGTGACACAGCAGGGATTTATATTCAAGTTTCTCTAATGCCAAAATTAATTCATAAAATCAAATCTATCTTGCCTCACAATAGCCGCACGTTGAGAGTTACATTCATGTTTAAGGTCCGGAAAGGAAGCTTCTTATCAGCTCTGTTGAGCCTCTAGTAACTGGATTTTACTACGATAATTTCTGCAGCAAGCAGGTGAACCGTGACGAGGGTGTGCAGTGCCTGCTGCTGGTGGAGTCTGTAGTGACTGTATTTACTGTGGTATTTTATACTGCAGCAAGCATGTGATCCCTGATGAGGGTGTGCAGTGCCTGCTGCTGGTGAACTGGCTTGCGTCCTGCCTCTATGTGCATTTAACAAATGACATTTTGTGTCACTGGGGGGTGGCCACATTCAATGCGTTGGCAATACTGGGGGGTGGCCACACTCGACGCAGGCAGTGGGACTGGTGCAGAGGACACAGAAGCCTCGGGTAGTTTTAAGTGTTTAAGTGAAAGGAAGAGTGGCCATTGTCTCACTTCTACCTTAAAAACTAGAGAAGATCTGGGTATATACCCAAATGACTATAAATCATGCTGCTATAAAGACACATGCACACGTATGTTTATTGCGGCATTACTCACAATAGCAAAGACTTGGAACCAACCCAAATGTCCAACAATGATAGACTGGATTAAGAAAATGTGGCACATATACACCATGGAATACTATGCAGCCATAAAAAATGATGAGTTCATGTCCTTTGTAGGGACATGGATGAAATTGGAAACCATCATTCTCAGTAAACTATCGCAAGAACAAAAAACCAAACACCGCATATTCTCGCTCATAGGTGGGAATTGAACAATGAGATCACATGGACACAGGAAGGGGAATATCACACTCTGGGGACTGTGGTGGGGTGGGGGGAGGGGGGAGGGATAGCACTGGGAGATATACCTAATGCTAGATGACGAGTTAGTGGGTGCAGCGCACCAGCACGGCACATGTATACATATGTAACCTGCACAATGTGCACATGTACCCTAAAACTTAAAGTATAATAATAAAAAAAAAAAAACTAGAGAAGATCAAGCTTAGTGAGGGTGTCGTGTTGAATGCTTAGATAGGCAGAGAGCTAGGCCTCTTGCAACAAACAAGTAGTCAGGTGGTAAAACAAAGGACAATTCTTGACAGAAATTAAGAAGCGCTGCTCCAGTGAACACACAAATGATAAGAAAGTGAAAATAGTATTATTTGCTGATATGGAGGAAATTTGAATGGCCAGGATAGATCAAACCAGCCACAGCATTCTCTTAGCCAGAGCCTAATCCATAGCAAGGCCCTAACTCTTCAATTCTGTGAAGGTCTAGAGAGGGGAGGAAGCTTCAGAAGGAAAGTTGGAAGCTAGCGGAGGTGGGTTTATGAGGTTCAAGGAAAGAAGCCATCTTGACAACATAAAAGTGCAAGGTGAAGCCACAAGTGCTGATGGAGAAGCTGCAGCAAGTTATTCTGAAGATCCAGCTAAGATCATTGATGAGGGTGGCTACACTCAACAATAGATTTTCCACGTAGATGAAACAGCCTTCTATTGGAAGAAGACGCCATCCAGGACTTTCATAGCTGGAGAGGAGAAGTCAGTTCCTGGCTTTGAATTTTCAAAGGACAAGCTGACTCTCTGACTCTCTTATTCTGGGCTAATGGAGTTTGTGACTTTAAGTTAAAGCCAGTGATTTTCTTTTTCTTTTTCTTTTCTTTTTCTTTTTCTTTTTTTTTTTTTTTTACCATTCTGAAAATCCTAGGGCCCTTAAGCATAATGCTAAACCTACTCTGCCTGTGCTTTATAAATAAAACCACAAAGACTGGATGACAGCACATCTGTTGACAGTGTGGTTGACTGAATATTTTTAGCACACTGTTGTGATCCACTGAGACAAAAAGAAAAAAAAGATATCTTTCAAAATATTACTACTCATTGACAATATACATGGTCACCCAAGAGCTCTGATGGAGACATACAGGGAGATTGAGGCTGATTTCATGCCTGTTAATATAACATCCACTCTGCAAGTCAGGAATCAAGGTGTAGTGTTGACTTCAAGTTTTATTATTTAAGAAATACATCTCATAAAGTTATAGCCGCCATGGAGAGTGATTCCTCTGATGGATCTGGGCAAAGTAAATTGAAGGATTCACCATTCTAGATGCCACTAAGTACACTAAGTACATTTCATGATTCATGGGAGGAGGTCAGAATATCATTAACAGGACTTCGGAAGATGGTGATTCCAGCCCTCATGGGTGACTATGAGGGATTTAAGACTTCAGTGGAGCAGGTACCTGCAGATGTGGTAGAAATAGCAAGAAAACTAGAATTAGACGCAGAGCCTGCAGATGTGACTGAATTGCTGCAATCTTATTATAAAACATTAATAGATTAGGAATTGCTTCCCGTGGATGAGCAAAGAAAGTAGTTTCTTGAGATGGAATCCACTCCTAGTGAAGATGCTGTGAACATTGCTGAAATGACAACAGAGGATCTAGAATATTCCGTGAGCTTAGTTGATGACACAGTGGCAGGGTTTAAGAGGTTTGACCTCAATTTTGAAAGAAGTTGTACTGTGTGTAAAATTCTACCAAACAGCATCAAATGCTACAGAGAAATCTTTCATGAAAGGAAGAGTTAATCTATGTGGCACACTTCAATGTTGTCTTATTTTAAGAAATTACCACAGCCATTTCAACCTTCAGCAGCCACCATCTTGATCCGTCAGCCTACAACAACGAGGCAAGGTTCTCCACCAGCAAAATGATTACAACCCAGCCAAGGCTCAGATGATTGTTAACATTTTTAGCAATAAAGTATTTTTTTAATTAAGGTATATACATTGTTTTATACGTAATGCTATTCCACACTTAATAGACTACAGTATACTGTAAACATAACTTTTATATGCACTGGGAAACCAAAAAACTGTGTGACTTGCATTATCGCAATATCCACTTGATTAGGGTGGTCTAGAACCAAACCTGTGATATCTTTGAGGTTGCTTGTTCTTCTTTCACACACACTACATAGGAAAGTAGTCATTTAAGTAGATGTAATAACATTATATCCAATGTTCCCTATTATTGAACATTAAAACCTTTTTTCCCTTAAATGTTTTTGGCTGTTGAAATTATAAGTTTATGTAATTGCTTTTGTGGTTAGGGTGAAGTTGCATGATGAAAACTTTGCATTCTTTTCATTAACAAATAGTTAAATGGTTATATGTTAAAAGCGTGTCTCAGTATTTAATATGCCTATTTTGTAGAAAGAGGGAATTTTAAAAAGATATTTTTCCTGAGAAAATTTTTAATGGTGTCTATAAAACCTATTTTTCTTTAGCTCGTATGTGGCTGTTGAACCTTAATTTTGACAAGATAAAGATGTTGGATGGACTCTCAATATTGATATGTGGGTTCAAAAGGAAACCGCCCAGATAGGTTCCCAGACTCAGTAAGTGGCTGGTGTTTGAGCATAGCCAGGTGGAAAGGACCAGGGTGAAGACACGGGGAGGACTCTGGTCTCCAGCCTTGCTGCCTCCCGGCAGCTGCAGTGTAGCCCCTCTGTGCATGTGTGACCCTCGTCTGCCCGGGGGAATGCTCAGACATGCCCTGCTCAGGGGTAGGAACACTGCCAAGTAGCCCTTTTCAGACTGTAAATCACTGTGACCTCCTTGGCTGAGATGATGCGTTTCTCCCCTGACATTCTTTTTGATCTAAATCTACTAAGGTAAGCCTGCTAAAGGGAGCACACTCCTGGGAAACTGGAAGGAAGGAAGTGATGTGGTTCAGTGTGCAGTTTTCAGGAATATTTATAAAATCTTAATTAAAACAGGTAGAATAAACAGTGGTCTTTACATTGAGGGAGAATTTTCCTAAGTTTTGAGAAATTTGATAAAGGTATTGTTAAGTAATCAGCATTTCAATTCTATAAAAATGAAAAGATAAGACTATTTTGTAATTCGTTGCATTTTACCTGATGAATTTAATTCATTCACCCCTAAGATTCAAAGCTTACTCTGTATCTGACATTAAACACACCTCCTACAATTTATACACCTTATAACTTTTTCTGGAAATGTTTGCCTAGGAGTAAACAAAGTATTAAATTATAAAGCAACTCAAGGGAAATTATCAAATGTTGAATTAGCAGAACCTAAAAAAATGTAATGACTATAATAGGCTCAAGTTATTTTTTAAACAAGTCTATGTTAAGTAATACTATCCTAAGAGAAACAATAGTTTTTAGGAATGTATCCATTTGATTCACATGGCACTGTGAAGTTTTTGAATCAGTTTTACGTGTGTAATCTAATTTAATTATTATTTCACTGCGATGTTGGTCCAAGAATCAGATTTTATCATTTTAAGTAAAAAATCCATAAAATAATCATGGAATCATATCTGACTATACAGAATGGACCATAGAGATCCAATATTCTCCTCATTACAGGTGCCAAGAATAATGCACATAAAAGAGTAATAACTTAGCCAAAGTCACATAACTAAGAAAAATGGATCAGATGAGGGTTGGAGTATAATTAAACAGACACATGTGTGCATGTTTTTAAGTGGAGAAGTGCTCACTGAGTCCCCAGCCTGTCCTAGGCACTGTTGGCCTCTTGGGATGCAAAGTGAGTGGGGACGACCTGAGTGGCAGCTCCTACGTCCTTTGCAGCTACCACACATTGCAGGGCTGAGCTGTGGCCACCAGCAAGTCTCAGCCAAAGACCCTGCTTTTATGGGGACTTCATTTTATGTCTCTAAACTTCAAACTCTTAACTTTGATGGGCAGAATATTATCCATTTTTCCAATGGAAAGTGTTTGTCATTGTTCATTGGAAGAAAATGTGGAAAGTGTTTGTCATTGTTCACTGAAAGAAAATGCATGCTCAGGTTTCTGCTTTCATTTAACCTTCCAAGGGCAGCTGTCATTGTTTCTATGTAGATCTTAGTGGGACACTAACTGAGTGGCGTTCGTTTTTCTTCTTATCCGAATTGTTTTGGTTTATATCTAAAACTAGGAGTGTGGATTTTCCTCACTCAAATGACATTTGCTGATAGATTACTTGTTGATGTCTTCATTCTTTCTGTTTGTTGGATATGCTGCTGGATTAAGAGAGTTTATTTTTCTTTCTTGTGCCAAAAAATGGTTTCATTTGTACTAACATGAAAATATCCATAAAGATAACCTGCCAGAAAAATGACTGAATTGTATTGGACCACTGCTGTTCTGTGACAGGTTCTCTGTTAGGAACTTTCACAAATACCGTCTCATTTACCCATTTGCGTGTCTGAATAAAGTTGCAATTATCTCCTTTTACAGATCAGGAAGCAGAGGCACAGAGCGGTGAGGCAGATTGCACGCCTGTGTGTAGGCAGCACGTGGCAGACGTCGTCGGACGTGTCTGTGGCTCGCTCCACCTCCTCCAGGGGCTTATGTTCTACATATGACTAAAGTCATTGGTCACGCAAAAATCTTCAATGCCAGTTATACCACCAGTATACAGATGTATTTCCATACAACCTTCAATCTTTGGTAGACCCAGTTGACCAAGTCAGAAGGCACAGTATTAGAAGTTTAGAATTCTTGATAACCAAGCACTTCTTACAGCTCCCTTAGCTGTTAACTTCTAGAAACTGGGCTAAATTGGAAGTCTGTTCCTTCCTTCCACCCGTATGGCCCAGTAATTTGCGTGGTTAGTTTCTCCTCCCCGTGCCTCTTCCTGGCTCTTTACGCTTCTTCCAGCACCTGATATGCATTCACTGATTCTCTCAATGCCAGCGATTCAGGGAAGGAAATATACTGACTTCTGGATAAACAAGGGGCAATGCTTTATAACAACTTGCATACATTTTTGTCACACTTTGAATCTATAGAATAGCAATAATTATTTGGTGAGTGTTATGCTGTGTGATACTTTATGTCAAGTATATTCTGTTTTAGAATAGCCTTCTCTGTTTGAATCTGCTAGAAGGCATCAGTGTGCTATGCTTCCAACAAAGACATACGAGAATGATCTCAGCAGAGATGCACTCAGCTGCATAAATAAATTAAAAAGCAGTAAAATAGGTAAATTTAGTATTTATGATTATTCTAAATTATTAAGAAACTCACCTTAAATTTTATGAAGGTAAATCAACTTTAGTAACAAAAATCAGGACTTAATAAAAAAATTGACCTTCATAGATTTAAATAATCAATAATAAATAATGCATTTTCATAATTTTAAAATTATAAACATTTGCATAAATTATTAATGTTTTGAAACCCTATTCTGAGTCTTCTCCATGCTATGTTTACATGTATATATGTACATGCTATATTTACATGTATGTACGTACGTAATTCTTAATATATTAGTTTTTATCATACTCTTCTGCTTTTCACACATGCTTGTTATTTTTGGACTCCTTATCAACAGATGCTGAACTAAATATTTTTAGCAGCTTCTCAGTATCACCTATAAATCATAATGCACTTTAAAATGAAAGGTGTGAAATGAACACCTTGCCCGCCACTCTCAGTGCCAAGTCTGATTGTATGTTTAGGATGAATTCTTAGAAGTAAAAATGCCACATTAAAACCGAGGCCTAGTCAACGTTCACATCTGTTTCTGAGTGTTTTCTGGGAACATTCTGTGCGTTCACACACACCTGCCAACACCATATGGACGTCCATGTCCGCACGTCTTTGCTGGTGTGCGGTGTTGCTATTCCTTTTAAACATTTACCTGCCTGGTAGTTTAAAATTCTTAATGTTGTAGTGACTGTGGTTTTTTCATGGCTAGTGAGGTTGCATGTATTTTCACATTTATAATTCATTTTCTTTTCTTTCTCCTTTTGGGAATGACTTTTATATTCCCTGCTCAATTTTCACAGGGTGCTCGTGTTTCCTCATGTGAGGCTCCATGAACCCCGGGTCTGCGGCACGCATTTAGTTTCGAATATGGTATTTTTGTTACAGAAAGGTTTTTTATTTCTATGTAATGAATCCTTCACTCAAGAACTTCTGGCTTTTGAGTCACACTAACCCAATATGCTTACACACATCCCCGCACACAAACACACACACACTGATATTTCCTCACAGGTTTTTATTTTGTTTTTCTACATCCCTGTGACTGTTGATCTCTCTGGAACGAACTTTGTGAAATGAGGCATATGACACCCATGTTTACAGTTATCAAAGCATTACTACATTGAGCAGTAGTCTGAAGATCTTTCTCCGTAGGAATGTTTTTTGTTTTTTTTTCTCCAGGGATGTCATACACCCTACAGGTACCCGAGACCTCCTGGTGCTGACGCGGGTTCACGGCCCTCACTGTTTTGCGGCTGCTGTGGCATCGTGGTGGATTTTATGTTTTCATGTCTCTCTGTAGCAGGTCCTTTTCTCTGCAGCTGTCTTATTTCATTAAACACATTGTTAGAATTGTAAGGCTACACTTCAAAGTTGTCTGTACTGGATTTTTATTGGAACTGCATGGATAAAGTTACAAGGGTGGAAGTAGGCTTCCTGTGGCATTCCGTTTGAGAACTGTCTTGTGCCCCTCGGATATGCCAGGCTGGGCTGTAGAAGCTGGTCCCCCTGAAGTGGAGAAGGTAGAGAGGACCCTTCCATCATGGAACTCATGCTCTGTTGTCAAGCGGCACATGGGTTCTGAGAAGTTCTAGGGAGAAAGATAAAGCTGGGAAGAGGTATGAAGAGCAGTGGGGATGGCGGAGTTCCGATTTTAACTGGTCAGTTAGGGAAGCTGCCGAGGAGGGGACTCTCAGCCCAGACCCCAGGACATGAGGATGCCAGGAGAGGAGTGGGTGGGGCAGGTGGACAGACCCCAGGCAGGTATGGCAGGATTGCAGGACAGCTGGGCAGGGCAGGTGGATGGGCCCCAGGCAGGCACGGCGGCGCTGCAGGACAGCTGGACAGGGGACAGGGAGAGACTGCAGGTGCCGGCCTCACAGGGCATCACCGGACACTGGCTTTTCCTTTGAGAAATGGCAAACTTTGGGGAGATTTTGTTCAGAGAATGATGTTACCTGAACCGTATTTTAACAGGGCCGCCCAGCTGTGACCTTAAGAATACACTGAACTGGGACAAGGCTGGAAACAGGGAGGTCTTTTATGAGGCCAGTAAAGCAGCTTTGAAGGCAACTGAACCCCGTGACCCCAGGCAGAGGGAGAGACATTTCAGGGGATTTGCTGGTGAGTTGGACACTGAGGGTCAGGAGGGAGGAAGGTCACAGGAACTGAGGAGTTTCAACCAAGACAGCAGGGTGATGCCGTTGCCACCCACTGGGGTTGGGGGAATCGTTGGATGAGAAGGGGTTTTGCTTTTGTTTTTAAATATTTTTATTTGTTTTGAATGGGAAAGACTCAAAGTTTACTTTTGAAGAAGTTGAGTTGGAATAACTATTTTATTTCCAAGAAATGTGTCAAGGAAATGTATTCAATTAGCTCATTAAATACCCAGAATCACTTAAGCAGTGGGAAATGTGGGCCTTGGAGAAGGCAGGACCCAGCGGAACCCGCGTCCCCTCTCCTTGCTTTTATTCCTCCTGGTGAGTGACCTGCTGTTATCTCAGCACCTCTGTGCCCAGGCTGTCCACAGAGGTTTTCCTGGAGGGCTACAGGTGATGTCTCCAGGGCACAGGAAGGGGCACAGAAAGCAGTGCCTGGAGGGCATATTACTGCATATTACGGCAAATAATTCTCTCTGGAAAACTAAGGCCAATTTGACATAATGTGTGTTAGTATAGAAGAAAGGGATTAGCATAAATTGCAACTTTGATTTGGAACGCCTAATTACCTCTAATCTGGTTGTGTTCCTGACTTTAGTTTTTTAACATTTTGAGCAGAAGTTAGGTTTATTTCAGATGGCATCATCTGGTTCGCACGGTGTAATAAAACAACAGATGATCTATTAGAGGTCTTTGTTGAATCTTATTTGCTTTCCTTAGCTAGCATTTAAAATTTTATATATTTAAAATACTATGTTTTATTTGTTAAAGCTCGGCACACCCTTCCCGTGTCCTCGGTCATGGAAACTGTTCTCTGTGGACACCAAGTTCAGTGTTTTCCATTCCTAGATCCCTGGGTTGCAGGCAATGTCCTCACCAGGACAATTAACCGGTAGCAATGGTGAGTGGTCAGCGTGATGAATTAGTTGGAAGTTAATATCCTATGTGAGTGTGGACTTTACATCAAGATATAACATCGATCAATATCACATCTTTTTGATGTGAACTAAAAACTGTTCTTGTCCTGAATAACGAGAGCAGAGCAAGCCCTTCCTCCGAAGGCGGCTGCACTACCTGAGCTTCTCTGGGAGTGGCCCACTGCTCACTGTGGACGCTGCTCACCACGCATCTGCCACTTGGGGTCTCTGCACCCTGTTCCGGGTCCTGCTCCTTATTAGTGCCGCCCCTGAGGTCCTCCATGAGAGCCCCACGGGTCCCCCAGGGCGGTGGCGAGGGGGACTTGTCCTGGGCAATGGTGTGGCTGGGGGACAAGCGATGGCTTAGTGAAAGTCTGCAGCAAGAATGTGCTCAGATGCATCGGTCACTGGGGGATCTGGAGAAATTAGGCTAGCCAGAGCTCCTATTGCTAGGGAGATTCCTAGGTCATCATGGAGAAAGCCTGTTTAGCAGGATGATATGGCCTCTGTATGCACTCAGAGTGAGTGCGTCCTTCCAGACACTGCCTGTGACTTATTTTTATAGGAATTTGACTTTTACTTTGAGTTTTGGGTTCCAACTTTACAACTCCAGGCTTGGTCTGTATCAGCTAAAACTTTTATTCATGTGCTGACCTCAGCATATTGATACACTTGCTCTTCTGTGGTGTGTATGTGCCTATGTGTATGTGTGTGCATGCATTTGTGTGTGTCTGTGTGCCCGTGTTTGTGTCTGTGTGTGTGCATGCATCCCTGTATGTGTGTGCATGAGTGTTTGGGCATGTGTGGAGGTATGCATGTAGGCCATGTGTGTTGCATGTGTGTGTGTGTCTGTGTGCCCGTGTTTGTGTCTGTGTGTGTGCATGCATCCCTGTATGTGTGTGCATGAGTGTTTGGGCATGTGTGGAGGTATGCATGTGGGCCATGTGTGTTGCATGTGGGTGTGTGTGCAGGTGGTTTATAGGATGTGGGAGGGGAGGTTGGAAGTTGGAAGAGGCATGGCTGCTTCCTGGGTGGTGGCATGAGAAAGGTCTGGATGCTATAAAAGCAGCAGGTGTTTGTGTTTTTGGGTGGCCTAGGTCAACAATTAAGGACATACTTCTGAGCTCCATTCTGCAGGAATCATTACCGAGAACGCTGGTGGCCCTTCCTTTTCTCAGAGCCTGAGAGCTGTCAGTCATAGTAACTGGCAGGGAGCGTGAGAACCATGGCCCCAGGAGAAGCAAGGAGAGAGACTGGGACCTGGGACCTCTCCCAAGCCTCAGGGCCCTTCTCTTTTACGGCAAACAGGTTGACTTTCCGCAGGCCACGGCGTCCTGAGGAAGCCCCATCGCTCAGCCCCTCCCATTGTCAAGCCCACACGCCTGGGCTAGGGGCTCAGTGCTTGCAGCCCTGTGGCGGAGCTGGCCTTGCCTCCCTCTGTGTGCAGCGGAGTGGGGGATGCCCACTTGTCATCAGGCGCCCGTGTGTGAGAGTAAATGCGGGAGGCAATGGTGAGATATCCTCACAGGTGTGGTGAGAACGCACATCAAAGTCAGGCAGGGAGCTGCGGGCACCTACGTTTCATCCTGTTTCATGCTGGTTAGCTAGAATTCTGTTTTCCCAGTCGAGTGTTCACTTATAAGAGTTACACGTTACACACACTCATGGGGAAATACTGAGGAGGGTCTTCCTGCCCTTAGGGATATGTCTACATTTCTTCATCTCTCCAGTGAGCTCAGCCCTCGGTCAGGCAGGGCCAGCAGTCAGGCTGCAAAGGGCCAGGGGGCCTGGGTCCAGCCACACCCCATGCACCTGGGACATAGCCAGGGCCTCCTTCCCGGCTGCCCTTGGTGCCTCCACAGGCACTGCCCCTTCCAGAGAGCTGGTGGATCCACAGACGTCCCGTGAGCTCCCAGAGCCGTGGCAGCACTCCCAGTTCCAGCACCCACCCGGTCTGGCAATCTCACCCGTGTACAGCCCCCTGGGGTCAGCGAAGTGGGTGGGAGCACACAGTGCCCACAGGGATGGGAAGAAACCATTAGAGTTCCCATTGGGTGCAGTTTTACTTATGCTGGGTGAGGTGTGGATTGCAGTGGCCGGTCCCTGGGCTGCCAGCCAGATAGTCACGTGTGACAGTGTGTGTGAGCACAGTCCTGCATGTGTGGTTGTTAAATTACCAGATGCAATGCAGTGGGGCACACACTCTTTTTTGTGCTGTGTTGAGTGATTGAAAGCCAGAGGAAACCACTTGGAACCCTCCTGAAACTCTCCTGTGCGTGGGGATCAGCTGAGGATGTTGGGAGGAGCAGATTCTGGCTTGGTTGGCAGCTTCCCTCGGCGATGGTCTGTGGTTCCCATGAGTGCTGAGGAGGCCTCCACTGTGGAAACAAGCCCAACAAGCCCTTCCTACCGCACTGTGCTACTTAATGGAGGCATTTGATGAGCTGGTTTTCTAAATCCTTTTGCTATTTGATGAGCTGGTTTTTTAAATCCTTTTGCTATTTGATGAGTTGGTTTTTTAAATCCTTTTGCTCAGCCTGGATCTTACCTGATGAACTCCGGATCTCTGGGGCAGACGCAGGCGCTGGGGCTCCTTGAACCCCCTGTTTGGTTCTCACAGCAGCTGAGTTGCAGAGCTGCAGGGTCCTATGTGGCCACAGCCTCATCCTTCACACGTGGGGACCTCCCCGTCCGTGGGCCAGGCTCTGCCCTCATGTATGGCTCTGAATGTGAGGGTTGATTAGCACTGGGGCTCTAGGCAGAGAGGATGGTGGAGTCTCAGCCCTCCTTGCTGGGCCACTGGCCTCCAGCTGTGCCCATCCCTCTCCCCCGCCACGTGGCATGAGGACCAAGTGCCCTGGCTGCCACCCCTGCTCCTGCACTCCGGAGGCTGGGTCCCGACAAGGCACTGGGCATGTGGCCGGGCATAACTGCTATCCTGTGGGACGCCCAAGCCCTGTGCCTGACCGGCGGCCTGCTCTGGAGCCCCCAGGGTGGCTTTCCCTGACTCTCCCGGAGGAGGAGGCAACGTTTCTAATGATCCAAAGGTGTCTTTCTGAACTGTCTTTCCTTCATCTGCTGACAAAGCTGATAGATTTATCTTCTTTGACTAATTAAACTTCCCTCCTGATCAATACTTCCTAGCAATTCCACATTGTGTTGCTTGCTGTCCAGGAACAACAGGCCTGGCCTGTTCCCCAGCTCCCAAGACACAGCAGCAGCCCCTGCAGGAGCTTGGGCCACGCCCACCTGCTCCCTTCTGAGAAGGCCGCTTCCTCCTCGGCTGTCGTTACTTCCAATGTGTTCCTTTCCTACTCCAGGCCAACAAACCTTCACACAGATATTTTATGAATCTTAAAAACTATCATTTTTATTCAAATAACTTTAGTTAAACTAAAAAAATATATATATATATATTTGGAAGTGGGAAAAATTATTAAAATAAAATACTATAAAACTTCACAAGTTAAAAAAAAAACAAACGCCTGGCTAATTTTCTTTTAAAAACATGCCTTATATAAATCCTACAAAAACGGCTCAGGAACAATTATTCAACATTTTATTATTTTTTGCATAAATGAATCAAATCCTTATCGGTTGAGCACAGATCTGTGCACACGCGAGCACTACACGTGCATTTTAGGATTGTCTTGAGCAGGAGGCGTGCGTCACCTATCCCCACCCCTGGCTCCTGCCCTCACACCATTTTTTTGTGTTTCCACTTTGTCCCTACAGACGAAAACCACTATTGCTCTGTTGTATGATGAAGAGTCCGAAAATGCCTATGACATCCGGCTGAAGCTGACGAAAGAGGTGCTGACAATTCAGAAACAAGATGTTGTCTGTGTGGGCGGAAGCCACCAGGGCAGGAATGTAAGTGCCATCACTTCAGGGAAGTCTTGGAGTGTTTCGGACGAGCCCCATGAACGGTCTTTGAAAAGTGTGGTTCAAGAATGATTGCTGAGCAAAAGCTGCTACTCGTTATTTAAATATCCCCAACTACTGGCTTTCACTGTGTCACAAAATACAGTTTTTAAGGTTGTATTATTTACTCTCTCCCTGACTTTCTTATTTGCCAATACATTTTCCATGTAAAGCTTTACGTAAAAAATAGCCCCAATCCTGGCGTGTGCCTGTAATCCCAGCTACTCGGAAGTCCGAGGCAGGGGAATCACTTGAATCCAGGAGGCGGAGGTTTCAGTGAGCCAAGATCGCACCACTGCACTCCAGCCTGGGCAATAGAGCGAGGCTCCATCTCAAAAAAAAAAGGAAAAAAAGAAAAAGAAATACCCCCAAAAGCCACCATGTGAGATGTGGAATGTTTTCAGTGTGTTTTTGAAAATATTCCAAAAACCATTTCCATTCCTACGTTCTAGGCTGGCCCTTTCTGGGGGCACAGGCTTAGGAGACCCTGTGTCTATTTGGTTTTCTGAGTCCTCCTGTCCTTTACCTTGGAAATAAAATGAAGGGGGCATTTCCCCCCTTACTCGCAATCCTGTGATCAGTGTTTCTGAAAGAGGTGCAGATGTTAGCAAAGTATGACGGGTTTCCCGAGAAGGTCCACAAAGATCCCACCGTAAACCGTTCTGCTGTTGATGTGTATCGTGTACAAGTGGCTCCTGTGAACATCCTGGCTCACACCTTCAGTTTGGAGCCCCTCCTTCTGTGGCTGGCACCCGGTCCGCCCTCCTGCTCCCCAACATGTCCCCTGTGGCTCAAGGAGGCGAAGGCTCTGGGATGGGGGCAGGGTCCCCCTTTCAGTTGCTCTTCCCTGGAACCCCAGCCCCAGAACCACATCCCACCACGTGCCCTCTTCGTTCTGGCTCCAGGACTGCATCTGTCTTCGTCTGTTTGAGTTGCTGTAACAAAATCCCCAAGCTGGGTAATTTACAAAGAACAGAAATGCATTGCTCACAGTTCTGGAGGCTCAGAGCACAGGATCAAGGTGCCCGCAGGCTGGGTGGTCTGGTGAGGGTCTGCTCTCTTTCCAGACAGCGCCTTGAATGCTGCATCCTCCAGAGAGGACGATCACTGTGTCCTTGGGTGGCGGGAGGAGGAAGGGGTGAGATCTCTCCGCCAAGCTTTCGTGTGAGGGCACCTGACCCCATTCATGAGCTCACAGCCCTCATGGCTCAGTCACCTCCCACAGCCCACACCCCGGCACCACTGCCCTGGGTAGTAAGTTTCCACGTGAGCTTTGGGGGAGACACAGACATCCCAACCACGGCCTCTGCGTTCAAGAGGCCACTGTCGGTCTTCACGGGCTCATACAAGATTCCCACAACCCTGAGGCTTTTTTTCCCCGACATGTAGATAAATCGCATGTCTGCTTTTATGTCGTCTAATCACTAACCATTATTTTTTTTCCTCCACTTGTTCTAAATACCTAATAAGAGTGGGCTTGAGCAAAGAAAAAAATCAAGGAAGCTTTCGTAATCATTTTAAACTTACCCTGCTTAATAGAGATTTTTAACTATAGAAAATCTCAAAGTAAAAACACTAAATGTTTTTATGCTGTATTGGCTAGAAAAAAATAAATTACATTTTAAAAGTCTATAGCATCAGGTTCTCTACCAAAAGTTAGGTTATTGGTGAAAATGAAAGACTCCTTAAGAAAAATGGGCCTATGCTCATAGGTATAGACTTATGCGTACAGTTTTAGGTGAATTATTGACTCCAAACCTCTAGTTATATTTGTATTCCCACCTGCACATTGGAGAAGACAACATTAACGGATAGATGTGTGTTTTGTTTTCTTGAACCTGCTGAAAATAGAACCACATTATCCGTTAATGATAGATGACCATAAAACAAAAAAGAGCAAAACTAGCTTTACCTTTAACAAAGCCAACAGGTCTCTAAATTCTGTCCGTGTATCCAGCAGTGCAGAATCTGAATTGATGTATTATTTTACTTCCTATTCCTTTATAGTGACATGAAGTGTCGATGTTTAAGGATCTCAGGATTCTGTCTCCCAGAGACAGTGTGGGCTTTCAGGACGGGAGAGCCGGCTTCCTCTTACCTTTCAGAATTTCCATTTAGATTGCTTTATTTCTTTTATAATTGTCATTGTGCATTAGATGTTCTTTTAATTTATAAGTCCATGTTGGTACTTTGAATTAATGGGGTGGGATGCTGTATATTACACTTGTTATGTTAGGTCACGGTAGATTTGCAGTTGGAAAGTATTTTAGAAAATTTCACATCTTCATTTTACTATTTAGGAAATTAAGATTCAGGAAGAAGAAGGTATGCGTCTAATATTACAGTTACTCACATAGTTAAGACAGCAATGGGCACAGCTCTGCTAATTTATAATCTAAGGGATGCTCTCTGATAAGTTAGTGAAGACCACACAAGAAACAGACAACCACAAGCAGCACCAACACAAACAGTGCTGGGTGACTATTAAAATAGTGTGAGTTTAGAGAGGGCTTCAATCACGGAAACTGGTGTGAGGTGATTTAACCTGTGCATCAGGGGACAGCCCAGGGGCTGAGCCAGAGAGGAAGACACGGGCTCGCTCTCTCGCTCTCTCTGTCTCTCTCTCTCCTGCATAGAAGCAGAAAGCCCAAAAAGTCAGATCTTCTGTGAGTGAACTTGAAAAACAATCTGTCCCTTAGAAAGGGACAGTCAGAACATTCACCTGGAAGAGAGACAAAGACACAAATCCCGAAGGATCCCAACCCCACATCTGCCCTCATGGGGGTTTGGTGCTGAGATTTATGACATAGAAACCACCAGCAGAAAATGAAGTTTAATGTTTCAGATTTGGAGGTTCCCCAGGTACGAAGTAGAAGCAAAATGCACATTCTCTCCAGCACAATCTACTCTAATGAAGGCCTCAGGCCACTGCCAAGTGTAAGGTCACAGGACCCTGTGGAGATCCTAAAATTATTTGTTAATGCAGAAACGGACTCACTGACAATTCAGGTTAAAAATGATCTGATTCACAATATAAAGTACTTGGATTTATTATGTTTCAAAACATGAAATAGGATATATAAATATGAAAAAGGAACAAGGGGCTATAAAAAGTCATCCAGCAGATGTGAAAACACACCAAGATAATATCTAGAAATTAAAATAGAAACAATACCTGAAATGAACCTCCATGAACAATTTAAATAACGTGTTAGGTACCAATGAGAAGCATGAAGTATAAACAGAGCTGAAGAAATGACACAGAATGGAGCACAGAGAGCTGGGAAACATGGAGGGAAATGGGCCTGGAGAGTGGCCTGGGGTTGCTGACATTTGAGGAATCCGGGGTGCTAAGGAGCAGAAGGAGGGTGGCAGGAAACGGAGGTCAAGGAGGCAGGGCTGACAAGTCTACGTAAGTGCTGGCAGATAGCAGCCCTCAGGTTTAGATGGCCGACAGATAGCAGGAGGGGTAAATAAAAAGACAGCGGCACTTCCTTCTGGTGATGCGCACCTGCTGTTGTGCACACCTGCTCTTGTCCTCATGGCTGTGCTGGCCTCATGAAGAGTTTGGAGGGCTTTCCTCTCTTTCTTCTTCCCAGAAGAGTTCGTGTAGCATGGCTGTTCTGTCTGTCCTATAGGAAGGCTTTGTCAGGGTAATGTAAGTCTGTAGACTTAACTATCAGAATTCAAAGTACATCGTGCTCTAGCCCTGACCTAACCTCTTACTGTTCCCGGGTAAATGCAGGTTAGGCCACTGGCCACACTCTGCTGATGCTGCAGTATGTGATATTGACTTTGCCACTCTGTTAGACTATATGTAGCTTAACATCAAAGACCATGGTGTTTTCTTCTGTTTCCTATATGTATCTTTACAACTGTGCAAATGAGACTAAAGCCATTTTTGAATGATTGAGCGCATAAGTAAATAAAAAGACATATTTTAGAATATGCAAATTAAGACCATTAAATAACGTATGGTAATGTACTAATCGAGTCAGTCTCAAGCCTTTGAGCCTTCAAAAGGCAGGCAATTACAGTGGTCCACTGAGCTTGTGAAAATCATTTTTAAAATGTAGGTGTATTGCTTCTATAACAACCAACGTGAAGGAAACCCAAGATCTGTGATTTGAATTTGAATTGAAGAAGTTAAAGTCTCTCAGATTGTTGAATGGATCATCACACTTGCAAGCGTGTAGGAGTTTATGATAAATTCTATACACAATATACAAAATTCTACACTTGCTTGTCATACAGTCAATATTTCATGGCTACTTTATCTAAATTTATATCTATATTTCACACCCAAGTTGCTTCTTATTCTTTGGGTCCAAAATCAGGAGTAGACATCGCTTCTGCTTTACTTTTTTAAATTCTAACCTTAATCTTTATTATTTTATGTCCTTAAATTAGGCAAATGACCAATTTCCCTTACAATATTTTATAATTCAGCCAAAATACAAGTAATTTAATAGGAACCCTTTTAAGCTAATTGGACACTTTATCAGCATTATGTATTTTTCTGTTGATAACTTTATTGACAAACATTTATTAGTTTGTTAACTCTTCCATTTTTCTCAGATCCCAACACAGAATCTGTTTCTTTCCAGTTTCTGAAAACCAGTTTCTGTGTGCTTCTTCATGCACTGAGTCAGCTCTGATGCCTGTGTGTGTCGCCTAACCTGTCTTTCTTGGTTGGGTCCCACTCCGCCTGGCACCCCTGGTCCTGCTCAGGGCATGTGAGCTCTCATTAGTCCATTAGGGGAAGGTCTGATGGACACCTCGGCCTGTGCTCCACAGAGCTCATCAGTGTAGAGCAAACATGCATGTTTACAAATGGAATACTGCATAAGAAGAATTGGCTACTGTTCCTAGAAAGTAGAAAACAGAAAGCAAAACAACTGCATTCGGAGCTTTCATTTGTCAGTGACTCACCCACCAGTGGAAGAATCATATAAGCTCATTAGAGTGTGTCCATAGTCAAACTGTAATATGAATTCTTCCCTCGTTATGTTCTATCCCAGGGCCTACCAGATGTCTTGCTGATTGCCTGGCTGGCTTTAAGTGGGAGGATATCCTTCTTACGAAAATCACTAACTACACTTCTGTAAGGCATCCATTCTTGTTTGAAATTGATTTCTCTTGTGTTTAAAATGGCCACTGGCCTTTTTCTTGGATGAATTTATTTCCAAAAGATTTGTCTCCACAGCGGAGGATGGCATGGCGAGGCAGTATGATTGGAACATAAACAAACTGTAAGACACAAAGTGCTGGGAAAAGTGCAGATAAATTTGGAAGCAAGTGATTTGTGAAATTTCACAGGTACGGGGCTGAAGGCTGCAAGGATGAACCAGGGCTTTGAAATTCATACCTTCAGGAGAAAAGTGGACAGTCTTGCTGAAAAGGCTTCTGAAACAATTAACAAAATGCAGTCGTCAGCAAAACATCTAGAATTTATCTGTCATCACTTGGATAGTGGCCGACTCTTACAAAATTTACCTTCACCTTAATTTTCAACACTATTGAGTTAGCTCATTAAAATGTTATTTAATGGTACCCAGAATAGGGTTCACTTTAATAAGGAAAGTTCTGGTTTAAAGAATATGAAAACCTTAAAATAATGAACAGTTTGGCCGTATTCATTATAAAAGTTTACACCAAGGTTTAGTTAAAAATAATAGTTTACACTTTGGGAGTCTGAGGCAGGAGGATCACAAGGTTAGGAGTTTGAGACCAGCCTGACCAACATGGTGAAACCCCGTTTCTACTAAAAATACAAAAATTAGTCGGGTGTGATGGCAGCTCCCTGTAATCCCAGCTACTCAGGAGGCTGAAGCAAGAGAATCACTTGAACCCAAGAGGTAGAGCTTGCAGTGAGCCGAGATTGTGCCATTGCACTCCAACCTGGGTGACAGAGCGAAACTCCGTCTCAAAATAATAATAATAATAGTTTACATATGTTTGTGTACGAGGGTGTGTGCACACAAAAGCACACTTTATAAAGAAATCAAATAGCGCGTCACTCAAGTAGAACTTTCAATAACTAAAATCTAACAGCAAAGACAGTTGCATAATCTGCCAAACATTTTTATTTTTTTAAGTATATAATTTTTCAAACCTAAAAAAATTGAAGTGAGCAAACAGAACCCTGTGCAATTATTATTAATATTTATTATATGCCAACATAGCACTAGATTGCTTTGGCTCTGTCTACGTTATTAAAGAGTGAAGTGTGCCTCCACATCTGGAGCCTGACTGCTTCCTCACTGGCCTTTCGGTACTGATGCTCCTACCGACTGTTCCATTTACATTTTTAAATTCTTCCTTCATACGCATTTTTCCACAGACAACATATTTTTTGTGTGTTTTTCAATTGTAGATAAATGGAATGCCATTAGGTGCTCATTTTGCAAACGTTATGCTTTTTAAATGGATCTACAATGCATGAAGATAAAACCTGCTCCATGTAGATCTACTTAGTCCATTCCTTTAAGGACTATGAGTTGTTATATGAACTGTCCAAAGTTGATAAGTTTTCTGCACATTCTTAGTTGGATGTAAGTCCCCACAAGAAAAATTTATATTTTCAATATTACCAACATATTTATTTTAATAAGCCTAACTTTGCAATGATGTGTACATTCGCTAGAAGTTAATCTGGGGCTCATATGTGGTGAGTTCTTGTTACCAGCTGTGAATCCACAACCGTCTGCAGCAAACTTGATTCTTGCTTCCTTGGAGGAAAGAACTGGGTTGAGGGGCAGAAAGAGGTTTAAGTCAGAGGGAGAGAGTGAGGCCAGTTTTAGAGCAGGAGTGAAAGTTTATTAAAAAGTTTTAGAGCAGGAATGAAAGGAAGTGAAGGACATTTGCAAGGGCCGGTGGGTGACTTGAGAGATCAAGAGCCCCATCCAGCCCTTGACTTGGGGTTTTCTCCATTGACATGGTTCCAAGGTTTGCAGCCCCCCTTCCCTGATTCTTCCTTCGGGGTGGGCTGTCTGCATGTACAGGGCCGGCCAGCATTTGGGAGGGGCCGCATGCACTGTGTGTTTCCTGGGGCTGTGCACATGTTCACTTGAGGCGTTTTTCCCTCACCAGTTGAGTCCACCCAGAGGAAAGTCATAGACCAGTTAAATACCACCCTTTTGTCTTGAAGTGTGCATGCTTGAGGCCACTTGCCCAGCTCCTGAGATCTTATCGGGAAGCTGCTTATCTCCAGCCTCAGGTGTTTTCTATCTACCGGGAGACTGCCTTTTCCTGGTACTGGCTGTGCCCAATGATCATTTTAGAGAGAAAGTGTAACAACCACCTGACCACCACCTGATGGTCGCCTGACGTTCTGGGGCTGGGGCCCATCTCCTGCCCTGTTCATGTCTGCTCTGTGATATGGTTGTGAAGAGCGAAGTTGAAGGGCGATGACAGGCCCATTCGCATCTGTGACTAATCTTGGTGGGTGCCCAGCTGACTGGCAAGAGCAGTGCTGCCAGGTGTGGAGCTGGCAGGTGAGAGGCAGCTGACATGGACAGACACCCCTGCTCCTCATCACCTGCCCTGATAGTGCAGGCCAGGCTGACCAGGAAAGCTGCCAGCCCCAGGTCCCTGGACCACTTGGGACAGCTCCCCTGGAGGGCCAGGCCCATCAGTACAGGGGCTGGGGGAGGACAGCTTAGGGTGGAAAAGCCCTGGAAGCTAATTCAGAGGAGAAGAGCATCTTCAGGTTCCTCCTGTACCCCATCAGGGATCGAGGCAGGGGCTCCAGATGGACCAGAGACTCTGATGCCAGGACGCAAACATCATAAGGTCATGGCGGCCGGGGGCCTGGTTCCTGACTGCAGCTCCCAGAGACCCCAGTGCACTGTCCCCGCATCAGGTTAGGGCTACGGGGCCGCTCCCCCATGAAGCCCGCCAAGGGCAGCTTTTGTCATTCCTGGCCTGTGCTTAGACCTGAAGAAACTCATACTCAGGGCTTTGGGTGTGAGAAGCCAGATCCAACTCCTCAAGAAGGTGGAATACTATGGAATCATTGAATTTTTAAAATTTAGGAGTTATCATACACTTTTCAAAACTCTAATCCCAGGATATTGAAATCCTTCTAATAAGGATTTAACATCCAAATTAAGCAAATATGCACAAGAGTTTTCAAGTAACTCTTCTTAGTTTGAAATCATTGCATCCAGACACTGAGAAATAGTTTACTTACTTCAGATGGCAAATCCAGGCTCCCTCAGCCTATTTAGGAAATTTTATTTGAGTGAATTACTTTTAAAAAGTGGAGAGAGATTCAATGCCCCATTCTGAAAAATGCCTTATAGAGTGTTTGCTAAAGCAAAGGGAATGTCCAACTCTGTGGAAGAAACAATGCCTCCTGACTCAACAGCCCCCTCACATAGCCCCAGGGCGAAGTCTGTTAGCACATTGTTTTCTGAAATAAAACTCTATGAGTATTTTTGAAAGTATCTTTCATGTGTGGGTGTGAAATAGAATACTTCAGAATTGTTTTTCTATAAATTTCTAATTTTTAAAATTTAACTTTCAAGCCCTTCAATTAGAGAGAGAAAAAAAAACCCTTATTTTCTAGGTCCCTCGCCTTTCCCACATCTCCATTCTCTCCTTACAAGAGTGAGGCCAGGCCTGTGTGAGGAGTAAGACCTCCAGGGAAGGGAGGGGGATCGACGAGGACCTGGGGAGAGAGCAGGGGGATTAACACCCCAGGTCATCCTGTCCTCACCACAAGAAGGGTTTTGGGCTGAACAAACCTGGGGGCAGGGTCCTGGCTGGTGGCCATGGTACAGGCGCAGTGTTTTACCTGTAGAACTGATTGAAATCTTTCTGGAAACTGCAGTATTAAAATCTGAACATGAGTTTGCAGCCATAACAAATTTAAATTTAGTGTTAAGTCCACAGTTTAAATATCTGAAGTAGAATTGTGAGGCCCATTCATACATGTAATTCAGTAATAACTTGAAGAACAATGTTTTAGAAGACCAGAATAAGAAATATGATCTTATATACCCCCAAACCACTTTTTTGTTGATGAGAAATGTATAATTGATAAGTTATCTATGTCATAGAAAATAGCTCGTTCTTAAAATATGTGGTCAGAAGATAATGTGGAGATAGCTATGTTCTATTATTAATATAATGATGCTGCTACCAAGATGTGAACATTAATTAAATGTCATAACATAGTTTGGGATTAAATGATAAAATGCAGAATAATATTTTATGAAAGATTTTATCTGATATGTTTGTGAAAAGAAAAGCAGGATTGACTTTGAAAATAATTTATTGAACAATTACCTTAGATTGCAACCTCCATTCTGTAGAAGTTTTATGATACATTCGATTGTATTCTGAATTTGTTCCTTTGGTGAGTCCCTGGAGCCCCTGAGTATGGTAAGTGAGGAGGCCGTGATTATGGGGGAACGCATGGAATAGGGGAGTCAGGCCATAAATTAGATTCATAATGAGCCTCGGGGCAGCTCACGATCCGCACCTGCTTGTGGGTCCTTGACTTTAAGGGGTATGTACTGGGAGAGCATTGAGGCAGCGGACTGTTTTGGTTGCATTAGAAATGCCTTTTGATGACATTAGTTTGTCTAGATATCAGCTAACAGAGCACTATGGAAATGCTACCCAGAACCTTAAATTAAAGTGATCAGCTGTGGGTTGCCTCTGGGGTCATAAAATAATTAGGATGCAGGAGGCAGGATAACTTCAGCCAGGCTGCTGTGTGAAAAGTTCCAGTTAGAAGCTGCAGAAGTTTTCCTGTTTACTTTTTATCATCCAGTAAGTTTTATAAATCTTGGTTTGAAAAGTAAAGTTCCTAGATATGCTAATGTTAAAATGTTAGAGCCTTCATAATTATATAATGTTCATTTCTAAAAGTGTGAAAACACAAATTGGCTGAGCCTTTTCTCTCAACTTTGACACACTGAAGTCCTGGTGTTTGAATGAGGTGGTTTTAAAATAACGATTTTTCATGGATAAAACTAACCACCTTGGTATTTTTGTTAAACCTGATGGTCTGTAAGGTGCTTTCCACAGTGATCTTCCTTCACTCCTGTTGAGGCAGCTTGGGCTCCACCGTAATAAGGAACCACAGGTGGGCTGGCTTAGGCAGCAGGGACTCCCTTCTCACCGTTCTGGGAGGTGGAAGTCCAACACCAAGGTGCTGTGGGTTTGGTTACTGGCAAGGGCTGCCTTCCTGGCTTGCAGGCGAAGGCCTTATAGGTGTGTCCTCATATGGTAGAGTTACTGGCAAGGGCTGGCTTCCTGGACTGCAGGCGAAGGCCTTATAGGTGTGTCCTCATATGGTAGAGTTACTGGCAAGGGCCAGCTTCCTGGCTTGCAGGCGAAGGCCTTATAGGTGTGTCCTCATATGGTAGAGTTACTGGCAAAGGGCTGCCTTCCTGGCTTGCAGGCGAAGGCCTTATAGGTGTGTCCTCATATGGTAGAGTTACTGGCAAGGGCCAGCTTCCTGGCCTGCAGGCAAAGGCCTTATAGGTGTGTCCTCATATGGTAGAGTTACTGGCAAGGGCCAGCTTCCTGGCCTGCAGGCAAAGGCCTTATAGGTGTGTCCTCATATGGTAGAGTTACTGGCAAGGGCCGGCTTCCTGGACTGCAGGCGAAGGCCTTATAGGTGTGTCCTCATATGGTAGAGTTACTGGCAAGGGCTGGCTTCCTGGACTGCAGGCGAAGGCCTTGTAGGTGTGTCCTCATATGGTAGAGTTACTGGCAAGGGCCAGCTTCCTGGCCTGCAGGCAAAGGCCTTATAGGTGTGTCCTCATATGGTAGAGTTACTGGCAAGGGCTGGCTTCCTGGACTGCAGGCGAAGGCCTTATAGGTGTGTCCTCATATGGTAGAGTTACTGGCAAGGGCCGGCTTCCTGGACTGCAGGCGAAGGCCTTATAGGTGTGTCCTCATATGGTAGAGTTACTGGCAAGGGCTGGCTTCCTGGACTGCAGGCGAAGGCCTTATAGGTGTGTCCTCATATGGTAGAGTTACTGGCAAGGGCTGGCTTCCTGGACTGCAGGCGAAGGCCTTATAGGTGTGTCCTCATATGGTAGAGTTACTGGCAAGGGCCAGCTTACTGGCCTGCAGGCAAAGGCCTTATAGGTGTGTCCTCATGTGGTAGAGTTACTGGCAAGGGCTGGCTTCCTGGGCTGCAGGCGAAGGCCTTATAGGTGTGTCCTCATATGGTAGAGTTACTGGCAAGGGCTGGCTTCCTGGACTGCAGGCGAAGGCCTTATAGGTGTGTCCTCATATGGTAGAGTTACTGGCAAGGGCCAGCTTCCTGGCCTGCAGGCAAAGGCCTTATATGTGTGTCCTCACATGGTAGAGACAGCGAGGTGGGGGTGGGGAGAGAAAGAGCAAGAGAGAAAAAAGAGAAAAAAAAAGAGAGAGAGAGAGCGCTGTATCTGCTGTCTTTTCCTGTTCCAACCCTATCAGATAGGGCCCACCTGAATGACCTCATCTGACCTTAGTTACCTCCTACAGGCCCTACCTCCAATGCAGTCACACTGGAGGTCAGGACTTCAACACGGATTTTAGGGGGACACAGTCCCATTCCCAGCACTTCCTATTAGGGCTCACAGTACAGCTCTCACTTTCCAGATGCAGAAACTTGATTTTAGAGAGATTTAGAGACCTAAATACCTAAATGGCTAGTACAAATGTACACAGAAAGGAACATTTCAAGAGACTGCACAAAGCAGGTATGAAATAAATATTATTCTGGCTTAGCTAAAATCATAGAGAACAAGCCCTTCACATTCCAGTAAACATATATTTATGTTGGTTGTTAATGGTGTAATTTTTTTCTTACCTATCTTGTTAAGAATATTAGTCCAGATTTTACCACAGGTGATCAGTTTCTTGATATTTTCTTTGAAATATCAAGGATATTTTAGGGTATTTCAGGATATCTTCCTGACATGTATAAGTGAGTCAAATGACAGTTTTAAAATGTCATTCTTTGGCAGTCTATCAAGGCAGAAACTAACTTGTTTCTTCTCAAAATGTATTTTCTCTCGTCTTGTACTTGCTTGCATGAGTTTCAAATACTTACACTAACAGCTACAATTTTAAAATGTTATTGAGCATTTTCAGAAATTCCATACAGAGAGGCCTCCAGTTACTATGACGTAGATAATTCAATTTTCTCATCCTCCATAGCCTTAGAACTCAGAAGCGTAAGGCTGTTTGCTGTGGCACACAGAGGAGCAGCTGGCAGGTGGACGGACGCCTTTCTCCCCACTCCCTCAGTTGGCCATGAACACTACAGAATTTAGCGTCTGCTGAGGGAGGGAATGAACCCCCCCTTGGTTCTGCAGTCCACATTCATTGTGAGATGCATTCTGGCCTGCAAAGTCAACCGTCCATGTGTTGAGGAGGAAAACGGTATGCCTCCCACATGCAGGAGTAACTCCCTCTCCCTCCTCTATAGAGGATATCCTTGGAAACCCTCTGTCCACATAATGGGATTTATTTATTCAGCTTTATTGAGCTACAACTAATAAAAATTGTACATGCTTAAGGTGTACAGGGTATGTTCTCATATGCATATACATTGTGAAATGCACACTACAAACAAGCTAATACATACATCACCTCTTACAGTTACCTTTGTTTTTTGTGGTGAGGACATGTAAGGTTTATTCTCTTAGCAAATTTTAAGGAAATATGGTATTATTAACCATAGTCACCATGCTTTCCATTAGAGCCACAGAACTTGTTTACCTTACAGCTGAAATGTTGCACCCTTTGGCCTGCACCTCCGCCCCCCAACCCTGAACGCCCCTGGTAAACACGGTTCTACCCTCTGCTTCTGCGTTCAACATCCTTAGATTCCACATGCAGGAGACCGTGTGGTATTTGTCTTTCTGCGCCTGGCTTATTCGACTCGGCACAGTGTCCTCCAGGCTCATCCATGTTGCCACAGATGGCAGGATTTCCTTCTTTATGGCTGAAGGATGTTCCATTCGGTGTATCTACTGCATCTTCTTTATTCTCGCATCTACTGGTGGACACTTGGGTTGTATCCATATCTTGGCTGTTGTCAGTAATGCTTTGATGAGCAGGTTTAAGAGCCTGTTACTCTGTCCATTGGTGCAGTGTCACTGGGAAGCATCTGTGGCATTTCAGGTAAATACTGAGAATGTGGATGCAATGAGAGCCCGTGGTATGGATGTCCCAGGAGTGGCTCTGACTTTGCTGTTCACAGTATCTGGAATACAGTCTAACACCAAGAAAAAGCCAAAACGATCACTCTGTAGCAAAGCCCCCGAAATACGGCTCTTTTTCTGTGTATAAAATTATTTTTGTCAGTTAAAAATACTATATGTCCAAAAAGGATCGAAATGGTAAAATTTCCAATTAAAGTATTATTTGCTGTGTCCCCATATACACACTTTAACACAGGTATATTTGCTCTAATTTTTGGTTTCTTTCCTTTGAGTTTATGAAGTATTTCCCCCTAAGAAGGACATTCCTGGGGTATCTCAGGCTGCGGAAGCCCTCACAGCAGCCTCCCTGCATCTGCACCTGCACCGCTGGCCGGGGCGGGAGCTCCCAGGTCCCCCCTTCGGCGTGGGCTCTGCCACCCTTTTACTTCTTTGTCCTTGCTTTGCACAGCAGATTCCTTTCAGAGCCATTCAGCCTGAACATGCTCATGTTTCCTCTTAGAACTCAAAGAATGTCTGTCACTTCTGTTTTTCCTGTAGTGTATTTTTGAGGTAAAAGCACCCTTTGGCCACTGTCCGTCTACCCCAGGCTGCCTCTGTGCGCCCCCTCAGAGCAGCACCAGTCACTCATGTCTACCTGAAGTTGGCAACAGTCGCATTCATCAGATTAGACCACAGCAAAACATAGGTGCATGGCTTAATGCGCAAGAGATTTGGAGATTTTTTACCATTTCACTAGCCAGTTAAAGGCCTATTGTGCTTTTAGCTTTTTATCACAACCTACCCTTAAATATCCCAGACATCTGTGGTCAGAGGACGTGAAAAAATGGATCATTCATGAATTAATATTGGTTGAAGATTGTCCTAAACACGGCTGACTTCAGCAGAGACGTACAGTGAAGCGTGAGCCGGTCCTGGGGTTGGTGGGTAGAGAGCGGTTCTAAAACAGGACTGAGTGCTCCGCCCCACTTCCCTTTCACCACCTGGGAGAAGGTGGACCCCTCGTTTCTTCATGGAGCTCCGTTCCTCACAAGCAGAATGCAGACGGGATGACAGTTCTGTGGGGATTCTTCCTGGATTTCAGACAATGCCTGGAATGGGGCCTATTCTTTATCACTGTCTTCGTTTTCATACGTGCAATACCACGGAGTAAAGATTTGAAATAGTGTCATTACTGTCATATTTAGCCAAAGTTGCTTTGGAAATATAATTTAACACGTATTTGGGTTTAAATGAAGAATTTCTTTTGAATTCACTTTCTGATAGTGCATTTTAACCTAAACTTGGTTTGTTTTCTAAAATGTTTTAAAGCGCAGAACTGTTACACTCCGCAGACAGCCAGTTGGCGGCTTGGGCCTGAGTATAAAGGTATGGAAATGGTTTTCTCTATTCCTGCTTTTTATTTTTGAAGAACTTTCCAGTGTGAATCATGATAACCACGTTTCTTTCTGATGGCTTTGTCTTTCAGGGAGGTTCTGAGCACAACGTCCCTGTCGTCATATCAAAAATATTCGAAGACCAAGCAGGTAAAAACAGCCAAAATGACCTGTGTATGCATCACAGCCATTTGTGAGATAACAAATTACTGAAAATGATAAAAATCAGCAGATATGTGTTTTGCTCGATTACCTAAACTTCCGTTTTATTTTTGTAGCTGTGTCTTGTTTCAAAGGATGCTTCTTATGCCCTGATCTGAGGCTGCCCTTTTTAACCTCTGCTGATCCCTCTGGCCCTTAAGAGAGACACTAATTCTCTGTTTGAGGTATCAGGTTATCCCCCCTCTAAAGATATTGATGATTCAGGGGTTTGAATGCTGATTTTAAGGTATTTTAAAAATCGAGGAGAATTACATATAGATGGAGAAGTCCATGGTGTTCGTTGAAGTATCTGATACACAAGTCTCTGAGCCTAAGAACGTAATGAGCCTGTTGCAGGACTAGCTGACCGCGCTCAGGTGGGGCTGAAACGCCGTCCGTTCTGCACTTGGCAGCTGGTGGTACTGCACTGACTACCACCTCCATCCCTGAAATGAAACACTGGCTATGGGAATAATCACAAGAATAACTGACATTCATAGGGAGAGATTACTCTGTGTAGAATCGAAAAGTGAGGGTGGGATTTCTGGCCACACATTCCACTATCGGGTAGACTGTTTCTCATACAATTCGATTTTGGACATAATGAACCCCCTGCGGTAAACTCCATGCATCTGTCTCCCTATCGGGAGGATTCTGCATCCTTGTGGCTGGCCTCCTCCCACCTGGTCCAGCAGCTCCTGGGTGTGCAGCCTCAGGCCACTCCTCCCCTGCTCTCCAGAGCAAGGGGCACCTGGACATGCGGTCCGTGTCGGGGGGTGGGGCGGTTAGCTTATGTCCTTGAGGCCTGCAGGGGAACAGGAAGCAAGACAGAGTGGGCAAGCGGGTGGCCTTATGACCTCATGTGCCTCACACCGGAAAGCACAGCCACTGCAGGGGACCCCTGGCTGTGTCCCTGGAGGGGACATGCTTCTCTCCACGCTCCACCAGAAATGTGGAGGTTCTGGGTGAAAAGCACAGAATAAGCTCATACTTTTTCTCTAAACATTCTTACTCATTTCACCCAATTTTACCCAAACCATAAGCCCAGTATGCAGGTAGAGTGCCCTGAAGAGGCTGGAGGTCCCAGGCTGGGGAAGCCTTAACCATGAGCCCTCTGAAGGTGGGTGCAGTGAGGGCAGTGATGGTCAGGTCCTCTGAAGGTGGGTGCAGTGAGGGCAGCGATGGTCAGGTCATCTGAAGGTGGGTGTGGTGAGGGCAGTTGTGGTGAGGGCAGTCATGGTCAGGTCAGCCATGTGTGGTGCAGGAGACCATGTTTTGCTGCAGAGATTGCCCCAGTGGGATTTGGATTCCCCACAGCAGCTGTGAACACGTTCTCAGGGAAGAGAGGTTTCCACAGAATGCGTTGCCATGAAATTTGCATCCGGGTAAAGATTCTTTTTCGGCAGAAGGACATTTAAGAGTCAGGTCAGCAACACATTTTTCTCCTTTTTGAGCAAGCTTACAAACCTGCCGTTAAACTTGCAGCAGATGGGATTCCATTTAATCAGGAATTAGGGGCCAGCAAGCCCCGAAACCCAGAGGCAGTCTCAGCCTCAGAGGCAGCAGGTGCTGTTCAGAAGGAAACCTAGAAATTTAAGTGTGATAAGAAATACAGGTTAGTTGTAACCAAGATGGCGGGAAAAGTGAGAGAGCTATGCAGGCCTCTGAATGAAAGGACGATTCTTTTCCAGGGTTTTTTTTTTTGGTTTCTTCCCCCACCCCACTGACAGAGTCTCACTGAGATGCCCAGGCTGGAGTGCAGAGGCGCGATCTCGGCTCACTGCAACCTCCACCTCCCAGGTTCAAGCGATTCTTCTGCCTCAGCCTCCCGAGTGGCTGGGACTACAGGTGCCCGCCACCACGCCTGGCTAATTTTTGTATTTTTAGTAGAGGCGGGGGTCTCGAACTCCTGACCTCAGGTGATCTGCCTGCCTCCGCCTCCCAAAGTGCTGGGATTACAGGCGTGAGCCACCGCACCCAGCCTCTTTTTGAGGTTTTTCGAGCATTTCAAAAGAAACATTATGATTCATTTGAACTACAGTATTTTGTTGCATGTATTACATCAAGTGTTATAATGGCGGTGTTGACGAGCTTGGCAGGGCCCAGTGCTTTGGCTCATATAAAGTGGGATTCCACACGGGCGCCGTGGGTCCACCGTTGCTGTGTCGGGCGTGGTTGGTTCTTGTTGCACCCCTGAAGCCATCTGGCTGACTGATGGATAGTGGAAAGAAGGCATGGCCCAATGCAGCTCTGTTCCTGTCCTCTTTGCAAACATTTTCAGTTATTTTCATTAATGGGTTTTTTTTTAATTGGTGGATATGATGAAAAGTCTCAGAAAAGAGAATAAGACAGTAAGGTTAGCCAGTAGGTAACGTTCAGTAAAGGATGTTTATGGTCAATTCAGAAGGAAAATCCATTTTACCTGTAGGGGAGAAACAGCTCAAGAAGGCTACACTCCCTGGAGTGTGAACGTGACCCTGGGGTTGTAGCCCGTGTGCCCTCCCGAGCCTCATCCCTGCCTCAGGCAACCAAGGCTTGGTGAGTGTGGTCAGGAGAAACTGGGACCCAGGAGATTCCAAACTTAGCAGTCTTCAGACCATGCTGATGCCATTCTCTTCTGACATTGGAAGCTTCACAAGTAACTCCAGTGTGGTAGCCCCAGTGGGAGGTCCCCACGCTCCTCCCAGGCCTGCTCCCAGGCTCGCATTCTGTGCCTCCTGCAGATTTCCCACCCAGAGCCTGCCTGCCTGCCCCTGCTGCCCCCTCCCCCAGCCAGCTTGCCTGTCTCCATCCTCACCACCCCTCCAGGCCCAGGCCCAGGCCCACGACCTCAGCAGGCACTTGGAGATGAACTTACATGGTTCCTCCCTGCACCTGCCTCTCCCCACTGGGATCCATTTCATCAGCTGTGCCAGAATTCATGTTTTAGAGACACATTTATATCCTCGTTTTATGCACATTCAGGAACAGAAAGTCCTGGCAATGAATTGGGAGTTTTTAGGGATCAGAAGCTTGGTCTCATTTATTTTATGTCTTCCATTCCATGTAAAACACAGAATGCATGTTTTGCAGGAAGCAGAGCCCCTGGGTTGTCCTGAATGTCTTGTGTTAAACTGACACAGGAGTCTGGCCTCAGGATGAAGGGAGTGCAGGAGGGCTGTGGGACTTCGGTGCTGGAGCCCAGGAGAGCATACCCTCTACCCCACGGAGCACAGCGCTGCCAGATAGGGCGGGATGCAGACAAACCAAATGCGGGGTGATCAGTTAGAACTAGGAATACCTACGGATGCTAAGAGAAGCTGTCTGCATTCCTCCACATTTTAGATCCTCTTCTGGATGAGCAGGTCTGCAGTTATCCCCAGGTGATGAGAGGCCGGGACAGGTGGGAAAGCTCTCCAGCTCTCATTCTCCAGGGACACCAGAGCAGCCAGGTAGCCCGAGGCTTCACCTCGCTCATTTTTAAGAATGAGGCAGTTGTAAGATGTTAGATCAGTGCAAAATATAAAATTATTAGTGTGCTTATTTATCCATGAGTTTA
Source organism: Homo sapiens (assembly GCF_000001405.40). Lineage (NCBI taxonomy): Eukaryota > Metazoa > Chordata > Mammalia > Primates > Hominidae > Homo > Homo sapiens. The sequence continues at coordinate 1,102,000 of NC_000002.12, forward strand.
TCCAATCATATTTAATAAACAACTTCTACAGATAAGACGCTTCTCGGGCCATCCGCAGAGACCAAGGCAGAATTCTTGCCATTGCAGAGCTTGTAGACAACTGGAGAAGGCAGGCAGTGAACACGTGTGCGATACATTTGCAGAGATGACGGCTCCTGTGGAGTGAGCGAAACCGTGGTACAGAGGAGACGGGGAGAGGGCGCTGTTTTTTGTAATGTGGTTAATGCTTTTATCCTGTGAGTAAGAGAGTCAGCTGAAGTTGGTTTAAAATTAGTGTGATTAGGGTAGCTTCTCATTTAAGAAAAGTCACCCTGGCTGTTGTGAGGAGGCTGTTCCAGGAAGCAGGGAGGAAGGTGGAGAGCCAGTGCAGGGTGCAGGAGGGGCTGCCGTGCCCTGCCCTTCTGGGATTTTGGTGAATTTGTAGATAAGTGGCCAGAAGCCGGATGTCCTTGGAGGCTCCACGTCACATGCTGCTGAAGGGTGGGCTGCGTGTCTGAGAGGAAGGAGGACTCAGGCCAGGTTGAGGTTTCCTTTTAGCCTCAGCACCAGGGGGGCTGATGGTGCGTTTAATGAAATGGCCGACACAGGTCCTGGGTTGTTGAGTGAATGTCAGAAGCAGAGCGTGGACAGCAGGGGCTCCGTGCTGCGTTTCAGGGCTGATTTGCTGGCCAGTGGAGTGTACCTGTGAGAGGTTCAGAGGACGATATCAGGGTAAGAGAATTTTTAAAGAGAGGCATTTAAATTAAGTGAATGGCACTGAGGTGCTTCCCCAGAGACTTGCTGTAGGTGGAGAGGAGAAGGTGCCTGAGGCCTGAGTTAGGAGTGTGGACAGCCCAAGGCTGGACACTTGCCTGATGTCCGAGTGGAGCCAGGCAGCCCAGCTCAGCTCACTCGCACCTTGAATTCTTCGCGAAGTGGCTCGTGAGCCTCTGAATTGCCTGAGCAGCTTTGCAGAGCATGACAGAGCCAAGACTCTGATTGTACCGTTGAGGTGCGGCCTGCGTGCAGGATTCCACACCCTGGAGCCCCCGCCCCCTGGTCCCTCTGATGTGGAGACCTTCAGACCTCACACTCCTCACAGGGGACTCAGGATTCACAGGTCCACGTCATGGGTGTGGAGAGGCTGGGAGGTCGAGATAGGTCTGAGACTCTCCTCAGTGCAGATATAGGGTTGAGCACATATGTCTAGACATTGTTTAATACCTAGTGAGATTGTATATTTTGGGGAGATCTATAATTATTTTTATTGTGTTTAATGGGAAATTTGTTAATATTACATTTGAAAGGTTAAATATAATTTTTCTTGACATTAAATATCAATCACAAATTTTAATTCTTTCAATTCATTAACCTTTCAAATAAATAATGATTATAAATTTCTTTTTTTTTTTATTTTTTTTTTTAGATGGAGTCTTGCTCTGTCGCCCAGGCTGGAGTGCAGTGGTGAGTTCTTGGTTCACTGCAACCAACCTCCACCTCCCAGGTTCAAGTGATTCTCCTGTGCCTCAGCCTCCTGAGTAGCTGGGATTACAGGCACCCGCCACCACGCTCGGCTAATTTTTGTATTTTTAGTGGAGACGGGGTTTCACCATGTTGGCCGGGATCATCTCGATCCCTTGACCTCATGATCCTCCCCCTTTGGCCTCCCAAAGTACTGGGATTACGGGCGTGAGCCACCGCGCCTGGCCATGATTATAAATTTCTACCAATGATCCATTTGATGATTTTAAACTTCATAGACACCAGACAAAGCCTCCGTGCATGCTGTGATTGCAGGCGCACACTCATTGAATCGGTTGTTAGGTTAACAAACGTTATAGACCCCTGAGTGCTAAGCACTGTCCTCTGTGCTGAGAGTAGAGAAGCAAAAAATAGACTGATTTCTTGCTTTCAGAGCATGTACATTATAGTCGGAGAAGATAATAAGCAAAGATACAAATGAAATTATTATGTCAGGTATGGATAAGACTAGGGAGAAAAATATAGCTACATTTTTGCTAATACTTTCAGGCATTCTATGACCTTTAACTACCCTATGAGATGATGACTAGGATTTTCATTCCCATTTTACAGATGAGGACACTGAGGCAAATATATGTTAAAGAGTTTGCACAGGGACAGACATGCAAATGGCAGAGCCGGGGAGTGACCCCCAAGACCCTTCTCTGGGTCATCGTCCGGTGCTGCCCCTCTTTCAAACGTTTGTAAAGAACCAGTGCAATGTGGTTACGACGTTTTTTCATTTATTCTTTACTTTTACACATTTCTTCGGTTATTGCTCTATGTTGGTGTTGCCTAGGGTTAATAACTTCCTAGTGTAGTAATAGTGAAATTATTAAACCTGAAAAGGAAAAAGCAGTGTCTTTTCAGACGAGCTGAGTGACAGGGTCTGTTCTTTGATGCATGGGTTATTGATTAGTGATACGAGATTTGATTAATTCTCTCAAGATAATTTAAAAATAAACACTTTGTATCAAGCTTTCTTTTTATAGTTGAACTTCTTTTGTTAAGTCAATAGACTTCTAATGTGCACATGTTTACCTAAGTTTTAGGTTTCTGCATGTATGTACCTCAGGGAAAACACAAATGGAGAAAGGAAAAACTCACTTGTCAGCGTGGCCCAAGCCCTGCCGTGGGTCCTTTTGTCAGCGTGTGTGGCCCTGGGGTGCTGGCATTGTGAAAACCTGGGGACTCCGTCCAGGAGGGGCCGTGTGTGCTGTGAAATCCTCTCAGCTTACGGTGGTTTGAGTGAATAGGGCTTGCTCTTCTCACTGAACGAGAAATCCGGCTGTTTGCTGTGGTTTTCTCCCAGTATCTTTCCGTCCTCCCGTGGCACCATCCTTAGCTTGTGGGTTTTATCCTCATGTTCATTGCCTTATATTTGCAAAATGGTGGCTGTATTTCAAGATAACATATCTTCTTTTTAGGTAGGAAAGAAGGGAAATGGGGCACCACCCCTGAAGAAGCACCGTGGTTCCATCTCCGGGAAGGAAAGCCTTCATGGTATTCCTTCATTTCCATCCACCCACTGGAACCGGACCCAAGTTCACCCTCAGAAAGGCTGAGGGAGCAAGTTCTTCATGAGTTGTTGGACAGCCTTTTGCCACTCCCTTAGGGGAATGCAGGGGTTCCATTCGCTGAGAGCAACACACTCTGCCCTCTGCTGAACCATGGGAGCAGGCCAGGCTCTGCCACAAGGCTGAGAGGGTTTGGTGGGGGTGGGGTGAGTGTGGGGTGGCCCCACTTGCATTTTGTCATTGCCAGCTGTGCCATGCAGAGGGTCTTGGCTGGGGTTTGTTTCTGTCCATGGTTTCAGGCATCTGCTGCAGGGCTTACAACTTAGATAAGGGTGGTTGCCATATGATGTTCTGCATGAGGTCCACCTTAGGTGCTTAGACATTTAAATTCTTAGATATGGTGTCCTTCACACTTTAATTCACCGCTTTAGTGAGGTGTGTGCACCCGCCAAGGCTCACACGTCAGGAACCACACACGTACGTGCTCCTTAAGGCAGCCTTCAGCCTACTTAGCAACCGCTCTCCAAAAAATCTGTTTTAATACCTAAAATCACCATGGGCGATTGGATTTGACACCGTTCTATACATAGATTTTATGAGGATTGGATTTCTCTGAGCATGGTTCAGTACTGAGGATACCAAGCTCCTGCTCACTCTCCCTCCTATGAGATTCTTCCTCAGGACCCTGCTGCCCCTGGCCCAGAAATCATCCACGACTTCATTGCTTACGGAAAAGCCGAGGTGCAGGCTGGGCTTTCCAGCTCACCTCACATCCTGGGTCCCACAGCCACATTTGTCTCCTCCCTGCTCCGATGCATGGCACAGGATGGCACCCCAAGTCTCCACCCTCACCTGGAAGATCAGCCTCCCCCGCGTGTCACAGCCAGGTCAGGATGCACACCTGGTGGCCCCTGACCCCGAGGCCTCTCACCTTGCTCCTTGGTAATAGTGGGCGCACACTGTCATTGGGGTGCAGGGTATGGAGAGCTCCTTGGTAATAATGGACACGTGCTGTCACTCGGGTGCAGGGTATGGAGAGCTCCTTGGTAATAGTGGACACCTGCTGTCACTCGGGTGCAGGGTATGGAGAGCTCCTTGGTAATAGTGGACACCTGCTGTCACTCGGGTGCAGGGTATGGAGAGCTCCTTGGTAATAGTGGACACATGCTGTCACTCGGGTTCAGGGTATGGAGAGCTCCTTGGTAATAGTGGATGCGTGCTGTCACTCGGGTGCAGGGTATGGAGAGCTCCTTGGTAATAGTGGATGTGTGCTGTCACTCGGGTGCAGGGTATGGAGAGCTCCTTGATAATAATGGACACGTGCTGTCACTCGGTGCAGGGTATGGAGAGCTCCTTGGTAATAGTGGATGCGTGCTGTCACTCGGGTGCAGGGTGTGGAGAGCTCCTTGATAATAATGGACACGTGCTGTCACTCGGGTGCAGGGTATGGAGAGCTCCTTGGTAAGAGTGGACACGTGCTGTCACTCGGGTGCAGGGTATGGAGAGCTCCTTGGTAAGAGTGGACACGTGCTGTCACTCGGGTGCAGGGTGTGGAGAGCTCCTTGGTAACAGTGGACACGTGCTGTCACTTGGGTGCAGGGTATGGAGAGCTCCTTGGTAATAGTGGACACACGCTGTCACTCGGGTGCAGGGTATGGAGAGCTCCTTGGTAATAGTGGATGCGTGCTGTCACTCGGGTGCAGGGTGTGGAGAGCTCCTTGATAATAATGGACACGTGCTGTCACTCGGGTGCAGGGTATGGAGAGCTCCTTGGTAAGAGTGGACACGTGCTGTCACTCGGGTGCAGGGTATGGAGAGCTCCTTGGTAAGAGTGGTCACGTGCTGTCACTCGGGTGCAGGGTATGGAGAGCTGCTTGGTAATAGTGGACACGTGCTGTCACTCGGGTGCAGGGTATGGAGAGCTGCTTGGTAATAGTGGACACGTGCTGTCACTCGGGTGCAGGGTATGGAGAGCTCCTTGGTAAGAGTGGACACGTGCTGTCACTCGGGTGCAGGGTATGGAGAGCTGCTTGGTAATAGTGGACACGTGCTGTCACTCGGGTGCAGGGTATGGAGAGCTCCTTGGTAAGAGTGGACACGTGCTGTCACTCGGGTGCAGGGTATGGAGAGCTCCTTGATAATAATGGACACGTGCTGTCACTCGGGTGCAGGGTATGGAGAGCTCCTTGGTAAGAGTGGACACGTGCTGTCACTCGGGTGCAGGGTATGGAGAGCTCCTTGGTAATAGTGGACACGTGCTGTCACTCGGGTGCAGGGTATGGAGAGCTCCTTGGTAAGAGTGGACACGTGCTGTCACTCGGGTGCAGGGTATGGAGAGCTGCTTGGTAATAGTGGACACGTGCTGTCACTCGGGTGCAGGGTATGGAGAGCTCCTTGGTAATAGTGGACACGTGCTGTCACTCGGGTGCAGGGTATGGAGAGCTCCTTGGTAAGAGTGGTCACGTGCTGTCACTCGGGTGCAGGGTATGGAGAGCTGCTTGGTAATAGTGGACACGTGCTGTCACTCGGGTGCAGGGTATGGAGAGCTGCTTGGTAATAGTGGACACGTGCTGTCACTCGGGTGCAGGGTATGGAGAGCTCCTTGGTAAGAGTGGACACGTGCTGTCACTCGGGTGCAGGGTATGGAGAGCTGCTTGGTAATAGTGGACACGTGCTGTCACTCGGGTGCAGGGTATGGAGAGCTCCTTGGTAAGAGTGGACACGTGCTGTCACTCGGGTGCAGGGTATGGAGAGCTCCTTGGTAATAGTGGACACGTGCTGTCACTCGGGTGCAGGGTATGGAGAGCTCCTTGGTAAGAGTGGACACGTGCTGTCACTCGGGTGCAGGGTATGGAGAGCTGCTTGGTAATAGTGGACACGTGCTGTCACTCGGGTGCAGGGTATGGAGAGCTCCTTGGTAAGAGTGGACACGTGCTGTCACTCGGGTGCAGGGTATGGAGAGCTCCTTGGTAATAGTGGACACGTGCTGTCACTCGGGTGCAGGGTATGGAGAGCTCCTTGGTAAGAGTGGACACGTGCTGTCACTCGGGTGCAGGGTATGGAGAGCTCCTTGGTAATAGTGGACACGTGCTGTCACTCGGGTGCAGGGTATGGAGAGCTCCTTGGTAAGAGTGGACACGTGCTGTCACTCGGGTGCAGGGTATGGAGAGCTGCTTGGTAATAGTGGACACGTGCTGTCACTCGGGTGCAGGGTATGGAGAGCTCCTTGGTAAGAGTGGACACGTGCTGTCACTCGGGTGCAGGGTATGGAGAGCTCCTTGGTAATAGTGGACACGTGCTGTCACTCGGGTGCAGGGTATGGAGAGCTCCTTGGTAAGAGTGGACACGTGCTGTCACTCGGGTGCAGGGTATGGAGAGCTGCTTGGTAATAGTGGACACGTGCTGTCACTCGGGTGCAGGGTATGGAGAGCTCCTTGGTAAGAGTGGACACGTGCTGTCACTCGGGTGCAGGGTATGGAGAGCTGCTTGGTAATAGTGGACACGTGCTGTCACTCGGGTGCAGGGTATGGAGAGCTCCTTGGTAAGAGTGGACACGTGCTGTCACTCGGGTGCAGGGTATGGAGAGCTGCTTGGTAATAGTGGACACGTGCTGTCACTCGGGTGCAGGGTATGGAGAGCTCCTTGGTAAGAGTGGACACGTGCTGTCACTCGGGTGCAGGGTATGGAGAGCTCCTTGGTAATAGTGGACACGTGCTGTCACTCGGGTGCAGGGTATGGAGAGCTCCTTGGTAAGAGTGGACACGTGCTGTCACTCGGGTGCAGGGTATGGAGAGCTGCTTGGTAATAGTGGACACGTGCTGTCACTCGGGTGCAGGGTATGGAGAGCTCCTTGGTAAGAGTGGACACGTGCTGTCACTCGGGTGCAGGGTATGGAGAGCTCCTTGGTAAGAGTGGACACGTGCTGTCACTCGGGTGCAGGGTATGGAGAGCTCCTTGGTAAGAGTGGACACATGCTGTCACTCGGGTGCAGGGTATGGAGAGCTGCTTGGTAATAGTGGACACGTGCTGTCACTCGGGTGCAGGGTATGGAGAGCTCCTTGGTAATAGTGGACGCACGCTGTCACTGGGGCGCAGGGTATGGAGAGCTGGATGCACAGCTTCATCATGACATGTCATACTTTCGGAAAGCAAAAGCGGCTTGCGAAGTCCCCTAAGCCCCTTTTATTCCCCCTAACAGTGGTTTGCTCTCGGTGATCACCCAGTTCATACTTAATGAAATGAGGAAGAATGAAGCTCTCCTCTATGACTGGATGGAATTTACATGTGGTGTTTCCAACACAGCAAAACTTTCGAAACCGAAGCCAGGCTCCATATAACACACAGAGAAAGGATGATGAAAACCACATGCTGAAAAAGGATGTGGAAGTCAGAGGGTGCCATCTGCATAGGAATTCCTGACATTGATACTTGTCATACGAAAATAACTTCCTTTTTCATTGGATCTTCATAAAAAACATATGAAATGGGCAAGGGACGCATGATTATTCACATTTCATAGGGCAGCAGATAAACAGGAATTATGAGTTGCCCAGTTTTACTCCGCTAACAAGGGCTTATAAAGAGTCCTTTACTTGTACACTTAGATTTTTCCCTCGAAATCCAGTTCTTCCTACTATAGCATATCATCTCATTAGGTACAAAGAAAATTCATTCACAGCCACAGTTTAATTCCACTTAAATAAATTAATGGTAATAAATAATTTAATAAATAATAATGCTTCGTAAGAATTTATCTGTAAGATAGGCCTGGGCCCTGTAGCTAATTTGATGTGTATATTCGGGAGACAAATGGGACAATTAGAAAATACTCAGAAAATTGCACAGAAAGGAAGGGGTGTTTTGTCCCCGAAAGAAAGGCAAGACGAACGCGAACCTTCAGTCGTTCTCATGTGGAGTATTCATCGTTCAGCGCCAGGAAGTATCCTGAGCTGAAGGGCGGGTTCTTACAGAGGCCATCTGAGCTACAGTGGGAATGTCAGGTTGGACACGAGGCTCACTGTTACTCATGAAGATGTTGACACAGAACGACGATTTCTATAACCAAATATATATACTACATTTGGTGGGGAAGGAAAGGGAACACAAAACCCAGGTCCCAAAGCTCCCTGTTCAGGTCTCTGTGGCACAGCGGCTGTGGCGGAGTTTTGTCTGGATCCTGTCGTCGTCTAAAGTCATGGCCTGGACACCTGTAAACACAGGAAGAATCACCCTTTTCATACCAAAGTCACAGAGACTTATGAGCTTTGTGTGATGGGGTCACCATGACATGGGCCTCCACCTGTATTTTATTGTTCTCTAGAATTTTCACCTGTTATTGGTGTCTTAGTGCCATGCACATGCCTTCATTATGCCAGATCTGTGATTAATTTCTTTCTGTGTTAAATTTATTTCACCTGTTCTGCTGAATTTGCTGTGAAGCCTTTCTCCCCTAATACCTTCTCCTCTGCCTCCCTCCCTCCCATGTAAATATTGATTTAGATGTCTTTATATTAATGTAAGGTCCTGCCCTTCACATGGCATAGAGAAACCCGTGATGAATGCCCCCATTGTCCCTCAGAAAGCAGAGACTTGAGCAGCTGAGATGCCTCTTCCCAGAGCTGGAATCCTTCACAGCACTGCCTCTCTGGCATCCGCTCCTCACACCGCTGGGCCTTTGCCTTTGCCATTCATCATGTCTGCTGTGCTGCCATATCTTCCTTTCTAGGCTCTAAAAAATGGCTTTTGAAATTCAAAATGTGATACAACTACTCAGGCCAATGTGCCTGCACTAATATATAAGTCAGATACTATCTGGTTTTTCTTCTGGAGCTCTATAAATATTTGATAGAGTCCTTCTATTTTAGACGGTTGAACCTGGATCTGGCTACATGTGTGCAGAAACACAATGTCAGAAATCTTTTCTCACCTGGCGGTGGGTGGATGTGGAATTCAATTTGTAACTTTTAGGTCTAACTTTCCTAACTGTGCTTTCTGTCACAAGCCAAAATCTGCTTTTTGTCTCAAGTTAGCTTTCCGTAAGAATGAAGGGAGTCCCATTTTCCAATCCCCAGATCTAGACAGAGGTACAGCAGATTGAATGAAGAATATTCTGGTGTTACTGCTTTATTGCTAATGAATCAATGAAAGGCATGGTTTTAAAGCTATCAAAGTATAAATAGAACTTGACAAGGATAATATAAAATGGACTTAGTAGCTGAATGAGAAATGCCGAAACCTCAAAAAGAATCACAAGAAACATCAGAAGCCCTGAAGTGTGCGTGCTGTGCACTGCAGGTCAAATTTAAATTCTGAGTAACAAGAGGCTTCCTCCTCAGGAGAAGCTGGAAGCAGGAAGGGGAGTCAGCGTACGGCCGGGCCCCTCTTACCTTTGCAGGGTCCCTGCTGTTGAGATTAGGACCGCAGGTGTGCAGCAGAGAATCCAGTTGTTTTGCTTTAGAAAGTGCCTGAAGAACAAATCCTTCGGGCCCCAAAGATGCTGTCCTGGGATCTACTTTGCCATTGCTCCTCAAGTTCAGCCAGTGTTATGGCAGGTGTCAGCATCCACCAAAGGGGACCTTCCTGTAAGATGAAAAATACTTTTTAATTTAAATATACATAACACTTCAAAATGTCCAGTGTCCTTCAAATTACTTCAAGAATTTAGATTTCCCTGTTATCAATGATAAATAATCTCCCAAGGCCACTTAGAGAGACTCCCTGAGAAGAATCGTGTGTTCTAAGTGAGGTTTAACCCTTACAGTCCTTTGAGAAAGATCGTGTGTACTAAGTGAGGTTTAACCCTTACAGTCCTTTGAGAAGAATCGTGTGTACTAAGTGAGGTTTAACCCTTATACTCCTTTGAGGAGGATCGTGTGTACTAAGTGAGGTTTAACCCTTAGAGTCCTTTGAGGAGGATCGTGTGTACTAAGTGAGGTTTAACCCTTACAGTCCTTTGAGGAGGATCGTGGGTACTAAGTGAGGTTTAACCCTTACAGTCCTTTGAGAAGGATCGTGTGTACTAAGTGAGGTTTTACCCTTACAGTCCTTTGAGGAGGATCGTGTGTACTAAGTGAGGTTAAACCCTTACAGTACTTTGAGGATAATCATGTATACTAAGTGAGGTTTAAGCCTTACACTGCTTTGAGAAGGATCGTGTGTACTAAGGGAGGTTTAACCCTTACAGTCCTTTGAGGAGGATCGTGTGTACTAAGTGAGGTTTAACCCTTGCAGTCGTTTGAGAAGGATCGTGAGTACTAAGTGAGGTTTAACCCTTACAGTCCTTTGAGGAGGATCCTGTGTACTAAGTGAGGTTTAACCCTTATACTCCTTTGAGAAGAATCGTGTGTACTAACTGAGGTTTAATCCTCACAGTACTTGGAGGAGGATCATGTATACTAAGTGAGGTTTAACACTTACAGTTCATTGAGGAGGATTTTGTGTACTAAGTGAGGTTTAAACCTCACAGTCCTTTGTGAAGGATCGTGTGTACTAAGTGAGGTGTAACCCTTACAGTCCTTTCAGAAAGATCGTGTGTACTAAGTGAGGTGTAACCCTTACAGTCCTTTGAGAAAGATCGTGTGTACTAAGTGAGGTTTTACCCTTACAGTCCTTTGAGGAGAATCATGTGTACTAAGTGAGGGTTAACCCTTACAGTCCTTTGAGGAGAATCATGTGTACTAAGTGAGGGTTAACCCTTACAGTCCTTTGAGGAGGATCGTGTGTACTAAGTGAGGTTTAACCCTTACAGTCCTTTGAGGAGGATCGTGTGTACTAAGTGAGGTTTAACCCTTGCAGTCGTTTGAGAAGGATAGTGAGTACTAAGTGAGGTTTAACCCTTATACTCCTTTGAGAAGAATCGTGTGTACTAACTGAGGTTTAACCCTCACAGTACTTGGAGGAGGATCATGTATACTAAGTGAGGTTTAATACTTACATTTCATTGAGGAGGATTTTGTGTACTAAGTGAGGTTAAACCTTGCAGTCCTTTGTGAAGGATCATGTGTACTAAGTGAGGTGTAACCCTTACAGTCCTTTGAGAAAGATGGTGTGTACTAAGTGAGGTTTAACCCTTACAGTCCTTTGAGAAGGATCGTGTGTACTAAGTGAGGTTTAACCCTTACAGTCCTTTGAGGAGGATCGTGGGTACTAAGTGAGGTTTAACCCTTACAGTCCTTTGAGAAGGATCGTGTGTACTGAGGATTAACCTTTACAGTCCTTTCAGAAGGATGGTGTGTACTAAGTGAGGTTTAACCCTTACAGTCCTTTGAGAAGGATCGTGTGTACTAAGTGAGGTTTAACCCTTACAGTCCTTTGAGAAGGATCGTGTGTATTAAGTGAGGTTTAACCCTTACAGTGTTTTGAAAAGGATCGTGTGTACTAAGGTTTAACCACTATAGTCCTTTTATGAGAACCATGTGTACTAAGTGAGGTTTAACCCATACAGTCCTTTGAGAAGGGTCGTGTGTACTAACTGAGGTTTAACCCTTACAGTCCTTTGACGAGGATTGTGTGTACTGAGGTTTAACCCTTACAGTCCTTTGAGGAGGATCGTGTGTACTAAGTGAGGTTTAACCCTTACAGTACTTTGAGGAGGATCGTGTGTACTAAGTGAGGTTTAACCCTTACAGTCCTTTGAGGAGGATCATGTGTACTAAGTGAGGTTTAACCCTTACAGTCCTTTGAGGAGGATCATGGGTACTGAGGATTAACCCTTATAGTCCTTTGAGAAGAATGGTGTGTACTAAGTGAAATTTAACACTTACAGTCCTGTGAGGAGAATCGTGTGTACTAAGTGAGGTTTAACCCTTACAGTCCTTTGAGAAGGATCGTGTGTACTAAGTGAGGATTAACCCTTACAGTCCTTTCAGAGGGATGGTGTGTACTAAGTGAGGTTTAACCCTTACAGTCCTTTGAGGAGGATCGTGTTTCCTAAGTGAAGTTTAACCCTTACAGTCCTTTGAGGAGGGTGGTGTGTACTAAGTGAGGTTTAACTCTTACAGTCCTTTGAGGAGGATCGTGTGTACTAAGTGAGGTTTAACCCTTACAGTCCTTTGAGGAGAATCATGTGTACTAAGTGAGGGTTAACCCTTACAGTCCTTTGAGGAGGATCGTGTGTACTAAGTGAGGTTTAACCCTTACGGTCCTTTGAGGAGGATCGTGTGTAACTAAGTGAGGTTTAACCCTTACGGTCCTTTGAGGAGGATCTTGTGTACTAAGTGAGGTTTAACCCTTACAGTCCTTTGAGGAGGATCGTGTGTACTAAGTGAGGTTTAAACCTTACAGTCCTTTGAGAAGGATCGTGTGTACTAACTGAGGTTCAACACTTACAGTCCTTTGAGGAGGATCCTGTGTGCTAAGTGAGGTTTAAACCTTACACTCCTTTGAGGAGAATCATGTGTACTAAGTGAGGTTTAACCCTTACAGTCCTTTAAGGAGGATCTTTTGAACTAAGTGAGGTTTAACCCTTACAGTCCTTTGAGGAGAATCATGTGTACTAAGTGAGGTTTCACCCTTACAGTCCTTTGAGAAGGATCTTCTCTACTAAGTGAGGTTTAACCCTTAGAGTCCTTTGAGGAGGATCGTGTGTAGTAAGTGAGGTTTAACCCTTACAGTCCTTTGAGAAGGATCTTCTGTACTAAGTGAGGTTTAACCCTTACAGTCCTTTGAGAAGGATCGTGTGTACTCATGTTTAACCCCTATAGTCCTTTGAGGAGAATTGTGTGTACTAAGTGAAGTTTAACCCTTATACTCCTTTGAGAAGGATCGTGTGTACTAAGGGAAGTTTAACCCTTATAGTCCTTTGAGGAGGATTGTGTGTACTAAGTAAGGTTTAACCCTTATAGTCCTTTGAGAAAAATGGTGTGTACTAAGTGTGGTTTAACCCTTACAGTCCTTTGAGGAGGGTCTTGTGTACTACGTGAGGTTTAACCCTTACAGTCCTTTGAGAAGGATCGTGTGTATTAAGTGAGGTTTAATCCTTACAGTCCTTTGAGGAGGATCGTGTGTACTAAGTGAGGTTTAACGCTTACAGTCCTTTGAGAAGGATCGTGTGTACTAAGTGGGGTTTAACCCTTACAGTCCTTTGAGGAGGATCTTGTGTACTAAATCAGGTTTAACCCTTACAGTCGTTTGAGGAGGATCGTGTGTGCCAAGTGAGGTTTAACCCTTACAGTCCTTTGAGAAGGATCGTGTGTACTAATGTTTAACCCCTATAGTTCTTTGAGGAGAATTTCGTGTACTGAGGTTTAACCCTTACAGTCCTTTGAGGAGGATCGTGTGTACTAAGTGAGTTTTAACCCTTACAGTCCTTGGAGGAGGATCATGTGTAGTAAGTGAGGTTTAACCCTTACAGTCCTTTGAGAAGGATTGTGTGTACTAAGGTTTAACCCCTATAGTCCTTTTAGGAGAATTGTGTTTACTAAGTGAGGTTTTACCCTTACAGTCCTTTGAGGAGGATCGTGTGTACTAAGTGAGGTTTAACCCTTACAGTCCTTTGAGGAGGATCATGTGTACTAAGTGAGGTTTAATCCTTACAGTCCTTTGAGAAGAATCTTGTGTACTAAGTGAGGTTTGTCCCTTACTGTCCTTTGAGAAGAATCGTATGTACTAAGTGAGGTTTAACCCTTACAGTCCTTTGAGGAGGATCGTGTGTACTAAGTGAGGTTTAACATTTACAGTCCTTTGAGAAGGATCGTGTGTACTAAGTGATGTTTAAGCCTCAGAGTCCTTTGAGAAGGATCGTGTGTACTAAGTGATGTTTAACCCTTACAGTCCTTTGAGGAGGATAAGAAGAGTCTCCCTTGTGCAGGGACAGTCACTGAAGTTTGGGGAAGTCTAGGAATTTTAAAAGAACAGGATTTTGGAAATGAATTCAGGTCAATGTTCAAGCCCCATTCTGCCCTTTTGAGTGGCCCCGAGATGGCCCAGGGCCTGCCCTCCAGGACCTTGGCGGAGGTGGGGGCCAACGGGTTCCTCTTCTAACAGACTGTGGTGGAAACAGTATCAGTTTCCTTATGACCAACACACTAGTGAGGGAATATCATGATAAATTTATGACTGAAACACCTTACGTTTGTGCAGTTCACGTACACAATGGGGATGTAATCGTAGGTGGTTGGATGTGGCGTCTTCAGAGCTTAGGGTGCTTGTGAGTTAAGGGAGCTTGGTGGTCACGGGTTTTAGGGCTTTCTTTCTGAGAAGCAGAGCTATCGATTGCTACCTAATTGAAAAGATTGTGTGAGTCTGTAATGTTTTTCTCTTATTCACTAGAACACTTTATCAGCCTGACAACATTGGAAAGGAAACAGAAGCTGCCAGGGAAGCAGGTGTGAAAACAGCTCCAGTTACTCAGGCAAGGCTGTGGCTGCTCACCCGTGGCCCTGGCTCACGCAAAACTCTCCAGAATTAGGGGTGCTCTTGCATGGGGGTGCTCTGGTGTGTGGGTGCTCTGGTGTGTGGGTGCTTCGGTGTATGGGTGCCCTGGTGTGTGTGTGGTCTGGTGTGTGGGTGCTCCAGTGTATGAGTGCCCTGGTGTGTGGGTGCTCTGGTATGTGGGTGCCCTGGTGTACGGGTGCCCCGGTGTTCGGGTGCCCTGGTGTGTGGGTGCTCTGGTGTGTGGGTGCTCCAGTGTATGAGTGCCCTGGTGTGTGGGTGCTCTGGCATGGGGGTGCTCTGGTGTGTGGGTGCTCTGGTGTATGGGTGCCCTGGTGTGTGCGTGCCCTGGTGTATGGGTGCCGTGGTGTGTCAGTGCCCTGGTGTGTGGGTGCTCTGGTGTGTGGGTGCCCTGGTTTACGGGTTTCCTGGTCTGTGGGTGCCCTGGTGTATGGGTGCCCTGGTGTGTGGGTGCTCTGGTGTACGGGTGCCCTGGTGTACGGGTGCCCTAGTGTGTGGGTGCTCTGGTGTGTGGGTGCCCTGGCGTGTGGGTGCCCTGGCGTGTGGGTGCCTGGCGTGTGGGTGCTCTGGCATGTGGGTGCTCTGGTGTACGAGTGCCCTGGTGTGTGGGTGCTCTGGTGTGTGAGTGCCCTGGTGTGTGGGTGCTCTGGTGTGTGGGTGCCCCAATATGTGGGTGCCCCGGTGTACAGGTGCCCCGGTGTACGGGTGCTCTTGTGTGTAGGTGCTCTGGTGCGTGGGTGCTTTGCTGTATGGATGCTGTGATGTGCAGGTTTATTTTCCAAAAGTTAGGTAAGAACATCACTCAAGATGATTGAGTCTTTTTCTAATTCCAAAGGCACTTTAAGGTTTCAGAGAGCCTTGGATTGTTTAATAGAGAAGACATGGCAGAACATAAACCATAGAAGGTGTCTGAGATGACTGTAATTTTAAACAAGTTCCTAATATTAATACACTGCAAAATATCATTTAATTTTAATAGAAACAACTTTTACTATTATCTTTCCTTTTTTTCTTTCTCGTTGAAATGAAGACTTAACATCAAATTCAGCAAAACAGATGAAATCAATTAAAATATAACATGGCGTGCAGGGCAGGCACGGCCTCCTGCCCCTGGGGAGCTGGAGCCCTCACGGAGTCCTGTGTGTGGCTGTGCTTTCTGGGGCTGAGCAGATGAGGTAGCTCAGTTCCCCAGGAATCAGAACCGAGGCGGAGCTGTGCCACCCCAGCCTCCAGGGTGAACAGCAACAGCTCCCTGAAACTGGACGAGCTCCCCAGAGTTCAAGCTACAGAGGTTCCTGCCTCCCCAGGGCATGGAGTCCTCACTGCACTGCTCCCCACCTTGTGGGCCCCAGGCTGCGCTGGCATCTTGCCATTCCCGGGTCTTTGCTGCTGCTGCACTGGCCTCACAGGGCCTGGGCCACTGCCATGTCCTGCCATCCCTGAGTCACTAGTGTGTGGCACCTCATCTCCTGGGCTCTAGTTGCTGCTGTGCCCTGTTGGTTTTGGGTCCAGGATTGCAGCTGTGCCCTGTATCCCAAGAGCTGAGCTTCTGAAGAACCCCTTATCTCCCAGGGCCATGACAGTGCTATGTCCAGCCCCCCAGGGTCAGAACCAGAGCTAAAACCTGGCCCCCCAGGTCTGAACTGCCAGAGTCTGCCTCAGAACAACAGACCCCAGCTTTGTGGACAATCTGAAGCCACCTGAGCCCCAGAGAGTGAATCTGCACCTTGAGCACCGGATGCCACAAGGGCTTCACGTCACCCCAGGGCCCTGGTTCCACAGCTGCCCTGTGCACCTGTGCCCTGGATCTCAGTGCCACTGCAGCTGCTTGTGGGCCGTGTCAGACCCTGCGCTGAGAAAGATCCCCTCAGCTGAGACTCCCCTCTACAGAGAAGTCAAAAGTAGTAGGATACATGAAGCCCTTGCCACCAAGGACCCTAGACTTATGCTGCCACCATCATTGTCCTGAATTCCTGCAGCCTATGCCACTTAGACACCCACAGTCATTCCTGACATTCATTACAACTGAAGAACCTGCACAGAGACTATACCCCTGCACCCTGTCCAACCAGCACCCTCAGGCCCATCTGTATGTGAAAATCTTCCCCTACAAAAGGCACTACTTAAAAATTAGAAGAGATAAGAATCAGATAGCATAAAAAGGAACCAGACAGAAATCTCAAAGCTGAATAACTCAATGAAATCATAAAAAAATTCAGTAGAGGACTTCAATAGCAGACCTAGATTAAGCAGCAGAAAAAAAAAATCTGTGAACTTGAAGAGAGGTCTTTTGGAATGACTCATTTGGGGAGGTGAATAGAAAACGGAATAAAAATAGTGAAGAAAGCCTGTGGCACTCACAGGAAGCAATCAGATGAAGAAAGTTCTGTATTATGGGACTGAGAAGGAGCAAAAACAGAAAAAAAGGACAGAAAGGTTATTTAATAAAATAATTACTGAAAACTTGGAAGTTTTCAGTCTTGGGAGAGATATGGGCATTCAATTTCATGAAGCTCAAAGATCACCAAACATATTCAACCCAAAGAGGTCTTCATCAAGGATCGTTTTAATCAAAGTGTCAAAAGTCAAAGGCAAAAAAAGGATAATTTTAAATGAAGCAAAAGTGTCAAGTTGCATATAAAGGAATCTCCATTAGTCTATCAGTGGATTTCTCAGCAGAAAACTTGAAAGCCAGGAAAGAATAGTATGATACCTACAGGGAAAACAAACAAACACAAAAACCATTAGCTAAGAATTCTGTGCTCAGCAAAGCTGCCCTTCAGAAATGGAGAAAGTAAGTCTTTCCTAGATAAAAAAAAGAAAAAAGCTGATGGATTTCATAATCACTATGCTTGCTGTATCTGAAATGCTTAAAGGAGTACTTCAAGCAGCTAGAAAAGTGTAATCACTATCACAAATACACTTGAAGGTACCAAACTCACGGGTAGAAGGAAGTACGTAGTCAAATTCAGCATAGTCCAGTGTCATCATGGTGGTGTGTAACCCATACATGTCTCCAGTATGAAGGTAAAAAGTCAAAACAGTAAAACTAAGGCCATAATAACTTTTTAAGGTATACACAATGTCAAAAGATGCAAATCGTGACATCAAGAACATAAACTGTGGAGGAGAAGTTAAAGGCTCGTTTTTTTTTTTTTTGTATAAAAAAATGTAAGTTGTCTGCAGCTTAAAATAGTAGACTATAAGATATTTTACATAAGCTTCATAATATCCACAAAACAACAACAGCAACAAAATGATAGCAGACATACAAAGGGTGAAAATAAAGGAATCAAAGCTGAGCACCACAGAAAATTATCACGTTACAAAGGCAGACGAGAGTGGAGGAAAGGGACAGAGGATCTGCAAACAACAAAAAAAATAAGAGAATGGCATTGCTCATTTCTTATCTGTCAATAATCACCTTGAATATTACAAATAAGAAAATAAGAGAATGACTGGTCATTCCTTTTCTATCAATAATCACTTTGAATATTACAAATAAGAAAATAAGAAAATGTCATTGGTCATTCTTTATCTATCAATGATCACCTTGAATATTACAAACAACAAGAAAATGAGAAAATGGCATTGATAATTCCTTCTCTATCAATAAACACCTTGACTATTACAACAAGAAAATAAGAAAATGGCATTGATCGTTCCTTATCTACCAATAATCACCTTGAATATTACAACAAGAAAATGAGAAAATGGTATTGATCATTCTTTCTCTATCAGTAATTACCTTGGATATTCCAAACAAGAAAATAAGAAAATGGCATTTGTCATTCTTTATCAATAATCGCCTTGAATATTACAAAACAACAAGAGAAGAAAATGGTATTGGTTATTACTTATCTATCAATAATTACTTTGAATATTACAAACAAGAAAATAAGAGAATTGCATTGGTCATTCCTTATCTATCAATCACCTTGAATATTACCAACAACAAGAAAATGAGAGAATTACATTGGTCATTCCTTATCTATCAATAATCACCTGGAATATAAATTGATTACATTCTCCCATCAAAAGACATATAGTGGTGAAGTAGACTGAAAAAGAGATGATCCCAACTATATACTGGCTATAAGAGACCCGCTTTATCTTTAAGGACACACACATATTAAAAGTGAAGATAGGGAAACAATATTCCATGCAAATGGTAGCCAAAAGAGAGAAGGGGTAGTTAAACTTAACATCTGATAAAACAGACTTTAAATCAAACTGGTCACAAGAGACAAAGAAGGCCTTTATCTAGTGAAAAGGGGATAATTTATCAGGAGGACATAACAATCATAAACATATATGCATCCGACATTGGAGTACTTAAATACATAAAGCAAATATTAATGAACATAAAGAGATAAATACATAGCAATACAACAGTAATAGGGGACTTCAGCACCCCACTTTCAACAATAGATAGTTCAACTAGACAGAAAATCAATAAGAAAATACAGGACTTGAATTGCACTTTGGGCCAAAAAGACTTATCAGATATATAAAGAACTTTCCATGCAATAGCAGCAAAATACACATTTTTCTATAGCACACATGGAACACACACATGGATAGACCATATATTAGGCCATAAAACAAGTCTTAACAAATTTTGTATTGCAATTCTATCTAGTATCATCTCTGACCACATGGAAGGAAACTAAAAATCAGTAACAGGAGGAATCTTGGAAAATTCATAAATAGGTAGAAATTAAACAGTATTGCCCTGAACAATCAATGGGTCACAGAAGGAATCAAAAGTGAAATTTGAAAACTATCTATCTTGAGACAAACAACAACAGAAATACAACCTACCAGAACTTCTGGGATGCCGCAAAAACAGTTGTGAGAAGGAAATTGATAGTGATAAATACCTACATTAAAACAAAGATCCTAAATAGCCTAACATTAAGCCTCAAGAAATGAGATAAAGAACAACAAAGTAAACCAAAAGTTTACAGAAGGAAGGAAAGAGGATGAGAACAGAAATAAGTCAAACAGACAATAGTAAACAATAAAAAGAATTAGTAAAACTAAGAATTGTTTTTAAAAAAAAATAAAATTGGCAAACTCTTCATCTGTATTAGTCCGTTCTCACGCTGCTATAAAGAACTGTCTGAGACTGGGTAATTTATATGAAGGAAAGTGTTTGACTCACAGTTCCGCATGGCTGGGGAGGCGTCAGAAGACTTACAATCATAGTAGAAGGTAAAGGGGAAGCAAGGCACCTTCTTCATAAGGTGGCAGGAAAGAGAATGAAGGCAGGAGGAACTAGCTACCACTTGTAGAACCATCAGACCTTGTGAGAACCCACTCAGTATCATGAGAACAGCATGGGGGAAACTGCCCCCATGATCCAATCACCTCCACTTGTTCTCTCCCTTGACACGTGGGGATCAGGGTGATTGCAGGGATTATAATTGAAGATGAGATTTGGGTGGGAACACAAAGCCTAACCATATTATAATCTAAGAAACAGAAGTTTCAAATAAATAAAAAAAGTGAAGGCATTACCATGGACACCTCAGAAATGAAAGGATCATAAGGGACTATTATGAACTATTATATGCCAGAAAATTGGACTACCTAGAGGAAATGGTTAAATTTGTGGAAAAATACAACCTGCCAAGTTTGAGTCAGGAAAAAATAGAAAGACTGAACTGACCAAAACCAAATAGGGACATAGAAAAAGTAATCAAATCCTTTCAACAAAAGAAAGCATGGGACCAGATGGCTTCATGGCTGAATTATACCAAATATTCAAAGAAGAAATAATATGAATACTTCTCAAACTCTTTCAACAAATAAATCTAGAGGGAATAATTATGTATACATTTTTAAAAGCCAGCATCACCGTGACACCTAAGCTGAACAAAGATGTCACTAACAATGAAAACTACAGGCCAATTTTTCTGATGAACAAATGACAGAAACATTCTCATAATGACTTTAGCAAGCCAAGTCCAACAGCACATTAGAAAGATTACATGTCATGACCAAGTAGGATTCATCCATGGCATGTGAGGCCAGTTTAACATTTTCAGATTAACCAATGTGACACATCACATTAACAGACTGATGCAGAAAAATCATTTGACAAAGCCCAATATCTATGATAAAAAATCTCACCAGTTCAGGTATAGACAGCATGTTCACAATAAAGCTATTTATGAAAAATTCCTAGCTAGCATTATAATCAATATGAACAAACGCTTTAACATTAAGATCCTCTGCAAGACAAGGATGCCCAGTCTTGCCGATTTTATTCAACATGACACTGGAAGTACTTGCAATTAGCAATCAGACAAAAAAAAAAAAAAAAAAAAGGCATCCGAATAAGAAAGGAAGAAGTAAAGTTATCTATTTGCAGATGGCATGATTCTATTTGTAAAAACCCCAAAGATTCCACAGAAAAACTGTTAGAACCAATAATTCAGTAAAGTTTCAGGATATGAAATTCATATGCAAAAATTAATAGCATTGTCATACACAAATAATAGCTGAAAAAGAAATCAAAACAATCCCATTTATTAATGCAAGCATCAGAAAAAAATAAAATATTTAGCAATAAGTATAACCAAGGAGATAAAAGACCTATACAATGAAAACTGTAAAATATTGATGAAGACAATTCAAAACATTGAAGAAGATACCAATAAATGGAAAGATATTTTGGGCTCATGTCTGGGCTCATCATAATTAATATTGCTAAAATATCTATGAGCCAAAGTTATATATAGATTCAGTGTAATCCTTATCAAAATCCCAATGACATTTTTCACAGAAACAGAAAAAACAATTCAAATATTCATATGGAATCACAAAAGACCCTGAATGGCCAAACAGTTCTAAGAAAAAAAAAGTTGGAGGCATCACACTTTCTGATTTAGATTATATTACTATAGTAATCAAAACAGTATGGTGTTGGTATAAAAAACAGACACCTACACCAGTGGAGCAGAATAGAAAGCCCAGAAGTAAAACTAAACGTACATGCTCAACTAATTTTGGACTAAGGGCATCAGGAGGATACAATGGAGAATGTATAGTCTTTTCAATAAATGTTGCTGGGAAAACTGGACTTCCACATGTGAAAGAGTGAAATTGGACTCTTGTCTTACACCGTATAGGAAACCTACCAAAAATGGATGAAAGTCTTAACTGTAAGATCAGAAGCCATAAAACTCCTAGAAGAGAACGTTGGAGAAGAGCTCGTTGATATTGGCCTTGGCAATAATTTCTTGGCTGTCACACCACAACCTCAGACTACAAAAGCACAAATAGATAAATTGGACTACATCAAACTGAAGTTCCTGCACAGCAAACAAGACCAGCAGCCTATGGATTGGGAAAGTATATTTGCAAAACATGTATCTGATAAGAGGTTAATATTCAAAATTTATGAAGAATTCATTCAGGTTAATAGAACAAGTAAACCAATTAAAAATGGGCAAGGCAGATACAGAAAGACAAGCGCCACATGCTCTCACTTATATGTGGAATCTAAAACAATTGAACTCATGGAAGCAGAGAGTAGAATGATGGTCACAGAAGCTGGGGATTGGAGAATGGGGAGATGACGGTCAGAGGGCACAGACTCTCAGTTGTGCAGGAAGAATTTTTTTTAAGTTCTATTGCACAGTGTGGCAAAGATAGCTTTTTAATAGATTATTGTACATTTCAGAATTGCTAAGAAAATTATCTTGTTTTCATTATAAAAACATGTGAAGTATTTGAGGTCATAGATATGTTAACCAGCTTGCTTTCATTATCCCATATTGCATTCATAAATCATAACATTATTTTTACCCTGTAAGTTTATATGATTATAAATTGTCAATTACAATTTGAAAATATATAGGGTGGAATATTACTCAGTCTTTTTTTAATTTTTCTCAGACAGAGGCTTGCTTTGTTGCCCAGGCTGGAGTGCAGTGGTGCGATCTCAGCTCACTACAAGCTCTGCTTCCCAGGTTCATGCCATTCTCCTGCCTCAGCCTCCTGAGTAGCTGGGACTACAGGTGCTCGCCACCACGCCCGGCTAATTTTTTTTGTATTTTTAGTAGAGACGGGGTTTCATTGTGTTAACCAGGATGGTCTCGATCTCTTGACCTCATGATCCTCCCACCTTAGCCTCCCAAAATGCTGGGATTACAGGCGTGAGCCACCGCGCCCGGCCTACTCAGTCTTAAAGAAGGAGGAGGTCCTGCCCTTTGTCACAACAGGGTTGAACCTGGAGGACGCTATGCCAGGGGAAACAAGCCAGACATTAAAGGGAAATACCACATGACCTCACTTATGGGTGGAACCTGACGAAAAGGTCAAACACGCAGAGAAGGAGAATAATACAGTGGTCACCAGAAGTGAGGAGATGGTGGTGGGGAGGAATGAGGAGCTGGAGGTCAGAGGATGCAAAGCCGTGCACAAGTAGGCGAGCGAGTTGAGAGGTCCAGTGCTCAGCATGAGGACTGAAGGTCACACAATCATACCGTGTTGGGGATTCCTGCTACATTTTAGCTGCTCTTGACACACACAAAACAAAACAAAACAAAAATATGGGTAATCAGGTGAGATGATGGATATGTTAATTTGCTTCACTATAGTAACCATTTTACTATCTATAACATCTTTTTGTATGCCTTAGACATACTGTTATTATTAATAGTAACAAAAATCTACTGGACACCCACAGGACATTCACAATTTGAATCAACACCAGCATTAACCTTCAAATTATGTTAAATAAAACTTTTTATTTAAAAGTCTTCATTTTAATACGCTAAATATTCAGTTACTATAAATAGCTACTAAAGTCTGGCTGCTCGAGAGATTTCTTGCATAGCATATTTATTTCATAATATTAAAACTTCATTTCTTCATTTATGAACTTTATTATCAAAGTAGAGATTTTTTGTCCTTTTTTAAATCAAGAGTGTGTAACAGGAAGCTGAGTTTTCCTCTCCTCTGTCCCTTCCTCCTGTCCTCCTCTTGCTTCTTCCCTCTCCCTCCCTTCCTTTGCCTTCAAAGCACCCATGCATTTGTGCATATTTTTATTTGTATCCTTAGGTTTGAAGTTTGCTGCTTTCTTCTAATATCTTGGTGTTAGTCATTCAAAACCCTTAATAACTACCATACCTCCAAAACAGAATTGTTTTCTAAGATGAGTTATTGTAAATATAAATCACAGAAGGAAAGCATACTTTAGATGGACATGCTACTTTTCTTAAAGATTTACAATTAAAGATTTACAGTAAATACATGTCAGCTGTTTTAATTTTGATGTGTGTTTTGCTTAATTTATTCTCAATTGAGAAACTTTTTCTCTCTTGGGGCAAAAAGTAACACATTAGATCAGTTAGTAAATTTCAGAACAGGATATGATGATAGAATGAATGACAGAAGTAGACAGTAGGGTGTGGTGTACAGGGATAGGGTGAAGCTGTGTTTTTTTTAATTAACACATAATTGTACATATTTATGGGGTACATAATGATGCTTCAATACATACAATTTATAGTGCT
This sequence comes from Homo sapiens, assembly GCF_000001405.40. Taxonomy (NCBI): domain Eukaryota; kingdom Metazoa; phylum Chordata; class Mammalia; order Primates; family Hominidae; genus Homo; species Homo sapiens. The sequence continues at coordinate 1,125,938 of NC_000002.12, forward strand.
CAGATCAGGATAATTATCATATTCATCATCTCCAACATTTATTATTTCTTTGTGTTGGGAATATTCAATATGCTCTCTTCTAGCCATTTGAAAATAAACAATATATTATTGCTAACTATCATTATTCTACAGTGCTATAGAACACTAGAAGTATTCCTCCTATCTAGCTGTAACTGTGTATCCTTAAAAAAATCTCTCCACATCTCTCTTACCTCCTCCCCTTCCCAACATCTAGTAACCTCTATTCTACTCCTTAGTTCTATGAGACCAGCTTCCGCATATGAGTGAGAACATGCAGTGTTTAACTTCCTGGGCCTGGCTGACTTCACTTAAAGTAATGTCCTACAGGTTCACCCACTCTGCCACGAATGGGAGTGTTTCATTCTGTGTGTGGCTGAATAGTGCTCCACTGTGTATATACACCACGTTGTCTTTATTCATTCACCTGTTGTGGGACACTTAGCTTTGTTCCGTATCTTGGCTATTGCAAATATTGCTACAATTAACATGGGGTGCAGATATATCTTTGACATACTGATTTTCTTCCCTTTGGATAAAAGTGGCAGGTTTGCCAGAATCATATGGTAGTTCTATTTTTAGTTTTTTTGAGAAAGCCCATATTTTTCATGTTGGCTATACCAGTTTACATTACCACCAGCAGTGTGAGTTTCCCTTCCTCTGCACCCTCACCAACATTTGTCATTTTTTGGTCTATTTAGTAATAACCATTCTAACCGGGATAAGATAATATCTTATTGTGGTTTTTATTTGCATTGCCCTGATGATTAGTGATTTTAAGCATTTTTTCATATATTTAGTCATTTTTCTTCTTTTGAGAAATGTCTATTCAGCTGATATGCATACTTTTCAGTAGGATTATTTGTTTTTTGCTGTCGAGAGATTTGAGTTCCTTGTATATGCTGATATTAATCCTTTGTCAAATGAATAGTTTGAAAATATTTTCTCCCATTCCGTGGCTTGTCTCTTCACTCTGTTGTTTCCTTTGCTGTGCAGAACCTTTTTAGTTTGATATATCCCATTTGTTTATTTTTGCTTTTGTTATCTGTGTTTTTGAGGTTTTATACAATTTTTTCTCAGACCAGTGTCCAGAACCATTGCCTCTATTTTTATCATCTAGTCGTTTTATAGTTTTGGGTCTTACATTTAGATCTTTGATCTATTTTGAGTTGATTTTTTTATACAAAGTGAGAGATGGGAGTCCAGTTTCCTTCTTCTGCAAGTGAATAGCCAGTTCTCCCAGCACCATTTATTGAAGAGAAAATGTTCTCAATGTATGTTCTTGGTGCCTTTGTAAAAAAAAAAATCAGTTGTCTGTAGATACATGGATTAATATCTGGGATACTTATCTTGTTTGATTGCTGTATCTATTTTTTGCCTGTACCACGTTGCTTTGGTTACTATAGCTTTATAATATAATCTTAGGAAGTGTAATACCTCCAACTTTATTCTTGTTTCTCAGGATTGCTTTGGCTACTTGGGGCTTCATGTAGTTCTGCGCAAATTTTACAATTTTCTTTTTTATTTCTGTGAAGAATGTCATTGGTATTTTGATAGGGTTTGCATTTAATTTTTAGATCGCTTTGGGGAGTATGTTCATATTAACAGTCTTGATTTTTCCAGTCTGTGAACACGTTATGTCATTCCTTTGTGTCATCATCAATTTTTTCTATCAGTGTTTCATAGTTTTCCTTGTAGGGATCTTCCATATCCTTGGTTAAATTTATTCCAAGGGGTGTGTGTGTATGTGTGTATGTGTGTGGCTATTGTAAATGGGATTGGTTTACTGATTTTTTTCAGCAAGTTCATTGTTCGTACTTAGAACACTATTGATTTCTGTACGTTGATTTTGTATTCTGTAACTTTACTGAATTCATTTATCAGTGCTAAGAGTTTTTTGGTAGAACCTTTAGGTTTTTCTATACAAGATCATGTCATCTGCAAAAAGGGACAATTTGACTTCCTCTTTTTCAACTTGGATGTCCTTTATTTATTTCTCTTGCCTGAGTGCTCTAGCTAGGACTTCCAGTACTATGTTGAGTAAGAGTGGTGAGAGTGGGCATCCTTGTTTTGTTCCAGATTTCAGCTTTTCCATTAAGCATAATGTTAGCTGTGGGTTTGTCATATGTGGCCTTTATTGTTTTGAAGTACTTTTCTTCTGTACCTATTTACTGAGAGTTTTTGTCATGAAGAAGTGTTAAATTTTATTAAATGCTTTTTTTTTCTGAATCTATTTAGATGATCATATGGTTTTTAATTTGCCATTCTATAAGGAATGCAATTTATTCATTTTCGCATACTGTGAATAATGGAATCAAGATTATATCTCGAGTCTATTCATTTCACCATTTGGGGCTGTATAAAGACAAAATTGCTTTTTAAAAATGAGCAAAATAATTATATACATTTTATTATACATATGAATACATAAAAAAATTTGAAAAATGTATTCCATGGATTTGAATTTACCTTTGTGTTATTATGGAAGTTTTCTTCTTTCAACAGGCTTTGCAACATAATGAATATCTGCCTTACACATTTATTCATAACTTTCATTATTTCTCTTTCGTTTAAGTGATGCCTCCATCAACACAAAATGCACAGTACAGAAATAGTAAGTGTTTGATAAATGAATACAAGCTCTGGTCTCCCTGCTTCTCTCAGACCGTCACAGTTTAATCTGAGTTTCCTGTGCCAACTTTCAATATTGTTTATATACTGCCATGATATGGTGGAGGGTGAAAACTGTGTTAGAAACTAGGACTTCTGCTTGGTGTTTTCTTGTGGACAGGTTCTGCACTGGACTAACAGACACTGGAAATCTTCTCGTCCAGGGCTGATAGCCATCAGCCAGGATGAGAGTGCACAGGGAATGCTCAGTTTGTCTTTTCACAGCCACTTAATGTGACTTTCTGTTATTCCAGTTGATTTTTTAAAAATGAAATCTGCATTTTTGACTTGGAAACTGTTGGGAAACAATTCAGTTTATGATTAGGAAATGATTACTCATCTACTTCCAGTGCTGAAGGGGAGATCATACACCTAGGAATAAGTGTCTAGCCTTTCCATCTTCAGAGAAAAATGTTATACAGCAGAGGAATCGACCTCGAATAAACGACATATACATTTTATGCAGGCCATTTTCAGAAAGTACCAAAAGTGAGATGAGACAGTTGGTTCTTGAGATAAGCTAAAGGATTTGCTATTCGTTCATTCATTTTTCTAAGTCTTCTAACAAATGATTTCCTAAGAAAACTACAGGTGGTTCTCACTATTTAGCTCCTCTGCAGAACATCCTTCTTTGACGCTGTTTTAGAAAGTCACTGGCCTTTACCAGAAGTCTTTATGATAAATGACAAGATGAAGTTTGTATCTGCATGTCCTGCAAACATGCTTTTGAACTCAGTGTCCATTATGGTACATCGTTTCTTTTATATAAAGGTCTATATCATTATTTGAGAATTCCTTCCCAGGGAAATGTGTCTCTTCTGGTAAATAGACACAAATATACAATTTTGGATAAATTTGGAAATTAATAATTTCATCACGGTTGTCTCATCTGAGACAAACCATAGAGCCAAACCATAAAGTCAAATAAGAAGGTCAAGTTTGTGACCGCATTAATTTAACTTTGTATGTATTATTTGTCATTCTAAGTAGTCCTTAATGTTCCATGTTTTAAATTTAGCAATTGTAATATGCATATAACTTACGGCATTTCACCTTTAATCCTTTTGAAGTGAAACTGGAAACCTCAACCACTTCTGGTTGTCATGGTGTTGAGTAGGGCTTGGAGGATTTCTGATGAGCTGTGCAATAGACTCTGCCATCAATAATACATCATTGCAAAGTTTATTGAGCCTGGACAATGTGGCTTCTTATCATCAAGAGAATGCCTTTAAATACCTCTTTAATATTTTATAACATGTCATCTTCATGGAATTTAATATATAAAATATTTGAAGGTGGTGTTCACAAGTTGTAATAAAAATTCTTGCAGGCCATACATGCACTTAACATTTGTAGGGAGCAAGTCTACTTCTTATTGTAGAGTTCCTGACAATAAGAGTTACAGGCAAAAGAACTCATTCATCTTACATTCTTGGCCAAAAAACTTAAAAGCCATATGTGCCTGTCTTATTTTTCTTGCTTGTTTTACACAATATGAGCAATGAAAGTATTTCTGAGTCTGTGAGTCTCTGGCTTCCTTTACTGCTTCTCCTGAGTAAATAGGCTGTCACTCATCATGGACATGGACATCCCAGATTCATAGATGACATTCTTTGGAGCCATTTGGTGAAGTGACAACATAATTTTTTGCATAATTTTTTCTAGCAAACTCTGAGAATAAACTCACAGTTTAAAAATAGCAATATGGTTTCCTCAGTTGAATAAAACCAACTAATGTATATGATAAAGAAGATAAATTTTAATTTTTCCTTTCAGATTAATGATATTTTACATAATAAAATCTTTTTTTGCATTACAATTTTTCCAGCTAGAAAAATTCAAAAAGAACTGTAACACTGCTGAAATTATTTTAAGAAATGACAATTAAAGTTTTCTTTTTGATACATCATCACAGTCGGGCTGGTGGGAACTCCATCTAGATGGCTTGTCCATCCTTTCAACATTTATTCCCTCTCCCCAAGAACTCCTGCAAACATTTTATTTTATTTAAAAGAATGTTCCAGGTCCACATTTTTGGAGTAACCTGAGAAAGTCTTGTGCCCAAGTCACAAAGCATGTATTTCTTGCCAAGAGGCTTGATTCATTTGCTAGAGTACAGTGTTGGAGATTAAAAACTCTGTGTAGAGAAGCATTTTTCATGGCCCTTCGTGATGAGTCGGTCATCACTGGGTACTCTGCAGAGGTAAAGAAAGTCTGTTGAAACTTAGGCGTTCACATTGGCACTGTCAATTTAGAGTTTCATTCGCCGCAGATAGCTAAATCCTGCAGCCTATCATCAATACCATAGTAGTTTTTCTATAGTTTTGACTAAATGGTAATAAAAGCAAATTTAATGACCTTTGTTTTATCAGGTAACACAATGTAAATTCAAGCAATGATTATAGGATTTATACAGTCAACAGGAGCCCCAGACAAGACACAGCCTTGGGCCAAACTGTAAAGTGTCCTGCTAATGAGATGCAGTCAGCTTTCTGTGGGGTTGACGCAGGTTTCCAACTGTAAGACATTCTGGTCTGTTAAGATCATACATGCACTGTCTGATTTATTCCTGGGTGAATTTGCTGAAGTCAGTTTTAATTAGAAGATGTGTTTTGACTGACAGTTCTTGGTGTCTGTGTTCGGCTAGTGTTTCTTTCTTGGTAGAAACATTTAGGTGCTGGAGTGCTATTCTTTCTTATCAGGAGGTAAAAAGGCAATTTAAGTTCCAGAGTCATGCTCAGGGGATGGATTCAGCCACACCCTGGCCTGCGGTGTGCAAGCTTCAAGTTGTTTTTGGCAAATCCATTTGACTTCCATCCTGTCAGATTATGTATTTTAGTGATATCCTTGGAATCTACAGATCGTTAAAGTGAGCTCTTTTGAAAATGAGCACAAACATGGGACACACTATTCATTTCCCTCAGTGTAAAGTTTCAGAGAAAATGCAGAAACTCTCCTGTTCTTCTAGTTCACACCTTTATGAGGGTCCCGTTTAACCTGTTTGCAAATCCTTTTTCTTTTTTTTTCTTTTCTTTTTTTTTTGTGAGACAGAGTCTCACTCTGTTGCCCAGGCTGGAGTGCAGTGGTGTGATCTCAGCTCACTGCAACCTCCACCTCCCGGGTTCACGTGATTCTCCTGCCTCAGCCTCCTGAGTAGCTGGGACTACAGGCGACGCCACCACGCCCAGCTAAGTTTTTGTATTTTTAGTAGAGACGGGATTTCACTGTGTTAGCCAGGATGGTCTCGATCTCCTGACCTCGTGATCCGCCCGCCTCAGCCTCCCAAAGTGCTGGGATTATAGGCGTGAGCCACCGCACCTGGCCACTAATCCTTTTTCTTTTGAGCTCTTCACCTAATGTGAAAATGTTTCCATTACTTGCACCTATATCCTAGGCTAACAGCTTTTCACTAAACTATCAAATACACATTCTCATATGGATTTTAATATAGTCTCTGCTACATTGTTTTACAAAACAATAAGTTGAACTGTAAACTTAAAGTTTCAGAAATCTTTCATTTTAAAAATAAAATTAGAGCTTATTTAATCAGATAATCTCCATATATATGTGTGTGTATATATATGTGTATATATATGTGTATATATGTGTGTGTATATATATACACACACACACACACATACATACACACATACATGCACAGGTTGATAGGTTTGACAGCATGCATTTAATCTGCAACACCCAAGAACACAAATACATTCAGAGCCACGGGGAAGTTGAGTAAAAGCAGCACTCCTTTCCAGACGCCTGGAATTGAGTTTGCAGAAGGTATGACTTCAGATCACCCCAGCTGCTCTTGTTTCGACACCACGCAGACTACTTGTAAAGAAAAAATTCTCTCTTGATGTAGGCAATTTTCCCTTATGTTTTGTCATGTTATCTTTTGATTATGTGTCAAAAGATCATGTGTCATCGTGGTAGTAAGTAAACCTCGATTCTGTTTCTAGGTTGTCTGTTCTGGAGGCAGTGGGTAGGGATTGAGGGGGTGACTCTGAGCGGAGTTGCGGGGTTGGCTGCAGGTCCGCCGCTGTTAGGCGGGTTAGCCATCCTCCACTGTGTAAGCTGAGTGTAAGCTGTGGAAGAAGCTGAGCCATGTGTTAGCTGAGTGTACATGATACGATCCATTAACCAGACTAGAGGAAACGCCCACTCACCCTCCCTCCAGTTTTAGAGCTAAACACCTCCCAGGGCCCCATGCCCTGCACCTGCCCCTTCTCTCCTGAGTTCAGTGAGAACCATGCATTTGCCTTTCTCTACAGTTTGGCCACATATGTGTCCCCAAACAACACATTGTTTAGTTTTGCTTGGTTTTGAACGTCACAGTAATTAAAGTCGTACCATATGTCTTCTTTGCCCTACATTCTCTGCTCAGTGTCTAATCAGACATGCACAGGTGTTGAATTTTGACTCTGAGGCCCAGAATTTTCACCTGTGGGGTGATGATTATGCCTTACACATGGGGTTGTGATGTGGTTTAAATACGTCCATAAGGACTATGAAGGTTGTCTGACCTGTAAGAAATGCTCAGTAATTTTAGTCATTATTAATTCAAATAAATAATAAAATCTAACTCAGTTAATATTAAGACTTGGTAACAAATATTATCATTATATAACACTACCCACATGTATATATGAATAAATATTTAACAGAAGTGTCTTTACAAATTCTAATTAATTTTCAAGAAAACACAATTATGTTCACGATAACACAGTTGTGTTCCAAACCTTGATTATATTACCTTTACATGACCTCAGATAACCCTATAATTACTTTATCTTGATAAAGCAAGTATAATAAAGTATTACCTCATTACAGCATTTTGCAGGAGTTTGAATATTTATATGGATTAAAATGCATTATGCTGTATTTCCATTTTGTATAATGAGGCAGTGGCTGTATTACCGTAGGGATGAACTAGAATCACTTTTCAGCTAAAATCAACAAACCTTGCCTAATCTGACCAAATAGTTCATTTTATTTAGGATCACTAATTAAAATTTCGAATTAAAATCAAGCTTTCATGATTTTATTTTATCACCCATTTTACCACTTTTTAATTTTTTTTAAGGCTAAAAGTGTCCGTCAGCTGAAACACATTTCACAGATTTAGTTGGAAAGTATTTGTAATTACCTTTCATTTAATAACTGGGAATGACTCTTCTTCCTCCTCCCTTTCACTGAACCAAAATTGCTTAAGAAGATTGGTTTTGTGTCCGGAATTGGTGGGTTCTTGGTCTCACTGACTTCAAGAATGAAGCCGCGGACCCTCGCGGTGAGTGTTACAGTAAAGATGGCGTGTCCGGAGTTTGTTCCTTCTGATGTTTGGATGTGTTTAGAGTTTCTTCCTTCTGGTGGGTTCGTGGTCTCGCTGGCTCAGGAGTGAAGCTGCAGACCTTTGTGGTGAGTGTTACAGCTCTTAAGGCGGTGCGTCTGGAGTTGTTGGTTCCTCCCTGTGGGTTTGTGGTCTCGCTGGCTTCAGGAGTGAAGCTGGAGACCTTTGCGGTGAGTGTTACAGCTCATAAAGGCAGCGTGGACCCAAAGAGTGAGCAGCAGCAAATTTATTGCAAAAAGCAAAAGAACAAAGCTTCCACAGTGTGGAAGGGGACCCCAGCGGGTTGCCACTGGTGGCGCCGGGATCCTGCTTTTATTCTCTTATCTGGCCCCACCCACATCCTGCTGATTGGTCCATTTTACATAGAGCCGAGTGGTCTGTTTTGACAGGATGCTGATTGGTGAGTTTACAATCCCTGAGCTAGACACAAAGGTTCTCCACTTCCCCACTAGATTAGCTAGATACAGAGTGTCGACACAAAGGTTCTCCAAGTCTCCATCAGGTAGCTAGATACAGAGTGTCGATTGGTGCATTCACAAACCCTGAGCTAGACACAGGATGCTGATTGGTGTGTTTACAAACCTTGAGCTAGATACAGAGTGCCGATTGGTGTATTTACAATCCCTTAGCTAGACATAAAGGTTCTCCAAGGCCCCACCAGACTCAGGAGCCTAGCTGGCTTCACCCAGTGGATCCCCCACCGGGGCTGCAGGTGGAGCCGCCTGCCAGTCCTGCCCCTGCGCCCGCACTCCTCAGCCATTGGGTGGTTGATGGGACTGGGCACGGTGGAGCAGGGGGCGTCGCTCGTTGGGGAGGCTCCAGCCGCACAGGAGCCCACAGAGTGGGGGAGGCTCAGGCATGGCGGGCTGCAGGTCCCGAGCCCTGCCCCGCGGGGAGGCAGCTAAGGCCCCGAGAGAAATCAAGCGCAACACCGGTGGGCCAGAACTGCTGGGGGACCCAGTACACCCTCCGCAGCCGCTGGCCAGGGGGCTAAGCCCCTCATTGAGACAGACGCTGGGCTGCAATTCATCGTCATCTCATTAAACCCCAGGCCCTGCAAAAAAGTCTGGGTCCAGGGAGGCTGCTGACCCATGGGCTCAGCACTGCCCTATGTGCGTTTTTCTGATGTCTGGAGGCGGCTTCTGACCAACTCTAGAGCAAAATAGACCTCACTGCGTTAGTTCCAGACAAGAAATGGCAGCTCCATTCTGAAAACTCTAGATACCATTCTTTTCTGGGAATTTGGTTATGCATTTTGGTGCCTGGCTCTGGACAGTCATTTTTTTCTGCTGTTCTGTAGGATCTCAGGCACACATGTGGCTTGTTGACAAAACAAAATGCCACTTTTTGCTTTAGGTTAGAAGAGTCAGATGCGTCTTCATTGACCTTCATTAAACAAAGAGGTTAAGTCATTTACTGTGTGATTACCATAGGTATCATTTTAAAAACACATTACCTCGGCCAGGCGTGGTGGCTCACGCCTGTAATCCCAGCACTTTGGGAGGCCGAGGCGGGCAGATCACCTGAGGTCAGGAGTTCGAGACCAGCCTGGCCAACATGGCAAAACCACGTCTCTACTAAAAATACAAAAAAATTGGCAGGGTGTGGTGGTGCATGTCTGTAATCCCAGCTACTTGGGAGGCTGAGGCAAAAGAATCGCTTGAACCCAGGAGGCAGAGGTTGCAGTGAGCCAGGGTCGCGCCACTGCACTTCAGACTGGGTGACAAGTGCAAGACTCTGTCTCAAAACAAAACAAAAAAACAAAGACATTATCTCCTGCACTGGACTTGTTCAATGACAATGACTACTTTCCATAAGTAGCTAAAGTTTGTTTTGTAAAAATCAATGCGTCTAAATGCACAGAGATTTTTATTTTCTATAGGTCCATTCAGACCATGGGGTAAAATACTTTGATAAGAACAACCTTATCCCTATACTGTTAGACAAGCTGAAGCTTAGTTTCCCATGCGTCAGGTAGGTATTTGATAAAGATGGTGCTTCTTAAACTAAATATTGAGAATTATGATGATTAATTGATTTGGACCTTGTTTTTATCATATGCAATTTTCTGCACTTTTATAGCATCCATATTAATGATATGATCTATATAATCTCTACCACATGTGTAATTTCACATGGAATCCACATATTCTGTGTGTACTTTCTTCTGTTAGCCTTTGATTCCCTTAAAATTTAGGTTTGTAATGCTTCTGAGGCCCCGGCTTGAGAGTCCATTATTCCAGATAATCAATACATGTTTTCAGGATGCAGCCTACCCTCGTGTGGCTAGAGAGGGGAACAACAGCATGCGAAGAACTGAGAGACAGAGATAGAAAGAGACAGAGAGACACAGAGACAGTGAGAGACACCGAGAGGGAGGGGGGCAGTTTGAACACAGGGAGACGGCGCAGGGGAGAAGAGCTGCCACCAATGCATGGGCCACAGCAGCTTTGCCATGCACAGTTTCGGTGCAAATGAGAACTTTGTTTGGATCGCTTAACATCAGTACCATTGCTGTACAGAATCGGTACCATTACGTACACTGATATGAAAACTATAGTTTCAACATGATTTAATATTTGCTAAACACTAGAAGTAATATTTAGAATTGACAGTTAATCTGTATATAGTTTGTCAAGAGCATTCCCACTTTCAAAGAACAGGTTATTACTTGTTTTCCACTATTTAAACAAAGATTTAAAATTGAAACAAACCTATGTGAAGGCAAAAATTGGGGAAAAAAGCCTTAGCTTTTGTGCAGAGTTGTTCAGTTGTATTGAATGGGGCTCTGTCTGCCTCTCTGACAATGGAAAGGTTAAGTGAAAACATGCTGCATAGATTATAGTCAAACTTTCTCATACAAAGTTTTTCTCTTTGTTGCCTTTAATATTCTAGGTACAGTTGTTTTGATCAGAGCCGTCTCTGTACGTTTGCTTATGAGAATGAGGGGAAATGCTAAGTGGCTGAGGGAATTCCTTGTTTATTGCACACTTAACGAAAAATGTGCATCAGACTTTCCATATCCTGTAATGAAACCCTTTGTTACGAGGAAGTGACATTCGTTTTCCACACTAAACAAGTCTTCTGTGACTGGAAGGCAGCTCTCTTAATGCACGTAAATCAATCTAGCTTTCCTTATGAAGAGGCCAATCTAGCTTTCCTTATGAAGTGGCCGCCTATTGCTATGTGTTCACATTTCCCACACCCCTGTGGACACATGCACACACACATCCATGGCACACACATCAACAGATTCACATGCTCAGACTTGCAAATACCCGTGCATGCCGCCCACACCCACGCATGCACACCCATCTGCACCTGCACACACACACATCTCACGTGGACACATGCACACACACATCCATGTGTACACACAGGCATGCACATATCAACAGATCCACACACTCAGACTCGCAAATACCCATGCATGCCACCCACACCCACACATGCACACACATGCATACATTCACACCCATCTGCACCTGCACACACAAACACACATCTGCTCACGTGGACACATGCACACACACACACACGTGGCCACTTCAGCTACTGCAAGCCCTGTGCTTAAATGACTGTCATAACAAAGCATGTCACTGAGATTTCTCTTAAAACTGTTGCCACTTTTGCCACCCTGCAGCTGACCAGACAGGGATGTTGTTCGTAGGAGATGCTGTTCTCCAGGTCAGTATTGTACACGTTAATCCTTAACTTGATTGCATTTTTATTTTTAACTTGTATTAATCAATCGTTATTCTCAACATTCTTACTTTGTCATCTGTTCAGGTTAATGGCATACATGTAGAAAATGCAACTCATGAAGAAGTGGTAAGTGAATTACATTTTATAGTTATTCTGTTTATTATTCTTGTATTTGAATTATTTGTCTCTATAGTTGATATTTCACTGAGTCTATCCATAGATGCAGTGTTAGAATTGGAAAGAAAGCTCAAAGGTTTAGTAAATCATGTTACAAAAGGACCTTAATAAACTGCCCACTGTCGACTGTTGTGTGCTGACTGGGGCACTTCACGAGCATTCCTGTCAGGGATCCTCACAAACGCTGTAAAATACACTTGATGAAGCCCATGTTAGAGCACTGGAACTCAGGGAGCAGGTGACTCACCCGGGATTCCTGAAGTGTTATCATCGTGCTGAGCACAGGAGGTGTCAGGGCTTCACAGGGTCTCCCCGTACCGCCCGGGCGCTGGAGCCTGCAGGGCCTTCACGCCTTTGCTCCCTGTTGGCTGGCAGCAGCACACGTGCATAGAATGTGTGCCGTGGAGGACACCAGGTGAGACCTCTGAGGATCACATAAGATGGTGGGGGTCAGGATGCATTCGGTGCAGGATGCTTTCCATGGAGATGAGCTTTCTCCAATGTCACGTCAGGTTAGGCGGATGAAACAGACGTCTATCCCCGAGGTACTCATTCTGGCTGTTGGGAAGAGAGAAGCCGAGTGCAGCCTCACCATAGGGCTGATGCCAGGAAGCATGTGGTGGGGACGCGTGGTCAGTCTGGTGCCTGTGGGGTGGGGGCGGAGGTGGAGACAGTATTACAGCTGAGAGATGAGGTGGAGGGCGAAGCGGGTGAGATGACGGGCAGAGCAGTCCCTGTGCTGATAAGTGACCTGGGGGACACAGGGTCAAGGGGAGAGGCAGTGGAGCCGAGTCCAGGACACACGCCTGGGGCCCAAGGTAGCCAGCAGAGCCCTCACGGGAGTTTAATTCTGTGAGTTGCAGCAAAAGGCAAGCAGGCTGGTAATTTAACTTGTCCCACGAAGATTAATAGGCATGCACTCATTTCTTCTTCAGTGTTTATCTTTTCAATTAGCCAACTCTTAGTTCCAAGGAAGGGCAAACAGCCCTAGTACCCAAAAGTCACCCCATCTGCATAGCAGTAAATTTCCGTGAAACCAAGGCAGGCACACGCAGCAGTCTGTAACTAAACGGGGAATCACTTCCTACACGCTCACTCAGAATTCATCTGTGTCTTCATTCAAGATGTGTAGTTATCGACCTCTAATTTGTGCTAGGCAGAGGAAGGAGTCACAACAACAAGGATCAGCATATTTCTTGGCCTCCAAAGCCAAAAAGTCTCGAGTAGATGAAGTGCTGTTATCCTTTTGCTTATTGTGGGAAAACACATCACAATTGATAGAGAGGCAAGACACACCTTCATGACTTCTATCCTAGCCCAGAGAGAGTAAAATTCTTGTGAGCAACAGTTTTTTTGTTTGTTTGTTTGTTTTGTTTCATTTTGTTTTTGAGACAGAGTCTTGTTCTGTCGCCCAGTGTAGAGTGCAGTGGCATAATCTCGGCTCACCGTAACCTCCGCCTCCCGGGTTCAAGCAACTCTGCCTGCCTCAGCCTCCCAAGGAGCTGGGATTATAGACGCCCACCACCATGCCTGGTTAATTTTTGTAGTTTTTTTTAGTAGAGATGGGGTTTTGCCATTTTGGCCAGGCTGGTCTTGAACTCCTGACCTCAGGTGATCTGCCCACCCTGGCCTCTCAAAGTGCTGGGATTACAGGTGTGAGCTGCCACACTCGGCCACAACAAATTTTTGCACCAGTTGCTCACAACTGTAATCCAAGCACTTTGGGAGGCCTAGACAGGAGGATCACTTGAGGCCAGAGGTTCAAGTCCAGCCTGGGCAACATAGCAGGACCTGTCTCTACAAAAAATAAAAACAAAATCTAGTCAGGCATGGTGGCGCATACCTGTAGCCCCAGCTACTTAGGAGGCTGAGGTGGGAGGATCACTTGAGCCAAGGAGTTTGAGGCTGCATGAGCTATTATGGCTCCCTACACTGCAGTCTGGGCAATAGAATGAGACTCCATCTCAAAAAAAAAAAAAAAAAAAAAAAAATCCTAGTAAATTATATGTAAATCTTATAAATGGAGCTATTACAATATTGGACTGATACAAATATACTTTTTGAACCAGACTGATCATATCATATGTTTACATTCTTATGTGATACAAAATAAATTATTAGAGAAATGCTAATGAGACATAAAATCTCAATTTTTCCGATGCATAAAGTTCATTAAAATGCTAAAATTCTAAAAGACGTATAAATCATATGGTTTCACTTCCTCATTTTTCAGAGTAAATTCTGGCTTCAATTAATTCTAAAAGAAAAATGTCAGTTGTACTGAATGCAAAGAATCCTTTGTAATATAAAAACTAGATTTACCTCCACAAAGTGAATCTTATTCACTCTACTGCTTTGGAAAATTTTACTACTTTAAGTTGTTAAAACATCTTAATACACATACATGCATATACATTAACATATAGTTTCCCCTTTTTAGTACATCTATGCATTTTCATCCACACTGGCATATAATACTGTAGCCAGCTACAGCCGAGTAAACTGTCCGTATGTTCACTGGGCAAATTCTGAGACATGTCTCTCTTCAGAGAAAAAGGGAGATCGATGACGGCTGTCACTCAGTGTGACATCCCTGCGCAGACACAGATTGGGATGTCTCGGGGGCGGGCAGCAGGAGCTGCCGGTTCCTCTCGTACCTGTACCTGGTCTGTGATGGGACCACTGATCCCGAGTGAGGCGCTCTGGGAGGTGGTGGGCTGCTCTCCAGCGCCCCCACAGGCAGGGCGCAGAACAACAGCCTGGCAGGGCCACAGCGAGGCTGGTGTGTTCTGCCTGTAATCACCCCAGGATATCTCAGCGCAAGAAGCTTTACAGAATGTCATTTTTCTCCAGTTCAGTGGGAAATTTTAAAAAGACGTCTCAAATGTTAAAGTAAGATACTGTAATAGAAAATCACTTCTAGTCTAAGTTACAGTCTAAGTTCTTAAGTGCTATGAAAACCATTGATAAAAATTGACCTAATTGGAAAAAAAAAGTCACTAACACCTTTCACGGAGCTACCCTTTTAAATTTAAATTAGTCCTTTTAAAAAACACGTTTCAGTCACCTATAATAGCTTTTACTATGATTACGAACTCATGGCAGATCCTGCCTGTAGGTGATTTTGAACTTAACTGTTAGAAATAAAGTTGACATCTTATGTTGGGAAAAATGGTGTGGACACTCTGAGCAGGAAGGAACCTTCCAAATCATCTATTTTGAACAGCAGGTCAGGGTGGGAAGCCCCATTCACAGAAATTGGCTCTGACAGTTTACTCAGCAGACCATGGGGACTTCATTCCATGTTAGCAGAAGAAGGGGTTCCTAATACAGAGCTGAAGCTTGCTTTCCTGTTACGCCAGGTTTTCCATTTAATGACATGTGTTATGGTTAATACTGAAACAGGACGTTACATCCTGTGTAAGCAAGGCCTTTTTCCTCAAGAATGAGTACGTTCTGGCTTCGGTGCCGGAACACAAAGTATGCTATTGCCATTCAAAGGCAGGCTGTTTCTGGCGATGTGTGCTAACAGCTAGAAACTGCAGGAGAAAGAATCACTGGCCATTTTCATAGCTGTTTACCAGGTATCAGGGACGTTTTTGATTTGCTCTGGGATACAGAACACATCTGGGACAATAGCTGGAACTGGAGTTCCATCTGTTGATATTTACAATAGAGCACTCCCTTGCTAATAATTTATTTGCTTTTTGCCTGAGCCAAGAGGCAATCGAAAGAAATGGAATAAAATTTACCTCCTCCACATCTTTCAAGTTTTCCCTACAGCATGGCTTTTGGTTTTCCGTTTTCCAAAGGAAAAGCCATTCTAGGATGTCCAGTCACCCAACCATGATGGGCCTGAATCCAGGGGTCCAGACACCAACGTGGAGGTTCCACCAGTAGGACACATATCTGTTCAGCTCTGTACTCAGGGGAGTTAAAGAGCCCCAAGGCGTGTTTGGGGCCCTGAGACAAGTGTGGGATGAGTCCGAGACAAAGGCAGCTGTCCCCCGACCCACATTAGTCCCACATTGTGACAGGGGCCATGGCAGGCACTGGGGCTCCAAGGACGTGGCATCGCCCCAGAGCCAGGGTCCAGCAGCATTTTTTGTCCACCACTCATAGATGTGAATCTCTGCTTTACGGAGGCTAACAGGGAGATCTGCAGTACAAAGAGTTGGTGGGCTTTCCTCAAACAGACTTGGACTTCCCTTTATTCAGGGCTGCTGTTCTGGGAACTGACTCTCTCCCTGAAATTGATTGAGAGCCCAGGCCTCTTTACTGTGGTAAGTCCAGTCTCTATCCACCTGACCTGGAGATTTTTCACCTACGCAAATCAATTGCAACTGCAATGTATTCCCCATCTATTTCAAACCTAAGAGCTCCATGATCAATTAGCCATGGCTAGATAGATCTGCAGGTCAAACCATCAGCCCTGCCACCCATGAAGGGAACCAACGCACCTGATCTGAAGGTTCAGTGCTGCTGCCTGGGCTCTGCCATCCCGTCCAGGGTCCACCATCCCTTTGGATTCCAGGAGCCACCTTCAGTGGTGGCATAGCCCAGTACCATGCCTGCTCAGCAGGAAAGTGCCACAGCAGAGTTCCTGGGATGGTGGAGCCTTCCTCACTTAGGGTTTTTTCAATTTTTTTGGCAAAGAAATGAATGTAGATTCAGCAAGGGAGCAGGTATGGGAGTATGCACCCTACTTCCATAACCCTTTGAATTCCTTCTGGGACCACACACCAAGGAAGCTATGGCAACTCAACCACACTTAGTGTGGCCACTGTGAGTCCTGATGTTAGTCAACTAACCAAGGAAACCAATAGAGTCTCTCTCAAGTAATTAAACAAATTCAATCCAGAATCTCTACTCATTCAATTCAGAATCTCCAGTCATTCAATCCAGAATCTCTAGTCATTGCACCCATATTAATACATTTGGTCTAATCCAACAGAGGATTCTACAACCCTAAACACATACTCCCATGCACAATCAAAAGTTCATTTCTGCCATTGTCATGACCATTGCATTGCAATTCTTTAGATATGCATGGGATAGCTTTTCTGAAATTAGGCTTCATAATAAGATTTGGGGCTAGTTATGAGACTAGAAATATGGGGAGTGGCCAGATGCATATTGAGGAAAGTCAGCATTGTCCTGCTAAATTGTTGCCTCAGAAAACATAATTCTAGGACCTCTGGGCAACAGTGACTGCCGATAGGGGAGGAAGGGGAAGGAAAGTCAGTAGGATATGAATGTGCAAAAGGGACACAGACATGCTGGGATCTGTTCTCATTCCCACTCTTTGCCCATCAATGCCCTAACTGTAGAGAGACTCACTGCCTGATAGATAGAATTACTCAGCCACCTGCAAAATCAGATATGGGCTTGAGTTTTCAGAAGTCTTAACTCTGTAGTTATAAGAAATAAGGAATCATTTCAGGGAAATCCTGAAGCTCTCTAGCACTCCACTCATGCCTTAAAGTGGAAACATGAGTCCCTGGGCCTTGTCATTGTCTTTCTCCATGTTCTCCACTGCAGCTTTAAGCAGCCCTCTGCCCTTATCCAACACTAAACTCTACCCACTAGGATTTTGTCAGGAAAATGGGAGCAGCTCCAGGAATTCTAGCTGTAACAGTTTGAAGATGGGGATAAACGGGTTCTTACCAAGTTGGGATTGCTGGAATGCAAAGGGCAGAGAGTCTGCCGTCGAAAATATGATATTTGGCCAATGTCAGTGACTCACTCCTGTAATCCCAGCAACTTTGGGAGGCCGAGGCAGGTGGATTACTTAAGGTCAGGAGTTCGAGGCCAGCCTGGTCAACATGGTGAAACCCCATCTCTATTAAAATACAAAAAAACATTAGCTGGGAATGGTGGCGGATGCCTGTAATCCCAGCTACTTGGGAGGCTGAGGCAGGAGAATTGCTTGAGCCCGGGAGGCAGAGGCTGCAGTGAGCAGAGATCATGCCACTGCACTCCAGCCTGGGCGACAGAGCGAGACTCTGTCTCAAACAACAAACAACCCCCCCCCAGAAAAAGAAAATATTATATTCAAAAACTATAAAACTGTCAGTTCTTAAGAGGAAAAAAAACAGAAATTTATTGCAATTCTCATGAAAACTCTGGAACGCTTGCACATCTCCCACAGTTGACAGTGTTGAAGCTGTGGCTCTCAGGACACGCTGGGTAGCCCCATAGATCCATCTACCCAAGGGTGTGCTTATCTGACTTCAAAAACGGTTGACATCTCCTCTTTACCTCCTAAATCTTTAATGAGTTTCTTTCAGCAAACTCTCACCCCGAGACATATGGGAAAGGATCTGGAGAAACATAGAACCTGGTTTCTCTTTCTGCTTTGAGAAGGGAAATGGAGGGTTGCTGAGTTGACAACGGACAACCCACCAGCCTTAAGAGTGCAACTGGCCAGAAATGGATAGACCCACCAGACAGAAATCAGAAAGGACATAACAAATTTCAACAGCATCATCAATCCACTGCATATAATGGACATCTACAGACTACTTCACCCGACAACAGCAGAATAACATTCTTCTGAAGATCACATGAAGAATTCACCAAGACAGACCACATTCTGGGCCATAAAAACACATTTTAACGAATTTAAAGAACAGATATTGTATCAGTCTGTTTGCACATTGCTGATGAAGACATACCTGAGACTAGGTAATTTATAAAGAAAAAGAGGCTTAATAGATTCACACTTCTACGTGGCTGGGGAGGCCTCAGAATCATGGTGGAAGGCGAAAGGCACATCTTACATGGTGGCAGACAAAAGAGAATGAGAAACAAGCAAAAGGGGTTTCCCCTTATAAAACTGTCAGATCTCATGAGACTTATTCACTACCACAAGAACAGTATGGAGGAAACTGCCACCATGATTCAATTACCTCCCACCAGGTCCCTCCCGTAACACATGGGAATTATGGGAGCTACAATCCAAGATGAGATTTGGGTGGGGACACAGCCAAACCATATCAGATACTGTACAGTGTCTGCTCTTAAACCAAAATGGAGTTAAACTAGAGATCAATAACAGATAGCTGGGAAGTCACAAAATGCTTGGAGAATAAACAGTACGCTTCTAAATAACACACTGGTCAAAGAAGAAATCTCAATAGAAATCTTAAAAATATTTTCAACTAAAAATAATACAACTTATCAAAATTTGTGGGATGCAGTGAAAGCAGTGATAAGAAAGAAATATATAGAATTGAAAGCATATATTAGAAGAAATGTCAAAATAATTTTTTTTTCAACAGCAGGAGTTTATTTCCCCAAAGCTCTAAGCTTTCCCCTTAGGAAACCAGAAAAAGAGAAGCAATTTAAACCCAATGTAAGTAGAGGAAAATAAATGATGAAAATTAGAGAAGAAATCAGGGACTGAAGACAGGAAATCAAGATAGGAAAAAAAAAGCTGTTTCTTTGTAAATATAAATAAACTTATAAGCCAATAGCCAGGCTACATATGCAAAGAGAGAACACAAGTTAATAATATTAGAAATCAAAGAGAGGATATTACTATAGATCCTATGGACATGACATACACCTCTATGCTGACAAATTTGATAACCTGGATAAAATGCACCAATTCCTTAAAAAACACAATCTGCAAAAACTTACACAATAAAATGCAGTCTAGATTGGCCTACATCTATTAAATGAATTAAATCAATAGTTAATAACTTTCTCAAACAGAAAGTGCCAGGCCAGACGGGTTCCCTGGTGAGTTCTACCAAACATTACAGCAGAAATTATACCAATTGTCTACAATCACTTTCAGAGAACAGAAGCAGAAGGAACACTTCCTAGTGCATTCCATGAGGCCAGCTTTATCACAATACCAAAACCAGATGAAGACATTATGAGAAAAGAAAATTATAGACCAATATGTCTCATGAACATAGATGCAAAAAATCCTCAACAAAATATTAGCAAATGGAATTCAGCAACGTCTAAAAAGAATTACACACCACAACCAAGTGGGATTTTTTGCAGCTATGCAAGACTAGTTCAGCATTTGGAAATTAATGTAATTTATCACATTAACAAACTAAAGAAGAAAACCCTAATGATCATATAAATGGATGCAGGAAAAGCATTCCACAAAACCCAACATCCATTTATGATATAAACTCTCAGTAAGCTAACAGTAGAGAAGGACCTCCTTAACTCGATAAAGATTAACTGCAAAAAATCCCACAGCTAACATCATAGATAATGGTGAGAAACTAGATGATTTCCCACCAAGATCAGGAACAATACAAGGATGTCTCTTCTCATCAGTTCTTTTCAACACCATACTGAAAGTCCTTGGATGTGGAATGCAAGGTTATTTATTATATACAATTTAATTGCCTTGCTTGGTACCAGAAATGAAAAACTGGACTTTGAAATTTAAAAAGCACAATACCATTTACATTAGCACTAAAAGAAATAAATTACTTAGGTGTAAATATAACAAAATATGTATAATGTTTAAATGAGGTGAACTACAAAATTGATGAAAGAAATCATAGAAAAAAATTAATGAAGAAGATAGTCTATGTTCATGAATAGGGAGACTCAATATTGTTAAGATTTCAGTTCTCTCCAACTTGATCTGTAGATTCAATATGATATCAACCAAAATTCTAGCAAAAAGTTTTGTGGATATTGACAAATTGAGTCTAAAGTTTATATGGAGATGGAAAGACTAGAATAGCCAATGCAGTATTGAAGTAGAACAAAGTTTGAGGCTTGACACTTCCTGATTATAAGACTTACTATAAAGCTAATTTAATCAAGACAGTGTGGTATTGGTGCAAGAATAGACAAATAGATTAATGGAATGTAATAGCCCAGAAATAGAACCACATAAATATAGTCAACTTCTCTTTCACAGAAGAGCAAAAACATTATAATGGGGAAAAGGCAGTCTTCAACAAATGGACATCTACATGTACAAAAATGAATCTAGACATAGACCTTACACCCTCCCTAAAAATGGAGGACCACGGGACCAGCTGCAGAAATGAGAACTGTAATTGTCATGAGTATTTCCTCCTCCTTTTGTTAAAAGCATGTTTGTGCATGTATACACTTGTACTAAGAAAATGTCTTCACTTTATTTCCTTTCTCCTTTATCATGTGACATAAGATTTATTGACTTCATATCAGCATTTAAGTATTGTTAACTTTATATAATAGCATTTGAGTTGGGGATTGGTGTATTTCCAGTTGTACAAAGGATAGTTGTATTATGTTAGGTATAATTATAACCTCATTATTGTCTATATTTGAGGACTATTTTTGATCTCAGGAGATGTATATGGATTCAAATTGACAAGGGTTGGGCTTGTGATGGTTAATACTGAGTGTCAACTTGATTGGATTGAAGGATGCAAATTATTGATCCTCAGTGTGTCTGTGAGGGTGTTGCCAAAGGAGATTAATATTTGAGTCAGTGGGCTGGGAAAGGCAGACTCACTCTTAATTTGGGTGAGCACCATCTCATCAGCTGCCAGCATAGCCAGAATATAAAGCAGGCAGAAAAATGTGAAAAGCCTAGATTGGCCTAGCCTCCCAGCCTACATCTTTCTCCCATGCTGGATGCTTCCTGCCCTTGAACATCAGACTTCAAGTTCTTCAGCTTTGGAACTCAGACTGGCTTCCTTGCTCCTCAGCATGCAGATGGCCTATTGTGGGACCTTGTGATTGTGTGAGTTAATACTCCTTAATAAACTCCCCTTACTATGTACATCTATCCTATTAGTTCTGTACCTCTAGAGAACCCTGACAAATACCCAAGTATGGGGGGTAAGAGTCACCAAGAAAATCTGCAGATAATGATGTCAGTGATTCCACACAGGGAAGGAAATCTTTGATAGTCAACAGAGTGAGGCTAATGACTAGCTACAGTTGTGTGGCATGAAATGCGGTGTTGCCCAGACATGATTGTTCCATGTGAAAGTAATTATCTTCACAAATATTATTCCGAAAACATTGCTGCTAATAACCATTAATTTTAAGTATATGCAATTTTCAGAGGCAGTTGAAGCAATAGAGGTCTGAATGTGATTTTAAAAGAAGAGAGCCAATTACTTGAAGAATTCATCTGTTTTTGCATTATAAGGACCGAAGTAGTAACCTTGTCTGGAAGAGAGGGTGCTGGAATGAATGAGCTGGTGGTTGCATTTTTCTGGCTCCTTGTTGGCTTCCTCTAGATGGAGCAGTACTCACTGCTGGAAAATCAATCCCAGGAGCTGGTACAATTTCAGGGGGCCCTGCAAGAGGGTCAGATCAGTGAGAGCAGAAACATTGTGAGGCTCTGTCATTCCAAATGAAAGTGTTGGAAAACTGTGAAATACGGAATGGCCTTAGTGATTTCCTGGTTGGTCCCACTCCTTATTTCCCACA
Source organism: Homo sapiens (assembly GCF_000001405.40). Lineage (NCBI taxonomy): Eukaryota > Metazoa > Chordata > Mammalia > Primates > Hominidae > Homo > Homo sapiens. The sequence continues at coordinate 1,148,280 of NC_000002.12, forward strand.
TGGAGAAGAGAGGGCCTGGCCCACTCCTTATTTCTCACATGGAGAAGAGAGGGCCTGGCAGCTTTTCATGTTTGCCAGGGACATGAAGGCGACATCACCTCGTGTTCCCAGGGCAGCCCAGGTGCATGCTTCACAGAAGTGGGAACCCAGAGCTGGGGAGGCTGCGGGGCTGCTGTGCTGCTGCTGTGTGTGTTTTGTGTTAGGCCCAGCACCAGGCTGAGCAGGAGTCAGCTAAGGACCTGCCTGTGAGCTCTTCATGCTGAAGATGCCAGCTTGCTATTGCCCTCACTACTGACCTGTGTGTTACTGTGTTACCTGACACTAAGCCTGAGCTCCCGGGGCGGGATGCACCTGTGGTTTGGAAAGGGTTCCCCCCGCTCCTTGTGTGATCACCCAGATGATGAAGCCAGCATGAAATGAGAGTGAACATGTGGAGGGGTTGCTCTCTTGAGGCCCTTTGGATGTTCTTCCAAGCCGGACCCACATAGAGGGGCTTTCAAGAGTGAAGGAATGGAAACAAGGAAGTGAGGAGAGAAGGTGAAGGTGGAGGGAAGGGAGGAGGCGCCTTCCTGCTGGGCCCACCCTCTGCAGGTGCCTCCTGCCCTGGTGTCACAGCCTGGCAGGTACACCCTCTGCAGATGAAAGGGACAGGAGTCTCGAGGTTTCACAGCTGCTTGATGCTTCTGTGCATCGCCCCTTTCCCTAAAAATAACAAACAGTGACTGTTGTCAGGTACCATGGAGTGTACCCCAGGGTTACAAAATTATTCCCTGGAAGGTATTTAAAACGAGTCTTGTGGACATGAGTTTGGAAAGCAAAGTAAATTCTGGATTCCATGGTTCATACACCAGGGGTCGCTGGGCAAGTTGGCAGTTAGATTGAAATTAAAACATACATGTTCTTCTTGTCGGACGTGTGTGTGTGTGTGTGAGAGAGAGACACACACACACGGGGAGCAGTGAGGCTTACAGGTGGGGAGGGTGAGAGTTTGTCAATGAGATTGTGTGGAGGTTGCAGCTCTGGGAATTGCCCCATAGCTGAGCTAAGTTTGTCTTTTCATTGTACAAAGGAAGAGATACTGAAAGTGGCCAAGGATTGTGAATAGGATTAGAAAAAAGGACAGTTGTGAATACACACAGGAGAAAGGAAGCAACAGCATCGGAAGATTAAAACTCTACTCAGGGTTTTGCCGCTTATTTTCGTCCATGAGCATATTACAAAATTACCAAGACCTCTGTGGGTTAATCTGTAAACTCAAGTCCTAATGTGCTTTTCCCTGCAAGAATCTATGAGCAGCAGTGGTTTGGAAAAATCTATCCACCATGTCTTTTCTAGGTTCAGGTGGTAACATTATTCCTACCCACCCTCAACAGATTGATGAAGTTGATTAGCGTTTTTTTTTTTTTTTTTTTTTTTTTTTTTTTTTCAAATGGAATCTGGCTCTGTTGCCCAGGCTGGAGTGCAGTGGTGCAATCTTGGCTCACTGCAAGCTCCGCCTCCCGGGTTCACGCCATGCTCCTGCCTCAGGCTCCCGAGTAGCTGGGACTACAGGCTCCCGCCACCGCGCCTGGCTAATTTTTTTGTATTTTTAGTAGAGACGGGGTTTCACCATGTTAGCCAGGATGGTCTCAATCTCCTGACCTTGTGATCCACCCGCCTCGGCCTCCCAAAGTGCTGGAATTACAGGCCTGAGCCACCGCGCCCAGCTGAAGTTGATTAGCTTTTCATTTGGCACTCCTCCGTTATTAAAATTGCACTCACAGATGAAATAATGTTCTTTAAATATTTCACAATCACAGATCTCTGAGCGAATGGTGACTTAATTTAACAGCAAGCATTTGAAGGTTTAGGGAACTATTTTGAGAGGCTGTTTTAAAATGCAGGGATCTTGGGAAAGGGAATCCCTGGTGGAGGTCTGTGTGGAACCCCATTCTCATAGTTCTAGTGTTCTAACAAGCAAACACAGCTGTCATCTCCACTTGCCTCCTAGAGATCTGTGGGCAGTGCTAACAAGCATCTTACTTTGTATCTATTGGGGATCGAAAAGGCTGTCTGTCACTCATGAGTGAGTGAAATGTATAAAAGTAAATTTAGCTGTTTGCAGCCCATAAAGCTGGCTTTCCCTGCCACAGCACCAGTGGGCAGGCCTGGGCACACATCTGCATGAGACATTTCATTGGCTCTAATTGGTGGGTGACGTGCAGCCCAGAGGGTCTTCCCTGGGGGCTTGGTGTGCGCCTCCTGATGTATGGCCAGGAGGACAGAGCAGGATGGGGTCAGGCCAAGATGAATGGGGAGGAGATGTTTTTCTGTTGTGAGAGAGCAAAACATGCTTATGGAATTCAGTTGACAAAAGTAAAGGGGCATCCTGTGAAGTTTACTTAAGGACACAGAGAGATGGAAGTACGACCCACTCAGCAGCAAATGTCGTGTTAGAGTATAAAGGTCAGAATTTAGAGGGTCAGTATCTATGCCTGAGAGACTTCAGCCTTTTCTAGTTGTGGAACAGAAGTTGTCAAGGGAAGACCAGACCTCTCATGAATAGCCCTGTGTGGAGGCAGCTGGGGTCGGCTCTGTCCCGGGGACTTGCCTGGAGCTGGGCTCCCTCCGTGTGCCCAGAGCAGCCATGCGGCTGCTGAACCGAGCTCCAACCCCACAGAGCCTCATTCTCACCTGTGCTGTCCCTGGTGGGTTGTGGTTTGGGCTCAGTGACTGACACTCTCTGGGTGATGCATTTGATTTGTCAAATTTGGGAGTGGTTTTGTCAAAACCTCTAATTACCACTGAGTTGGAAAAGTATAGAATATATGGTATGACGAACAGTGGAAAGTATCAGTGAAAGTGCATGATTTTGGAAGAAACAAGCCTTAACTGCACAGTTACTGTTCCTTCAATTGTTCTCATATTGTGGAAATGAGCTCTGTCTTCAGCCCAAATGTAAGGCATGTGCAGGCTGAAATCAGGCTGCGGTCCCATCTGTGCCAGCTCTGGAGTCAAGGTGTGCTCAGGACCCTGGTGCCGGCGGGCTGCCTCCGGGGGGTGTCCCACTCCTGTGCACAGCAGAGGGCTTTGTCGTTTGTTGTTGGTTTGTTGGTGGTGCTTTGTTGTTTGTTGCTTGTTTGGCTCAAACATTTCCTAATGTTTTGTTTTCCCGGTGCTACCTTCTGATAAATGTTGAGACCCTTCTGCCTGTTTCCAAACCCAGCCTCGCTCTTTCTGCAGGAACACCAGACACCAAACTGCAGCTTTCCCCCTAGATTGAAGCGCGATGCCCACGTGCGCCCCTTGCTTGTGACCTCTGCATGTTTCTTCCACTCTAGGAACCTTCAATGCTTTCCTGTTCATATTTAGATTTTTATGACTTATATTATTCTTTAGGCTGCTCCGAAAGCCTTTGCGTCCTGGATTTGCTGCGCGCCCTTTGCCCGTGCGTGCCGTGCTTCTCATCACTTTGTTACTTTCATGAACCTGGTGACGATGCAGATGAGCACAGCTGCTCACACTCTGCAGGGCACCTGCTCACATGATTTTACCTAATCCTCATAGCGACTGGAGAAAATGGGTGACTAGCACTCGTGTGTAAGTGGCATAAATTGGGTTTTCAAGAGCACTAAGCATCAGAACTAAGAATTGAAAACAGATTTGCTCAATTCTAAGTCATTTCTACTATAATATACTCAATTTACCAAATTCTCAAAGATATCTAGAGAACAATTCAAATATTAAATACGTAAGCATTTATGGTCCTTCATTTGCTAACCACATAATAGAATTTTGTTTTGTTTTGTTTTACACATCATGTGTAGTTCTGGCATTATTTATCTGGATTATAAAGAGATCATCAATGTGCTGACTCCTAATTAGATGGTTACAGGCCAGGCAATCAGTCAATCATGGTGTCCACTCTCGAATTGTGTGAAGATGTAGGGTAGAGCAATTAGTCTTCAGTTCAAATTATGGACAATCTACCACTCTTATTTCAGGTATTATTTGATGATAGCTGATATAGGATTGGTTAGGGCTCCACCAAAGAAACAGAGCGAGTAGGAAAGATATTGGGTACACATGTGTATACATGTTTGTGCACATGCATGTACGTGTGAGGCCGTGTGCATGCTGGTGTGCATATACATGTGTACCTGTGTGTACTGCATATATGTGTGCACATCCAGGGGCATGTGCAGTATGTGCTTATGTCTGCATGTGCATGGATGCGTATATTCGGTGTGTGTGTACATGTGTGTGCATGTGTATTCATGTGTGCACACACGTATGTTTCTAGGTGTGCACATGTGCATGTGTGTGTGTGCACATGTGCATGTGTGTATGTGTGCACATGTATGCATCTGTGTGTGTTTGTGTGTAACATTTGTAGTTCAGGACCTCAGTCTGCAAACTCCTGAGAGGATCTGAGCCTTTATCCGGCAGGTAGATTTTCTTTTTCCTCAGAGAAATCTCACGTTTTGATCTTAAGGACCCAACTTACATTATTGAGGGTAATTTCATTTACTTAAAGTTAACTGATCATAGATGTTGACCACATCTATAAAATGCCTTCACAAGGCCAGGCATGGTGGCTCATGCCTGTAATCCCAGCACTTTGGGAGGCCAAGGTGGGCGGATCTCCTGAGGTCAGGAGTTCGAGACCAGCCTGGCCAACATGGCAAAACCCTGTCTCTAGTAAAAATACAAAAATTAGCTGGGTGTGGTGGCGGGCGCCTGTGATTCTAGCTACTCAGGAGGCTGAGGTGGGAGAATTGCTTGAACCCAGGAGGCGGAGGTTGCAGTGAGTCGAGATCGCACCATTGCACTCCAGCCTGGGCAACAACAGCTGAACTCCATCTCAAAAAAAAAAAAAATGCCTTCACAACAACACCTAGACTGGTGTTTGGTTGAATAACTGGGCACTGCCCAGCCAAGTTGACCACAGGAAACTAACATTTATAGCCAGTAAGAAACCGTGACATCTTTTTTTTATTATCCATTTTTTTATTATACTTTAAAGTTTTAGGGTACATGTGCACAACGTGCAGGTTAGTTACATATGTATATGTGTGCCATGCTGGTATGCTGCACCCATTAACCCTTGTTACATGATGTTTATTTTAAAATATGTGAAGGAAAAGATCCACATTTTAGAAGATTGCATTATCGTTGTTCGAATGACACATCAAAAGGATCTGCCTCTGAATTATAAAGAAAATATTATATGATTAGGAATGTCAGTAAAATGTCTAAAAAGTGCGTACACAGTCATCTCATGCCCAGGGATGGTGATTCCACAAAGGGAAAGCCTCACGGAAAAGCTTAAATGCACTTGTCTAAGTGCATAGAGTGACTTAAATTCTGTGAATTTAATTATTCCCTGGCAATAACTTGTTCGTGTTTTACACATAATCTCTCCAAAGACAAGTGGATAATAACTAATTGCACGGAGCAGTAAAATGCAGGTTATTTAAGGAAAAAAACACTATTGATGCTGAAAATGTTAGCTGTTTCTCAATGCGGGTGATGGAAGACTGAATACATTTTCCTAACTTCGAACAAAAATCAAAGTGCATCAGCTTGGGCACAATGCCCACGAGAGCTGGCCTGAGGTTGGCAACTGCTAAAATAGGGACTTAGCTGTGCCAGAGTGCAGATGTGGCTTCTGGGTGGAGATGTGTATTTAAGATCCAACCAAGAGGACTTCCAGGAACCAGCTATGAAATACAAAAGTCGAATAGAAATCTCTTGCAAAACAGAATGTTACTTATATAAGCAAAAAACAGGAAATCTTAAAAGTTTCAGAAAACCTTAGCAGATGCAAAGTGTCTTGAGCCAATGAGGAAGAGGGCAGGGAGCCAACAGGAAGCTTGATGGGAGCACAGGGAAAGGGCGCGGGCGGGGAGAGGCGGGAGGAGCATGGTTGGGGGGAGAAGGGCCCAGCCCCATGGAGGCTGACATTAGGGACCACCAGAGGCACTGGCTGCAGCTGCCATCACATGCAGCTGAGGCGCTGGCACGGGCGTGGAGATGGCATCTTCCCGGAGGGTCCAGTTGTGCTGCCTGTCCTTCCAGTTTTAAGGCGAGCGGGATGGGACGCCAAAGCACACAGCTTTCTGTCGGAAGATGTTGAATAAGATTGAGATTATGAATGAAAACTTAAAAGTTAACAATTTATAAAATAGAAAGTTCTACATATATGTTGAAAAACGCTGATGAGAAGTTGGGTGAAGGAGCAAGTGTGACAGACACAATGTAGGCCGGATAAAATGAACAGCAAAAGGGCACAAGAAGAGAAAAAGTGAGGGATGGAGCACCTGCAGCAGCGTGACAGTGACAACTTGTCATTGAATTATTCTGGAAGTTTACTGAAATTCTCATCAAATACCACCGCATGTCTAATGGATCAGTAAACTCCATAAATTAAAATACCGTAGCAGTAAGTGTAAATGAGATTAATTCCCCCTATTTAAGGAAAATGGACTCTCCTACTGGCTGAGAAACTCAGAGCCCACCTTCCTTCTACCTCCAACACATACATCCCACACATATCACATACACCACACATATACACACACACAAACAACACATAGACATGCACACACCACACAAACACACCACACACACAAAGACACATACCACATACACACACACAACACAAAAACATACACACCACACACATAAACTCACACCACACACAAAGACATATACCACATACACCACACATATACACACACACAAACAACACATAGTCATACACCACACATACCACACATACACACCACACACATAAACACAAACCACACACACAGCACACACACCATACATTAAACATACACACATAACACCCACATATACATACAACACAAACACACAGACACACTCCATACACACACACACGTAGACCCCCCCCCCACACACATATATAGACCACACACACCCACACCACACACATAAACACCATGCAAATATATATGGACATACACACACCACACACACATACCCACACCCCACATAACATACACATACCCACATGTACACACACATTCACACCACATGCATATACACATATGCACACCACACACACCACACACACATGTCCCTCATCACAGACACGTGTACACATACACCACATATACATGCCCCACATCACACACACGTGTACACACACCACATATGTACACACACACCAGACACAAGCATATTCCGTCTACCAGAGAAATACTACAGCCAGTAATTTCAGAAGGTTAATACAGAAAGGAGAGGCAGCAATTTCAGTGCAAGTCCAAATTTCAGGGCTGAGCTCAGAGCCCCTGGGGCCATGTGTGCAACAATCTGGACGTCAGCCCTGGCCGTGGTGGTGGGTGCCAGTGAGAGAGACGGCCACCTGCAAGTGCCTCTCCCATTGCTTGGGGGACCTGCTGCTGGGCAAAGCGGGGCTCTGAGAAGGCTTCCCAATCACCCCCAAGCTTGGGGCTGAGGAAAGAGCTTCGTGGAGGTGCCAGCTTTTGAGGTGGGCGGCACAGGCTGAAGATCTAACGTGGGAGGGGTGCAGGCACGTGTGGACTTAGGAGCCCTGGACTGGAAGTGAGTGTGTAGGGGTGATGGCCACACAGAGTGTGCAATCAAGGAATGCAAGCGCTGCTCCCCATGGACCCCAGCGTTCAGAGCTCAGGAAGCAGAGCAGGGCCAGCAGACAGAGGGGACACCCAGAAGGCCAGGCCAGGCCAGGCCAGGACACCGCAGACAAAGGAACCCCGCCGAGGAGACAACAGCAAGAGACCAAGGGGTAGATGGAGCACAAACAAGTTCTTAAAAGCATTTTGCTGTGGAAGGGAACAGAGAAATGGCACAGGGCCGCCCGTGGATGTTGCACTAAGGAAGGGTTTCATGGTAGAAGGGTTCCCTGGCAAGGACTACTCTGAAGGGAAGGAAGCCACATAAAGGAAACATTGTGATGTAGGACGAGGCGAATGCATGGGGCAGAGGCTCAAAGGGAGGGATTCCTGTGGCCTTAGATAGATCGAGGGCAGCTCTTTTGTTGGGGGGGATGGGGAGACAGAACAGGCCTCAGACACGGCAAGTCGGCAGATCAGGAGTACACAGATGTTCACTTTTATTTGCACAGTGAACTGAGAGCTGTGATCAGCAGCTGAACAGGTGGAGGCTTCAGTGAAGAGAAGGAAGGAAACACCCATCTTGGGATAGGGAGGGAAAACAGGTTGAGGCGTGTCCTGCCCTGCGCTAGAGTCCCCAGAGGATGAACCGTCATGAATTTAGAGATTAACCAGCCAGCACTTAACGTTTTTCTCCAGCCACAGAGTGCAGCCAGGGTGCAGCCACAGAGCGGGAAGAGACCTGGAGTTAAGTCCCTTGTTTCTGAACCAGTGACCATGACAGGTGAGGGCAGAAGGACGAGGGACCAGGGGTTCGGTTTGAGGAGGAGGCAGTGAGGTCCCGGCTGGAGACAGTAAGGTGATGCTCGGGCTGTCATTTGAGACGTGGGTGGCTGAGCCCTGCCTGCGTGGGGGTAGGAAATGAACGGGCCTGCGGTGAAAGAGGACCCAAGATGCTCAGAATAAAGATTCCAGCGCAGGGCGGCAACTCTTGGTGAAACAGAGGTTTCCACGGTGATTGGATGTGTGGCTGAGGAAGGTGGACAGTGAGACCCTTGGAGGCCAATCTGGGCATCTTAAACTCCTTCCCTGGTTATCCATAGAAATATGAATCCCCAGGGAATGCAGACAGGAAAAGTCATTTGCTCCAGGAAGCTGCAGGTCCCTGCATGGATTCACTCAGCATACCCCATGTGCACTTCAATCCCGTACATTACTGTTTAGCAGAAATAGTCAAAACTCGGCTTCTTCCTGACTCGGCCCCTTCCTCACCTCACCTTCCTTTCCCCTCCATCCCATCACTGCCAGCACCCTGCAGAGTGGCCACCAGTGCTGATCCACTGGATGTGTCACTAGAGACTTGGTAAGTTTGGCAGGAATCATCGAGTCCTGCCCTGGCTCTACCCCTGACCCCTGCAGAACCCAGAGGTGCAGCTGAAGTGCACCCCGGCACTGCGGCTTGTGCGCTGAATGCACCCCGGCACCGCGGCTCGTGCGCTGGAGTGCAACCAGTACTGTGGCTTGTGCGTACTTGGCAAAAGCCCCCCAGACACTCACACGTGCACAAGGATGCCAGACAGGAGGGACGGTGTCCACGAAGAGGCCTTCACACTTAGAAAAAGTCCAGGGCTGTGCACGTCCCTCACATCCATAAGTAGGTTCCTTATGTATAACAGAGACTGGGTTTCAATGTTGAAAGGATACTGGCAACTAGAATGCAAGCTCATTAAGAATGAAGAGTTTCATAGGCTAAGGTCTGTTTCTTTATTAACATAGTGTATTTAAGCAGAAATGAGTTAAGTCATTTTCTATAGAGAACTACAGTGGAGTTTTTCTCTGTTGAGGTCACAGAATTTTTTCAGACTCTGGAAATAACTCAGCTTCTGGTGTGCACAGACTAGAGATGTGCTGTAGGAATGTGCTCAGCCTGCCCCGCGGGTGATATGAGCCCAGCACCGCAATGCTCTGGGAGGTTTTGGAAGGATTCTAAAGCTATAGATGGATATTTTATGCATCACTTAATAAGGGAGAAGGAGTTTGCCTTAGGCAGTTTTCTTTAAAAGTCTCATTGCTCTAGGCACAAAAGTTAGCATTTCAAAGTTACCTTGGCCGGCCGGCAGGTTTGGTACGGGGCATCCTGTAGACATGCCTAGCAGCACACACTCAGGTGGGGGCTCATGGTGATTAGTAGATTCAGCATCATGCTCAAAGGGCCCAGTTGCATAAACTGTTTTTTGTCTTAAATGATGTGCTGCTGACTATGGCAGTATGTAAGGATACTTGAATCATTTCTAATAAAATATAATAAAAGTATCCTGGTTTTAAAACTAATTTAGGGGAGTTATTCATAAATTAAACCTTCCCTTTACTCACTCAAGTTCATGTGAAGGAAGCATTTAAAAATTTACATAGAAAAGTAGAAAATTATTATTTTTTAAAATTTATCTACATCTGAGTACACTATGAGAAGTGGTTCAAGGAAAGAGGATGAATTAGTGGGATGTGACTGTCCACAGGGACTCCCCATTTCTGGTGGGGGAGGAGATGCAGAGGAGACTCCTGTGTGTTTAGCGTGGCATCAGGTGCCTGGCTCCTGGGCTTAGCTTCTGTAAAAGAGAAGAAGTGAGAAAGAAAGAAGAATATTCATGACAATTGAATAACACATCAGTGCACATTTCCAAATCATGTTTCAAGTGACCTATGTGTAAGCACGCCAAAGTGTATCTTCTGGGGAGGTGCATTTCACCATGGTTGGGATTTGGGGCAGTTAGGCACAGCACGGCCAGGGGTGTGAGAGAATTAAAGGTGTGTGCAGGGAAGGGTTACAGTGATGGATCTTGGAATTTAGCCTGAATAAAGGGGAATGTAAGGCTGCGGCATGGTGAGAACAAGAGAGAGCGCTGTCGTTGCCAATCGTGGTAAGTCTCCATAGGGCTGCAGTGTCGTGTGTGCAGGAAGGCTTTACGGAGCACACCGGAAGACAGGAATGGTAGTTGGGTGCTTGATTTAAAGTACAGAACCCTTGCAGATGTTGACAACAGCAAGGTCTAATGCAAGGTCTTGGAATGTGTTACTAAAGTGGGGCGTATGGCAGATCGTAGAGGAGAGGAAGTCAGCTTGTGGATGTCCGTGTGTGTGTCCATATGTGTGCATGTGTGTGCATGTATGTGTCCACGGGTGTACCTGTGTGTGCACGTGTGTCCGTGTGTATGTGCATGCGTGTACCTGTGTGTTCGTGTGTGTGTATGCATGGGTGTGCATATGTGGGGGGGGTGTGTGAGTGCATGAGTGCGTATGTGGAATTACGTCTGAATGTATGAGTGCATGAGTGTTTATGTGGGAGGGTGTGTGTGAGTGTGTGTGTGTGTATGCAGGTGTGTGTGCATGTGTGTGTATGTGGGGGGTGTATATGTGTGACTGTGTTTGTTCTCATGGGTCTTTATTCAACATAAACTCACATTTTTTTTCCAGAACACGTGGGGCATTAACAATTATTTAGGCCACAAGGAACCCAAGAAGAAACGCAACACAGATGATATCTAGTAAACAAAATGACAAATGCTTTTAAAAATATCCACACTTCTGGAAACTGTAAAAATAGCTATACTGGTGTAAAAAGACAATATAAAGGAAAAAATACACAATAGTAACGTGAAAAATATTGAAGAACTTTGTATCAAAATTCGTCGAATACAAGTAGGGCTTAAGGGAAGACTGGTAATTTGTAGATATGTTTATTAGAAAACAAGAAAGCAAAGGAAAAAGAGCCATGTTGTCACCTAAGAATCTGAAGCAAGAGCAACAGAGAAGCCCGCAGGAGCAAAAAAAGAAAGAAATAATAAAAATGAAGATGCGAATTTGTAGAAGAGAAAACATAGAGGACAAGTCAGAGAAAATAATACTAAAACTCCGTCTCCCAAGGTGGGCTTGTAATAACGCAAGATGCAGAGGCCTCTGAAAAGACTGATGAAGAAATATTAATTAAAATGCAAATATGATTAGGGATGAAAGGGGAGGGACTAAGAAACTACTCAACAGGAATTTGAGGATTGAGGATTCATTGAAGTAGTTACAGAACATTTGTAAAACGGAACACTGCGTCCGTGAGAAAGACTAGAAATACATGAATAATATGGGATAAGCTGTCAGATGTGTTAGATAAAGAAAGTATCATGTCTAACAGAGTTCAGGGCCTGTTTCAAGTGAAAATGGGGCAAATAAATGGGATACATGGTGTACATGGTGTATGAAAATTCTTGTACTGACCTCTTTATTCCCACATACTCACACATCTACACGTGTGGCTGCTGGATTAAAATGCACATACATTGTATATCTGATCAATATGACCAAACTGCCCTCAGACGAGAAAACGTTCTTACAAAGGCATAGAATTTCCAGAAGAACACACACAATATCCCAGCGTCAGTTGTCTCTGAGGTGTCAAACTAGGGATCTCGTAGGTATAAAAATCAGACTCTTTGATTGCATATGTTGTATTATTTCATATCTAAACTATCAAATGTGTTATATTTTTAATTAAAACTGGAGCTGCGTTGACCCGAGGCTGCTGTGTGTAGAATCATGTGTTGTGCTCTTCTCTGCTCCCCTGGAAGCCTCCGTCAACAGGTCGAGTTTGCGACTCCACGGAGAAACTGCACTGATGTCACCAACTTCGTGTCCTGGGCTACTCACCAGCCCATTTCGGACTGGACTTTGTGTCCCCCCAGATTCACATGTCGAAGCCCTAACCCCTAAATGAGGGCGTCAGGAGACAGAGACGGGGCCTCTGGAAGTGACTAGGGTGAGAGGAGGTGATGAAGATGGCATCCTGGTGATGGGATCAGTGCCTGCAAGAAGAAGCCCTCTGGAGCGCACTTCCTCTCTCCACCACGCAAGGACACAGCCAGAAGGCCAGGCCCTCACCAGGAAGGATCTGGCACCTTGCTCGCACCTGATCACAGACTCCCAGCCTCTGGAATTCCGAGGAAGGAACCTCTGCTGCTGAGAAGCCACCCAGGCATGGCTAAGCTGACTCAAACACCGCAGTGAATCCAATGGCTTCAGAGTCATTTTACAGGTGTTGGGAGATTTCATTTCATAGTTGACTCCTTTCTAAGGAAGAAATGGACTTGGCTTACCTGTCAGAGTTTGACATGCTGGTGAATTGGAGGTTGGAACGCATCCTCCTACCTTGACTTTGTCGGCGCAGAGCAGGTGTGCACTGTAATGGGAGCTGCAGGTGGAAATGGGGAGAGGCCAGGCATGGTGGCTCACGCTTGTAATCCCAGCACTACGGGGCCAAGGCGGGAGGATCACTTGAGTCCAGAAGGCCAAGTCTGCAGTGAGCTATGATTGCACCACTGCCTTCCAGCCTGGATGACAGTCAAAAAAAAAGAGAGCGCATCTAGACTTTTAGTGTCTCAATCAAATTTAAACAATGGCAAATACATTGTGCACAAAAAAGCTGCTTTTAGATGCTGTGTTGAGAGAGAGAGAGATAGAGAGAGAGACAGAAAAGGGGAAAGCCTCCAGGCCATGGCTACTGGTGTTAATTTGCTGCAAAAAGCAGTGACTGCTGCTGTGGGCTGAAGGAGGCTGCCCCCTAGGCAGGTGTGGGCCAGGGTCTCTCCCAGTGCCGTCAGGCTTAGGGCCATGATTCCAGGAGGGAGAAATCTTTGAAGGCATTGGTTGAATTCAGTAGCATCAATGGTCAACATTCAATTATTTTGTTCATACACCACATATATGCTTCAAACTAAATAAAAAATAAGACTGATAACAAATTGAATGCCTTTGTCTTGTTCGGGTATTTTAAAGTCCCCAAAAAATCAAGGCAAGGTAAACATTTGGGATTAAAAAATAATAATAAATTGAAGCTAAATCCAATCTTTAATTAAAAGTGCTCGTTTGGCCGGGTGCGGTGGCTCACGCCTGTAATCCCAGCAGTTTGGGAGGCCGAGGCGGGCGGATCACGAGGTCAGGAGATCGAGACCATCCTGGCTAACACGGTGAAACCCCGTCTCTACTAAAAATACAAAAAATTAGCCAGGCGAGATGGCGGGCGCCTGTAGTCCCAGCTACTTGGGAGGCTGAGGCAGGAGAATTGTGTGAACCCGGGAGGCGGAGCTTGCAGTGGGCCCAGATGGCGCCACTGCACTCCAGCCTGGGCGACAGTGAGACTCCGTCTCAAAAAAAAAAAAAAAAAAAAAAGTGCTTGTTTTCAGGCTACTCTGCCTCTCTCTATTGATTGGTTCTGTTACTTCTGACAAAATTGTCCATTGTAATAAGTGCAGATTCCTGTAAGCAAGGGATGGCAGATTTTCCTGCTTCAATCCACAGTCATTCTCCAGAAAAACTGGGGAAAGTCACTGAATAGACTCACTTACCTCGGGTATGGAGGTGGGCAGGGAGGTGTCCACACACACCTCAATGATTTCCAACAAGGACTTCAGGCACACTGGCTGGGCGACAGACTCACATACGGAAGCTGTGTGTGGCCTGGTCCTTTGGGAGGAGGGCAGCCTGTTTAAGGATGGGGCACGGTGAGCTTCATGAATCTCAAACTGCTCTTGTCCTGGTGATGTTTTGCCTTTTAAAATTACACTGCACTGAGCTCCCGGGACAACTAGGGTATTACAGTGGCTGTCACTTGCTGGGAGGTGGCTGGACAGTGGACAGCGGAGGTCTGTGTGATCTCCCCTCCCACACCGCACACTCTGCACCTCCAGGGACGAGGGCTTGCAGGGCCTTGTGAGAGTCCAGCCCTTCCATGTAGAAAGGAAGGGTGTCGTCGCCGTCATGAACCTCGTTTATCAAAGGAGAGCCTCGGTTCTACTTCTTTTCACCAAAGAGGAGAAGAAAATTCAGCTTTGGTAGTTTTCTCCAGGATCTTGTGCGGGGGGAGGATAGAATCAGACAAATCTGCTAGTGGTTAAGCTTTGACACTTTCTGGGAGTTGGTCAGAGGAGGGCTTCTATTTCACAGTCACTTTGTACTGCAGCAGCCTGTATGAAGACAGGATGTGGATGTCAGAGACAGGCGTCTCACAAGGGTGCACTTGTACTGAACAGCAGGGGAGGAAAGACGCCTTGGAGACAGCCGGCAGAAGAGGCCTGACTCAGCCCTATGGGGGCCCAGCCTGTGGAGCATGACAGGAAGGCAGTGCTGCAGGATCACAGGAAGTGGGCATGTGAAGCCTCCCAACTGGAAGTGGGCTTTTGAGGGATCCCAACAGGAAGTGAGTGTGGGAAGCATCCCAACAGGAAGTGGGCGTGTGGAGCCTTCCCAACAGGAAGTGGACGTGGGAAGCCTCCCAACAGGAAGTGAGTGTGTGAAGCATACCAACAGGAAGCGGGCCTGTGAAGCCTCCCAACAGGAAGTAGGCACGTGAAGCCTCCCAACAGGAGGTGGGTGTGTGAGGCCTCCCAATAGGAAGTGGGCATGGGAAGCCTCCCAACAGGAAGTGGGTGTGTGAAGTCTTCCCAACAGGAAGTGAGTGTGTGAAGCATCCCAGTAGGAAGCGGGCCTGTGAAGCCTCCCAACAGGAAGTAGGCACGTGAAGCCTCCCAACAGGAGGTGGGTGTGTGAGGCCTCCCAACAGGAAGTGGGCATGTGAGGCCTCCCAACAGGAAGTGGCATGTGAGGCCTTCCAACAGGAAGTGGGCGTGTGAAGCCTCCCAACAGCACCTGCGACCTGGAGGCCATCAGCACAGGGTCACCAGCCACATGGAAGTGGATGAGGAGGAGAGGGAGAAGAAAGGATGTTGAAAATGCTCAGTGGCATTACGGGAGCATTTCTGCAGATGTGTTTCCAGTCTGGAGTTTTTAGTGGGATTTCATGAGGTAAAAGGGATGAGGCTGTCCTATGAGGTCAAGATCTATGTGAAGCACCGACATATTTAAGGTTGTCCACAGGCATGGCCGGGGTGGGGTGGCTCAGAGGGCCAGGAGGGAGCACCAGTGGTGGAGGTGGACCAGCCATGCCAGATAGAAATGTCCTCAGGTGAAATAGGAAGGCATTTATGTTGGATCTCAGGCCATGGGAACTTTCAAACTTTCTAAATCCAGTCTTCAAAACCCATTCAAGCTACATCAGGTGTCTTAGGGAGCTGTGCAGAACTGTAATCCTCCAGGTAGGCAATGACGGGCATGGAAAGTGACTGAAGAAATGAGGAGGAAAGATCAGAGGGAGCGATGAAGTGGGGCAGGAACCTACCCAAACTGTGGGTAGGCTTTATGTAGAGGAGAGAGCAAGGTGGGCTACGCCTGGCCTGGGAGGATGAAGTGAGGTAGGAACCTGCCGAAATTGTGGGCAGTCTCTGTGTAGAGGAGAGTGCGAGGTGGGATATGCCTGGCCTAGGAGGATGAAGTGAGGTAGGAACCTGCCCAAACTGTGGGCAGTCTCTGTGTAGACGAGAGGGCGGGGTGGGATATGCCTGGCCTAGGAGGATGAAGTGAGGTAGGAACCTGCCCAAACTGTGGGCAGTCTCTGTGTAGAGGAGAGGGCGAGGTGGGATATGCCTGGCCTAGGAGTATGAAGTGAGGTAGGAACCTGCCCAAACTGTGGGCAGTCTCTGTGTAGACGAGAGGGCGGGGTGGGATATGCCTGGCCTAGGAGGATGAAGTGAGGTAGGAACCTGCCCAAACTGTGGGCAGTCTCTGTGTAGAGGAGAGGGCGAGGTGGGATATGCCTGGCCTAGGAGGATGAAGTGAGATAGGAACCTGCCCAAACTGTGGGCAGTCTCTGTGTAGAGGAGAGGGCGAGGTGGGATACACCTGCCCTAGGAGGATGAAGTAAGGCAGGAACCTGCTCAAATTTTGGACAGTCTCCATGTAGAGGGGAGGGTGAGATGGGGATATACCTGGCCTAGGAGGATGAAGTGAGGTAGGAACTTGCCCAAACTGTTGGCAGGCTCTGTGTAGAGGAGAGGGCGGGTGGGCTATACCTGGCCTCGGAGGAGGAGGATACAGCAGAGGAGGGTTATGCATTATGGGAAGACACAGATGCAGGTGCAGTGAATTCTGACACACACAGCTTTGCAGCATCTAGACTTTTAGTGTCTCAATCAGATTTAAACAATGGCAAATACATTGTGCACAAAAAGCTGATTTTAGATGCTGTGTTGAAACGTAGGGGATTGTATGTGAGGTGACTGAAACAGTTTGTATAATTTGAAACTCCAGCACAGAGCTAAGTTCCATCCTTTTGAAGTGATAGCCACTAATTTCCTGAGAACTAAAGCATCATTTAAATATTTAAATTAGTATTTGTGGTTTGTTTTGCCACAGTTAATCCATGTTTTGCCAGTGACTGAACACAGGCTGTTTGTAGTAACAAACTGATTTCTCCGAGGGTATTATTTTCTGGTAGATTGCATTCATAGGGATGCAGAGAGCATCCCTGTGATGTGTTGTGGATGATACGGGCAGACCCCTGCTCACTCATGCACTTGTTTACGCAGATAGAGTGTGGGGGGTAGGTGGTCTCGGAGGTGATAACCACTCTTCTTTACTCCAGCTGAAGCCCACAAAGTTTTCCGTGTTTCAGAGGTAACTATGAACTTTGAATTCTTGGGAAACAGGAGAGGTAGAGAGATTTTATTTTTTAATTCTGTGTCTGGTTCTTTTGTGGTGGTAAAAGTAGCTATTTTTGTCATATTGACAGGTGCATCTGCTGAGAAATGCTGGCGATGAAGTTACCATCACCGTTGAGTATCTCAGGGAAGCGCCGGCATTTCTGAAGCTCCCGTTAGGTAAGTGGGAAGAGGAGAAATGCCAGGGTGCTGGAGAAATTCCTTTCTTGCCACATTATTTATCCAAATGCTACCACATGGACTGGGATATTAATCATTTGCTGAGTGTACATTCAGAGAGAAGAAAAGTATAGGCAGGCACCGTGGCATCATGTAGTCCCATGACGTTGTATGTTTTAACACATCCACGGGCTTTTTTGAAGGAAGTGTTATCAGACCGTGCTTCTCGACTGTGCTTCTCGTCACTTAACTACATGCTCGTTCCTTCATGCAAACTCACCATGATTGTATTTATCTATATGTTAACGTAGAAGCAAAGTTTACACGTAAAATACCTATGTTGATCTGAGAAATTTTCAGTGCAAAAAATGAAAATAATGGTACATTTATGCTATGAAGTCCCTGACATATTTTGGCACAAAGCTTGTAATCCTCTATTATACTTGAATTGTGACCCAATATGAAAGTGATGAACCCTAAATCTAGAAAAATGTTTTAGTGAAGATAGTTGTTGTAACTTTTACTAATGTTATTCAGCTGTCATGGCTTTATAAAGGTTGGAGTCACCACCGTTCCTTTGATTTAGCAGAGGGCATCACTGCCCTCTCTTTGTGGGTAATCGGGAAAGGCCTCGAAGGCAAGGCCCAGGCTCCCCTGAAGTCAACATCTGCTGGTGGCTCAAACCCCAGGGCATCCGATGTGGAATGAGGACCTCCCGCTGAGCCGACAGTCGGGTTCCTTCTCATGGGGGCTGGTGGGCTGTCCTTCCTGTCACTCTCTCATGGGAAGGAACAGCTTCCCTCCCTGGGGGTTCATATTGACTGTTTTACTTTCTCTCTCTCTTCCATTGATGTCCCTATTGTCAATGCCTTCCTTCTCTCCTGCCCCGAGTGGCCCGGCTGTAGCTCTCAGGCACATCAGTAGTTGAGTTCTGATCATGCATTGGGTTTTTCACTGATACAGGAGGGGGGCAGGGAAGTGCTGGGAGGAGAAGGGCGGGTCCCTGGCGAGGGCTGCACCCCCAGGCCTGTGCCCATGGACCTAAGTGAGGACAGGCACTCCTGTTCTTGCACCCAAATGTTGCGTTTTCCAGTACCACCCTGGCCTACCACGCCCCCATCCTATGCCTATAACAACCCCAAGACCCTAGTGGGCAGAGACACAAGTGGCCGGATGTGGAGAAGAGCAGAGGAGCGGAAGAGTATGCTGACAGGCACCAGCAGACACTGGCAGGCTATCGACTGGCAGAATGATGTGGAGTTTGGCTGGGGTGGTTGGACGAGACTCCAGGAGAAAACCACCTTGCCACTCCATGCCCCTTCTGGCTCTCCATCCATCTTCTGAGAGCTACCAACACTCCATAAAACCTTGTGCCAACCCTCCAAGCTCACGTGGGATCTGATTCTTCTGGTATGCTAAGGCAAGAACCCCGGGATACAGAAAGCCTTCTGTCCTTGCGATAAGGCAGAGGGTCTAATTGAGCTGATTAACATAGGCCACCCACAGACAGCAGAACTGAAGCCTACAAGCCACCCACGGATGGCAGAACTGAAACCTACAGGCCGCCCACAGATGGCGGAACTGAAGCCTACAAGCCACCCACAGACGACAGAACTGAAACCAACAAGCCGCCCACAGACGGCAGAACTGAAGCCTAGAAGCCACCCACAGACGGCAGAACTGAAGCCTATAGGCCGCCCACAGACGGCAGAACTGAAGCCTACAGGCCGCCCACGGATGGCAGAACTGAAACCTACAGGCCGCCCACAGACGGCAGAACTGAAGCCTAGAAGCCGCCCACAGACGTCAGAACTGAAGCCTACAAGCCGCCCACAGACGGCAGAACTGAAGCCTAGAAGCCGCCCACAGACGGCAGAACTGAAACCTACAGGCCGCCCACAGACGGCAGAACTGAAACCTACAGGCCGCCCACAGACGGCAGAACTGAAGCCTAGAAGCCGCCCACAGACGGCAGAACTGAAGCCTACAAGCCGCCCACAGACGGCAGAACTGAAGCCTAGAAGCCGCCCACAGACGGCAGAACTGAAGCCTAGAAGCCGCCCACAGACGGCAGAACTGAAGCCTAGAAGCCGCCCACAGACGGCAGAACTGAAGCCTAGAAGCCGCCCACAGACGGCAGAACTGAAGCCTACAGGCCGCCCACAGACGGCAGAACTGAAGCCTACAGGCCGCCCACAGACGACAGAACTGAAGCCTACAGGCCGCCCACAGACGGCAGAACTGAAACCTACAGGCCGCCCACAGACGGCAGAACTGAAGCCTAGAAGCCGCCCACAGACGGCAGAACTGAAGCCTACAAGCCGCCCACAGACGGCAGAACTGAAGCCTACAGGCCGCCCACAGACGGCAGAACTGAAGCCTAGAAGCCGCCCACAGACGGCAGAACTGAAACCTACAGGCCGCCCACAGACGGCAGAACTGAAACCTACAGGCCGCCCACAGACGGCAGTACTGAAGCCTACAGGCCGCCCACAGACGGCAGAACTGAAACCTACAAGCCGCCCACAGATGGCAGAACTGAAGCCTAGAAGCTGCCCACAGACGGCAGAACTGAAGCCTACAGGCCGCCCACAGACGGCAGAACTGAAGCCTACAGGCCGCCCACAGACGGCAGAACTGAAGCCTAGAAGCCGCCCACAGACGGCAGAACTGAAGCCTACAGGCCGCCCACAGACGGCAGAACTAACAGAGCGCCCTGGAACACACTCCCACTAGGGCTTCAGGAGCTGGAAACATCCACCCCTAGATGCTGCCAGGGGTCAGAGCCCCAAAGCCGGCCCATCTCTATGGCACCCCCGCCAGAGGTTTGAGTAGTGGGGCACCGAAGAAGCGAGCCACTCCCCCATCACAAGCCCTGCAAGGGGAACAAGTGAACTTTTCCTGTTTCAGCATTTGATCAAAAGCATCATTAGACTCATAGCATGACTTCTGCTTTCATCTTCCTGAGCAACCAGGAACAAATCCATTTCAGCAACTCCATTTTTCCCATCGATCACAGCAGGATAACTATGCTATTCACAATCTTAGGAAAATCGATCTTCCTGCCATTGTAGCAAACCTGGATCAGTAAGATTCACTGCATGCCTTGCCATCCTCAGAGACCACTCCCTCTGCTAGAAGGAGCCACGGGAGCATGAATGAAGACCTAGAGGGTTCTTGAGGAAAAAGAGTAAGGGGTGCTGAGGGGCTGTGCATGAGAAAGGCGAATATTCCCAGGGCCGTAGAGGCAGAACATGTTAGCAATGGGGCAAAGGTTTAAGGGAGCGAAATGTCACACGCGGCACAGTGGTGCACCCCTGGGGTTTTGAGAAACGTTGCTGTGAGTTGGGAAGGGGGTGGACTTGAGGGCTGCACAGAAGTTCTTGGAGCCAGCAGGGAGACTCAGGTGTCAGACGCACATCAGGAGGCCCAGCAGTGAGCTCGGATGGGGGAGGAGGACTCACTTGTGAGGGGGCAGCGTGAGTGTCTGCAGATTCTGCAGCAGCTGTGACCATACAGGCTCACGAAGGAAGAAACTAAGACTTTTCATAGATTTTTGCCAGAAAGAAAAGAAGAGAAGATAGTGGCTTGGACAGGAGGAGGTGGCATTGATAAAGGAGGAGACAGACAGAAAGCAGGGGGTGCTTTCGGATGTTGCTAAGTGGGGGTGGGAGGCAGAGGACACTCACCCTGGGGCCGTTCCTGACTTCTCTCTCAGGCAAGGTGACTTCACAGGCCGAGTGAGATGGGTGCTGCGTCTAAGCCAGCTTCCCTGGGTGCCTTTGAAGGAGCAGAATTTAAGCAACAGCAGCAGCAACACTGCAACACCAGATGGCAGAGGAAGTGCCCCAGGTGGAGGTTTTCACCGTGAGCCCCTGCCTAGAGCCCCATAGCACTGAGCCTGTGTTTCCCTCTGAGGATGGGCAGCTCTTGCAATTCTAGTGCCTGAGCCTGTGGGGCCGGAGGCTGTCTCTGTTGAGATTCACATCCTGACTTCTGTCCGTGGGCTCCACTAAAACCTGCAGGCTCCGGGGTCCATTGCCAGTCACATAGTGACTTCAATGAGCGTTGCTGCCGGCATCCTGAGCGGGGCTGTGCTGACTCTGATGGCTCTGCCTGGACAGGCCCAGCTACACGGACCACCCCACACGTCCTCGGGCACATGCAGGAAAGGGCAGCCTGGGGTGCAGATCACAGAGGCCAGGGGTGCTGAGTCCCCATTAATTCAATAAGTGTCTATTCTCCTTTTATTTCATTCTTTACAGTGAAAAATGTTAAAATCTTAGTATCCATAACAATTTAAGCAAGACAGCCATAATCTCTCTATAAATTCAGGCGAAACGTCCTCTGCTGAATTCACACCGTGAAGGTAAAATTGCTGTGCCTGAGCAGACTTCACTTTCTGACTGCATGAAGCAGAAATCCACCGAGCAGCTCCAGTGAGTGGGGAAAGAGAGTATCACGGCAGATCTGTGCGGAAAATGTCCAGTTTCCACATTTTAAAACGTTTATCAAAGAGAAAATAAACAACCGTTTGAGACTGAGTCAAAGTAGGGTTTTATTTTTCACAAGTCAGGCTCTTGGTCTTTTTATAAAGATACAATTCATGCAACAGAAAATTCACCGTTTTAAAGTAACACTTCAGCAGTTTTAAATATTTCACTACGTTGTAGAGGCATTGCTACTGTCTAATTCCAAAACATTTCCCTCATCCCAAAAATAAACCCTGTGCCAGTTAGTCAGCCCGGACTCTCCCCACCCCAGCCCTCGGCAGCCGGGAATTTCCTTCCTGTCTCTTTGTGGGTAATCAGGAAGGGCCTTGAAGGCCAGGCCCAGGCTCCCCTGAAGTCAACATCTGCTGGTGGCTCAAACCCCGTGGCATCCGACCTGGAATGAGGATCTCCGTCTGCGCCGGACGTTTTCTGTAATGGAATCCCGCACAAAGATGCCTTTGTGTCTGGCATCTTCCCCCAGTGTAGTTTCAGAGTCCGCCCCCAATGTCGCGGGCATCGGTGCTGCATTCTCTTAGCTGAACAGCATCCGTCCTAGGGAATATATCTGTGTATACGGACCCATGTACATACCCTTTGTATGGGTTTTGTTTATCCATTCATCAGCTGATGGGCATTTGTCTTGCTTCTGTTTGGGGGATATTGTGAATTATACCACCATGAGCATCCGTGAATGCGTTTTTCTTGGGAGATGTTTTCCTTCCCACCGAGTGGATGCCGACTACTGGAATTGCTGGGTCCTCTGGTGACTCTAGGCTCAACTTTTTGAGTGGCTGCCAAATTATTTTCCACAGCAGCCGCACCATTTTACATTCCAACCAGCATTGCCTGAGGGTAATCTAAGCAGTTTTGATAGGTTAGGGTTAATTTTTTTTAAGATTAGGTGTTTTAATAAACATTGATCATATACTACATGTTTTCTAATATGATTGTTTATTTTTGACACCTAATAAAAATAAACTAAGTCTATTTTTCTCATTAAGAATTCTTGATATTGGGTTTTAAAAAATAATGGACTTTTATTTGTGATAGAAGAAAGATATAACTATTCACATTTCTGTTCTGGGATATGGATGACAAGATACCTATTCATCAGAAATAAATTTATAGAAATTTAGAGTGGAAGCGTGACTGTCAAATGTAAATTTATTGACTATTTACCTGTTAGCTCATTCAGTCAATGGTGGCTTGGATCTGCTGCCATTAGTCATGTGTCTCCTTTGTCTATAGCATGAACTTTGGGATTTTGGAAGACTGCAGTCATTAAAAATATTTTGATTTTCCTCTCCAATTACTGATAAGGTGATTACGGGTATAAAATAACAGGCATTGGGAAAGAATTTCAAATAGATAACAGTGAAATGTGCTTCTGAACGCTAAAGGGCAGATTCAGGTGCTGTCTCAACAACCCTGTGAAACGCTCTGGGTGCTGTGTGGAGCAGTGGCTGGTCCACAGCAGAGTCTTCACCAGACAGTAAACAGTGGTCAATGAAAAAGAAAAGTTCTTCATCTAGTAAAATTGACAACTACCCTTTAAAAGTTAAGCAATTCTTATTTCCCCCAGAGTTCTCCAAGTTTCTCAATATCTTAATTTTCACAAAGGAATATGGTATGAAGTGTTTTCTAAAAATATGAGTCTTTGTAGATATTATACAGCTGGACAAAGGGTAACAGCGAGCCATGGTAACTCGCTGAACGTTGCACATCACATTTGCAGAGGCAGATTGGAGGTTAGAGGGTCTTGAGCCTCCAAGCCATATCGCATTCCTGTCTGCACCAAGCGAGGCTGGTGGTCACATTATGACTTTGCATATGTGGTGCCGATTGTTCTTCACTTTAATCCCAGGAAATAGACGGCACAACAGGGCATCCCAAATACAAATGCATGGAGTTGTGTCCACCAGGCTTTCTTCAGCTTCACAGGGGTCTTTCCTGCAAGAAGCCAGTGTGCAAGTTCAAGCCTCCATTCTGCAACAGCACCATGTGGTTGTGATGATTGATGGCTGGCTGGTGACAGGTCCTCCTGCTAGTGCTGTTCTCAGTGCTTCTTTCCTCTTTCCAGGCACTCAGGTGATCTAACAACAGGGCCTGCTCTCCACTCAGGGATGCATCAAAGGCTCCTTTCTCAGTGTTGGGAGGTCTCTGTTCCACCTGGCTGGGAATCTGGCATAGTCAGGCTGCTGTGTTCACAGATCTGTCTTTACGTGGCAATACCACAAAAATGCTGGGCTAAAACACTAAGCCACATGGGAGCTGCCCACTCTTATAGTCCAGCCTGAAGATATTGGTGGGAAGGGACAATAAAGGAACAAATACAGCCTTTCTCCCTGAGCTGTTCCCAGGACCTTGGAAACGGCATGAAAGTGCTCTATGTCCCCTGGGTAATCCATGGAGCATGAAGATCTATGAACTGGCTTGTTTCTGTTTAGCAGGTGTAAGCTCTGGTTGCATGAGCCTGTATTTCCAGGGAAATTATTTTATGAGCACCTGTTTTACCTGTAATGTGCTAAGTGCTTTGAGTGTGAGCTTTTCAATATTGTCTCTGGAAAAAACCTTTTGAGTGGCCTGGTATGATCATCTCCTTTCAAAAGAGAACACTGCAATCACAGAAGGCGCCTTGTGCTGACCATTCCAGGGGGTCATGTTGACAGGGAGGGCCTGAGCTGCTGGGGGCACACCTTCCTGATGCTGTCCCTCCACCCTGGGGAGCCCTCACAGGAGCCGGCAGTGGTCCCTCCCTTCAACCTGAGGTCAGATCTTGGTGAGGAGACCATATCACAGCAGGAAAGTGAGAGGCCATTGGGGATGACCCAGCCCATAACTGGACACCAGGCATTTTGGTGCTGGTAACTTCCCATGCACAGGTAGAACTGAAGTCACTGCATGGTCACAGTGTGCTTTGTCAGTGGCACCAATTGGAAGGGACTTCTCTTGTTTTGCTGCAGGGTCCCCAGGGCCATCCAGCGACCACAGCAGTGGGGCCTCCTCTCCCCTCTTTGACAGCGGTTTGCATCTGAACGGAAACTCCAGTACCACAGTAAGCATATAGATTTTTGTTAAATTTTATTTTAACAGAAATATCAGTAGCCCAGAGATAATCTCTAGACAGAATTAAAAAGATGCTGTACTGCCCAGTGAAGATAATTGTGTTAGTTTCAGAGGAAATACTTAGAACACAGATTGAAGGTGCTGTTCTGTTGACATTTACTCCCACGTGGGACACATCCTGATTGCATTATAGGATATTTTAAGTTCATAATTCACAGCATCTCAGTGAGCAGGCAAGAATTCTTTGAGTCCTGCCTCTGACTTACATATCACCGTGACTGTAGGAAGGACTGCAGGTTATTTTTAGGAAACTTCTGTGAGACTCCCATGAATTTCTTAACAGAAAACACCTAAGGAGGTATGAACACTGTATAATGCAGTGAGTTTTAATCACATTCTAAATATCCACCCTCCCAAGAAAACCAGACTTGAGCAAAAAGGAGAACCTGCAGCTCCCTGGGACATGGGGCTCCCGCCCTCCTCCCTCAGAAGCCTGGGCTCTGAGAGAACCTGTAGCTCCCTGGGGCATGGGGCTCACACTCTCCTTCCTCAGAAGCCTGGGCTCTGAGAGAACCTGCAGCTCCCTGGGACACAGGGCTCACGCCCTCCTCTCTCAGAAGCCTGGGCTCCAACTCCCGCAGGGTGACCTGTGAGCTGCGCCCCTTGGGGAATTCATCATCCACAGAGGCATTAGTGCACGAGAAATGTAGAATCCTGTAAGCAGTTTGAAAAAATGTTTTATTATAAATCATTCCAGTCAAATCATCAAAATGACTGGATACTTCATACACAGGGAGAACCTAGAGAAAAATATTCATGTTTGTACAATCTATGTTTAAGATGTCTGACTACTCCATTTCTAACCATTTAATTGAGCTCCTGAAATTAAAAATTGCATTTAGACTCTGTGTCAGTTATGAAGCAAAATAATAAAACAAATGCCCATGAAATTGCAGTTCTAAGCAATAATTAGAATATTGTCCCTAGCTTTCCATCTGTGCAGTCTTCCATACTCCATTTTCTGGCCTGCCCAGAGATATAAGGCATCCTGAATTTTGTGTTTGTCATTTTCTTGATTGAAAAAAAGTTTTATCCATATATATATATATATATATGTAAAATTTCATTTTATTGCAAGGCTTATAAAATATTATTCTTCCATAGTCTTCTGAGATTTGCATGTTTACTTACTGTTTGTTTCTGTGAGGTTTTTTGCTGTATGATATTTCACTACAGTTTATCCATTGTCAGTTGCCTGTGGACACTTTGCCTTTGTTTTATGTTTGTTTTTCTAGTTTATCATCATTAAAAGAGGTGCAGCCATAAAGATACTTATAAATGTCTCTTGGCTATTCCATAAGGTAGAATTTCTGAGTGCTAGATTATACCAGGATGTTCTATTTTCAAAATAACAGCAAGTTTTCTACAAAAGTGGCTGTGCAGTTTATATTCACACAGCTCTGGGAAATTCCAGTTGAGCCACAGCCTCTCCAGTGCTAGGTAATTTTTGACTTAATATTTGAAGTACAGTAGCTGTAAAATGGTTCTCTCTCTGGGGCTCTATTTCATTTCCATCATTACTAATGAGTTTTGTTTACTGTTTCTATTTGTATTTTCCTTTGGTTTTTCCTCTTCTGTGAAATGCTGTTTATCTCTTTGGCACATTTACTGTTAAGGTGATCTTTTTTCTTACAAATCCATTGAAATGTTTAATATACACTTGGTAATAATATTTTGGTGGTAATGGGTTAAAAATCTCTTCCTACAGCTTATAACTTGGCTTTTTCATTTTGTTTGTGCTATCTTCTGTGGTTTTGTGGTTTTAGGATTTTGTTCAAGAAATCTTTCTTATCTTAAGTTCATAAAGACACTTCCTTATATTTTCCTCTAAATATTGTTAACGTTTGCTTTTCACATTAGATCTCTAAATCCCATGAGATCTGCTTTTATTAAAGCTGTGAAAGGTAGAGTTCCAGGTGCATTTTTATGGGTAACCAGTTGTCTCAACACTATTTCTGGGTAATCTGCACTGCCACGGCTCACAAGTAACCAGCACCATGAGCGCAGGCGTGTGCTGCTGAGACCTCTGTTGTATTCTATTGGTCAATATCAATGGCAATATCACACTATGTAATTACTAGGTATTTATAATCAATTTGTGTCATCTGTAGGCCTTGCCCTCTTGCCACCTCCTAACTCACTCTATTTTTTCCATCCTCTCTCTTTGTTTTTTCTTGTGAATTTCAATAGCTCTTGATCCAGTTCTACAAAAAACAGTGTTGGGATTTTGACTGTAATTGCCAGATTTACTGGGGAGAATCAAACCTTTCTGACTCACCTTTCCTGCTTATGGAAAGCATATTTATTTGTGCTATCTTTGAATTAATGCTGCTCCATTTCTTTCCATATTATTTAATATTTTCCTACAGAGTCTTTTTAAAATTAATTTTACAAGAGGATTGTACAATTCCATTTGTCTGCAACACCCTGTCCCCCAAGCCAGCACAGTTCAGCAGGGAGAAACTGTCCTCCTACCCTTTCTGTGCAGTTATCCTCAGGGTTTTTCTCCCATTGTGTGGCTGTAGCTTGTTGAGTGGACTCTAAACTCTTCCTGGAAGGAGACACAGAGCATGGGGCATGATTCGGTGCCATTTCAGGAAAGGTCAGACAGTCTTTGTGGCTCTGGTAAGTGCAGTGGAAAAGTAACACGACAGTATCGTTGAAGGGAGGCTGCCTGGTTCTCCTGGTTCTCCCAGTTCTCCTGGTTCTCCCAGCTCTCCTGGTTCTTCAGGCTTTGGTGGATGTGATCCTCATGTCAAGGAGTAATTGTGGAATTATGGAGGGGACATGGGTAGAGTGACTAGCCTAATGCTTGGAATATGTCATCTTCAGACATCCTCATCCTCCTTATCAGCAAGAGAAAGAGAAAAAGAAGTGCTAACCTTAAAATTCTTTGTAGTTATTCATATGGTTAGCTCAGCTCCAGAATAAAGCATCATCAGGTTATTTAAACTCATTACAGGGAATCTGAATTGCAGAGTTTAAAAATAGCTTTAATATGTTCGTTTTAGAAGGCTATCAAGACTCAATATTGAGACCTACCTGAGGGTGAAGGGTGGGAGGAGGGAGAGGATCAGAAAAAATAACTATTGAGTATTAGGATTAATACCTGGGTAAAGAAATAACCTGTATAACAAGCCCCCATAACACAAGTTTACCTATATAACAAACCTGCACATGTACCCCTGAACCTAAAATAAAGTTTGTTTTTATTTTAAATAAAAACTTAAACAAAAGTTGACAAATGGGATCTAATTAAAGAGCTTCTGCACAGCAAAAACAACTATCATCAGAGTGAACAGGCAAGTTACAAAGTGGGAGACAATTTTTGCAATCTATCTGTCTGACAAAGGTCTAATATCCAGAATCTACAAGGAACTAAAACAAATTTACAAGAAAAAAAAAAACATTAAATGTGGGCAAAGGACACGAACAGATACTTCTCAAAAGAAGACATTCATGTGGCCAACAAGCAGATGAAGAAAGGCTCATCATCACTGATCCCCAGAGAAATGCAAATCAAAACCACAATGAGATACCATCTCAGGCCAGTCAGAATGGTGATCATTAAAAAGTCAGATGATGTCGAGGTTGCAGAGAAATAGGAACACTTTTTCACTGTTGGTGGGAATGTAAATTCATTCAACCATTGTGGAAGACGGTGTGGTGATTCCTCAAAGGTCTAGAACCAGAAATACCATTTGACTTAGCAATCCTATTACTGGGTATATACCCAAAGGAATGCAAATTATTCTATTACAATAATACATGCATGTGTATATTAATTGCAGCACTATTCACAATTGTAAACACATAGATCAACCCAAATGCCCATCAATGATAGACTTGATAAAGGAAATGTGGTAGAGATACACCATGGAATACTATGCAGCCATAAAAAGGAGCAAGACTATGTCCTTTGCAGGGACATGGATGAAGCTGGAAGCCATTATCCTCAGCAAAATAAGGCAGGAACAGAAAAGCAAACACCACATATTCTCACTTATAAGTGGGAACTGAACTATGAGAACACATGGAGGGGAACAGCACACACTGGGGCCCGGCAAGGGGTGGGGGCCATGGTGGGAGGGAGAGCATCAAGAAAAAATAGCTAATGGATGCTGGGCTTAATACCTAGGTGATGGGTTGATAGGTGCAGCAAACCACCATGGCACACGTTTACCAATGTAACAAACCTGCACATCCTGCAGATGTACTCTGGAACTTAAAAATAAAAATTAAAAAAAAAAAACTTTAAAAGGAACCAGAAGTTAAAAAGAAAATGATAGTAAAATTGACAACTTCTTTCTCAACAAAAACAAGAGAAGCTAGAGGAAATGAAATGACACCTTTGAAGTATGAAAAAGAAATTAATTCCTGTTTAAAATTCTATAATACCCAGCAAACGTGCTTCAAAAGAAAAAAATAATATATTTTCTGACAAAAAAGAGATAATTATTTCCAGTAGACCAGCACTTTAAATTTATTTTTTTTGAAAAGGAAACTAAGCATACCCACATAGCCCTTAAAGTTGACATGCACTTCTTGAGGTGATAAAAGGTTATTGGCACACTGCTGAATGAAAACAACATTTAAATAATTTCTTTTATATTAATTTGTCATAAAAGATTAGCAGTGATTGCATCTGTTGTTAAATATGAGATAATTTTTATATTAGCCAGACTACTGTATTGTTGGAATTTGGGACAATAAACACTTATCATTTTGTTGTTGTTCTTTAAAATATTTTTAATTATATGATAAACACTTCTGGCATGATATCAAGGGAAAAATACATAGATGAAAATTTTTTAAAAGACTCAAAATCCTGTAAGAATTTTGAGGCATGCTAGTTGGTTTTCTGGATGGTACTTTAATCATGTAAAAGCCAATTTGCTGTGCAGTGAGTTGACCATTGGGCTCTCTCTTGTAGAGACGATTTAAAGCATTGTGACAATGGGGTTTTCTAGATATACAATCCTGTCATCTTCAAACAGGGACAATTTGACTTCCTCTTTTCCTAATTGAATACCCTTTATTTCCTTCTCCTGCCTGATTGCCCTGGCCAGAACTTCCAACACTATGTTGAATAGGAGTGGTGAGAGAGGACATCTCTGTCTTGTGCCAGTTTTCAAAGGGAATGCTTCCAGTTTTTGCCCATTCAGTATGATATTGGCTGTGGGTTTGTCATAGATAGCTCTTATTATTTTGAGATATGTCCCATCAATACCTAATTTATTGAGAGTTTTTAGCATGAAGGGTTGTTGAATTTTGTCAAAGGCCTTTTCTGCATCTATTGAGATAATCATGTGGTTTTTGTCATTGGTTATATTTATGTGATGGATTATGTTCATTGATTTGCGTATGTTGAACCAGGCTTGCATCCCAGGGATGAAGCCCACTTGATCATGGTGGATAAGCTTTTTGATGTGCTGCTGGATTCAGTTTGCCAGTATTTTATTGAGGATTTTTGCATCAATGTTCATCAAGGATATTGGTCTAAAATTCTCTTTTTTTGTTGTGTCTCTGCCAGGCTTTGGTATCAGGATGATGCTGGCCTCATAAAAT
The DNA here is from genome assembly GCF_000001405.40 of Homo sapiens. Classification (NCBI taxonomy): domain Eukaryota; kingdom Metazoa; phylum Chordata; class Mammalia; order Primates; family Hominidae; genus Homo; species Homo sapiens. The sequence goes on from NC_000002.12 coordinate 1,178,823, forward strand.
GAGTTAGGGAGGATTCCCTCTTTTTGTATTGACTGGAATAGTTTCAGAAGGAATGGTACCAGCTCCTCCTTGTACCTCTGGTAGAATTCAGCTTTGAATCCATCTGGTCCTGGACTCTTTTTGGTTGGTAAGCTATTGATTATTGCCACAATTTCAGATCCTGTTATTGGTCTATTCAGAGATTCAACTTCTTCCTGGTTTAGTCTTGGGAGGGTGTATGTGTCGAGGAATTTATCCATTTCTTCTAGATTTTCTAGTTTATTTGCATAGAGGTGTTTGTAGTATTCTTTGATGGTAGTTTGCATTTCTGTGGGATCGGTGGTGATATCCCTTTTATCATTTTTTATTGCATCTATTTGATTCTTCTCTCTTTTCTTCTTTATTAGTCTTGCTAGCGGTCTATCAATTTTGTTGATCCTTTCAAAAAACCAGCTCCTGGATTAATTAATTTTTTGAAGGGTTTTTTGTGTCTCTATTTCCTTCAGTTCTGCTCTGATTTTAGTTAGCCCAAAATCTCCTTAAGCTGATAAGCAACTTCAGCAAAGTCTCAGGATACAAAATCAATGTGCAAAAATCACAAGCATTCTTATACACCAATAACAGACAAACAGGGAGCCAAATCATGAGTGAACTCCCATTCACAATTGCTTCAAAGAGAATAAAATACCTAGGAATCCAACTTACAAGGGATGTGAAGGACCTCTTCAAGGAGAACTACAAACCACTACTCAATGAAATAAAAGAGGATACAAACAAATGGAAGAACATTCCATGCTCATGGGTAGGAAGAATCAATATCGTGAAAATGACCATACTGCCCAAGGTAATTTATAGATTCAGTGCCATCCCCATGAAGCTACCAATGACTTTCTTCACAGAATTGGAAAAAACTACTTTAAAGTTCATATGGAACCAAAAAAGAGCCTGCATCGCCAAGTCAGTCCTAAGCCAAAAGAACAAAGCTGGAGGCATCACGCTACCTGACTTCAAACTATACTACAAGGCTACAGTAACCAAAACAGCATGGTACTGGTACCAAAACAGAGATATAGATCAATGGAACAGAACAGAGCCCTCAGAAATAATGCCGTGTATCTACAACTATCTGATCTTTGACAAACCTGAGAAAAACAAGCAATGGGGAAAGGATTCCCTATTTAATAAATGGTGCTGGGAAAACTGGCTAGCCATATGTAGAAAGCTGAAACTGGATCCCTTCCTTACACCTTATACAAAAATTAATTCAAGATGGATTAAAGACTTAAACATTAGACCTAAAACCATAAAAACCCTAGAAGAAAACCTAGGCATTACCATTCAGGACATAGGCATGGGCAAGGACTTCATGTCTAAAACACCAAAAGCAATGGCAACAAAAGCCAAAATTGACAAATGGGATCTAATTAAACTAAAGAGCTTCTGCACAGCAAAAGAAACTACCATCAGAGTGAACAGGCAACCTACAGAATGGGAGAAAATTTTTGCAACCTACTCATCTGACAAAAGGCTAATATCCAGAATCTACAATGAACTCAAACAAATTTACAAGAAAAAAACAAACAACCCCATCAAAAAGTGGGCAAAGGACATGAACAGACACTTCTCAAAAGAAGACATTTATGCAGCCAAAAAACACATGAAAAAATGCTCATCATCACTGGCCATCAGAGAAATGCAAATCAAAACCACATTGAGATACCATCTCACACCAGTTAGAATGGCAAACATTGAAAAGTCAGGAAACAACAGGTTCTGGAGAGGATGTGGAGAAATAGGAACACTTTTACACTGTTGATGGGACTGTAAACTAGTTCAACCATTGTGGAAGTCAGTGTGGCGATTCCTCAGGGATCTAGAACTAGAAATACCATTTGACCCAGCCATCCCATTACTGGGTATATACCCAAAGGATTATAAATCATGCTGCTATAAAGACACATGCACACGTATGTTTATTGTGGCACTATTCACAATAGCGAAGACTTGGAACCAACCCAAATGTCCAACAATGATAGACTGGATTAAGAAAATGTGGCACATATGCACCATGGAATACTATGCAGCCATAAAAAATGATGAGTTCATGTCCTTTATAGGGACATGGATGAAATTGGAAATCATCATTCTCAGCAAACCATCGCAAGGACAAAAAGCAAACACCACATATTCTCACTCATAGGTGGGAATTGAACAATGAGAACACATGGACACAGGAAGGGGAACATCAAACTCTGGGGACTGTAGTGGGGTGGGGGAAGGGGAGAGGGATAGCATTAGGAGATATACCTAATGCTAAATGACAAGTTAATGGGTGCAGCACACCAACATGGCACATGTATACATATGTAACTAACCTGCACATTGTGCACATGTACCCTAAAACTTAAAGTATAATAATAATAAAATAAATAAAGCATTGTGGTTATTCTTTGCACTCAAGAGTGTGTTTTATGGTACCTAGCAAAGTGGTAATACTAGCATTGATAGTGTCTATGGACTGGAGAATAAAACAGATGGTGCAATTTCTTTCTTGAAAGAGGTGAGTTGGAAACTTTCTAGACTCAAAGGATTTAAGTTGCTTTGTTGGCTGCATTTTCAGACTCACCAGCTTCACTTTCATCCTCCCAGGGCCAGGCCTGATGGAGCAAAAAGCAAAGTTTGTCATGTTCAGAGCAACCTTGTAATCACAAGAAACCCAGAGGAATGGTTTCTGTCTTTACAAGTGGATACCTCTGACCCCTGCTGCATTAGCAACCTCTTCCTCTAGAGGTAGGGTAGGTGGTGTGTAATGTTTTCTCTCTGTCCTGACAGCTGGAGTAATTACCTGAGCTACCTTATATATTTGACAGTTTTTCCGTGTTATTATTTGAAGCTAAATTACTAACTACTGCTTTCCTAGAAGTCACATTTCTCATTTCTTTTTCTTCTGCCTCCTAAAAGCTGAAGCTTGCAGGGAGCTTTTGTTTCTAGTTGCCACATATCCTTTCCCAGCACCTGAGTATGGTTCACGTAGTTTAAGATTCTAAGTTCATTATTTATACTATGCCATTTTTGTCTCAAGAATCCTTACTAAACATTTATAATGAAGGAAAAATCCCACTCACATTAATATCATGCGTTTAGGTTTGGAAGTACAGAATCCATTGATCTTTCACCTGTTGCTGAATCCATTGCTGCTTCTTCCCATCTTCTGCAAATTCTGTCCTGACTGGCTTGTTAATTGGTTAGTGTGCAGCTTTCCTTCAAAGGGTGCATAGAGGGCTGCCTCCCTGATTGTGCGCATGTGCAAAAATGCTTTTCCTCGCCTTGGGAGATGGTGCCTTCACTCAGTGTTCTGGGTTCTTGGATTGCTGACCTGATCCTTTGAGAAGATTTAAAGTGCTCACCTGTGGCTTCTGCTTTAGCTCTGCCCCTGCAAGTCTAATGTGGGACTCACTAGTTTTCCTTTGTAAGAAACCTTTACCAAAAATGAATAAGGAGTTATAAAGAACAAAATATTTCTGATAGTAAATCCCTGCTTTTCTAACTTAAAAATTTCAAAAAAAAAAAAAAAAAAACTAATCAAAAAGACTCTGGTCATTGTAACTAACTGAATGAATCAAGAAGGGTATAGGAAAAAAGTCTCAAAACAAAAATTACAAAAGGCGTAATAGAACAGATGAGAAACTTGTAAATAATAGTCACACAAAAGAAAAGGCAGCTATAATAATAAAAATAAATAAATAAAGTATTGAGTCTGCAATCCGAGAGGAAAGATTGCCTCCCAGGCAGAGATAGCAAATGACCTTGCACATTTAATTGATGTACAAGGTGCCTGCAGTGAAGTAGGTGACTCTGAAGTGAAAACTTAAACTTTACAGCATCTTTGTCGAGGATAGCATGTCTCTAGAATCTGGAAGTATTCCCCCCAAAAATAATCAGTTTTTTTGTTTGTTTGTTTGCTTGTTTGAGACAGGGTCTCCCACTGTTTCCCAGGCTAGAGTGCAGTGATGGGATCTGGGCTCACTGCAGCCTCAACTTCCTGGACTCAAGTGATCCTCCCAACTCAGCCTTCCCAGTAGCTGGGGCTATAGGTGTGCGCTACCATGCCTAGATAATTTTTGTATCCTTTTTGTAAAGATGGAGTTTCACCATGTTGCCCAGGCTGGTCTTGAACTCCTGGGCTCAAGCAATCCTCCCTCCTCAGCCCCCTAAAATGCTGGAATTACAGGCATGAGCCATGGCACCTGACCTAATCTCTATTTTGACCTCTATAACCATAGATTCGTTTTGCCTGTTTTTGAATTTCACATGAATGAGAGTCATATTCTTGTGTCTGACTTTGTTTGCTCAATATTATGACATTATATGCAGCAGTAGACTTTTTTATTTTTCCTTGCTATCCAGTATTCCACTGTATGCTCATAACACAATGTTGCTATCTAATCTAATGATGTGGGCATTGGAGTTTTCTGATTGGGGCCTATTACATATAAAACCATTATGATTCATTTGTGCACATGTCTTTTAGGGGATGTAGTATCCATTTCTTCTGGGTGTCTGCTCAGGAGTGCAGTTTCAGGGTGATATGATACGTGTATGTCCTTACCTTTAGCAGATCCTACTCGGCAGTTTTTCAAACAGGTTGTATCAACTGACCACCAGCAGGGTGAGGTGTGAGAATTCCAGTTTCACATTCTTGCATCATTTCATGTCATATGCCTTCACCAGTAAGGCTGGACAGATAGAGAATAGTATTTCTTTAGCATCATCAACACGATGGCAAAACAGCAAGTTCAAAAAATTGATGGGAATTAGCAACTTTGTGATTCAGTCTGGACATTTTATTTTTATTATATATATGTGTGTGTGTGTACACATATAAAACAACTTAAAATATTTTCAAAAGCTATTTATACACTCTCAGTTCATGAAGTTTTTCTTTTTCAAAAAACTCAGATGCAAAAGGCATTTATTCTTGCTGAAGGAAAAATTAAGGAAACCTAGAATATATAGTTATTCAAAAGAGGAAAGAAGTAAGCATTAAAAAAAGAGTTTTTCCATGTATATCCAATTTTTTTTTCTCAAACAAATATAAGGAAAGGTGCTTTCTACTTCTGGTAGTGTTTTAGAATATCTGTTAGGAAGGGCTGTCAAAACCCTATTTCCTACAAAAAATATAAAATAGTTATTGCTTGGCTTGTAGAATTTCAGCGAGTTGAATGGAGATGAACTGAATGTGGAGTGTTGAGTTACAAGCACTCAAGGATTGTGGGGGCCACCCTTGGTCCTAATACTTCTATGGGCCCCCAGTCCATCAGGAGACTAAGCCAAGGTCAGCAGTAGAAAGAAGGGGTCAGAATTGGAGAATTGTACATTAATCCAGGAGTTCAGGAACATGGCTAAGTTGATCCCAGCTCACAGCACAAGTAACTGAAAACACATTTAATTTAGGCCCCAAGTTATCCGTAATTTAAGTTCAACCAAATATGGGAACATCAACACATTTTATCAAACACATAAGGGAAAATACTACATAGATGAGTGAGCAAAAAATAAAAACAATAGACTCAGGCAACTAAAACGTATAGATTTTCAGACATTGAATATAAAAAAACTATGATGACTATCTTAGCCCTTTCTCACACTGCTATAAAGAAGTACCAGAAACTGGGAAATTCATAAAGAAAAGAGGTTTAATTGGCTCATATTTCCATAGGCTGTACAGGAAGCATGGCTGGGGAGGCCTCAGGAAACTTACAATCATGGTAGAAAGTGAAGAGGAAGCAGGTGTGCCTTCACATGGCCAGAGCAGGAGGAAGAGCAAGAAGCAGGAGGTGCTACACAGTTTTAAACAACCAGATCTTATGAGAACTCACTCACTATTATAAGAATAGCAAGAGAAAATCTGCCCCCACGATTCAATCACCTCCCATCAGGCCCTTCTTCTGACATTGGGGATTACAATTCAACATGAGATTTGGGCAGAGACACAAATCCAAAACATATCATTCCACCTTTGACCCCTGCCAAATCTCATGTCCTTCTCACATTGCAGAATACAATCATTCCTCCTCAACAGTCCCCCAAGTTTTAACTCATGTCAGCATTAACTCAAAAGTCCATAGTTCAAAGTCTCATCTAAGACAAAGCAAGTCCCTTCCACCTATAAGCCTGTAAAATAATTTTAAAAAGTTAGTTACTTCCAAGATACAATGGGTATACAGGCATTGGGTAAATACACCCATTCCAAATGGGAGAATTCAGCTCAAACAAAAGGGCTGCAGGCCCCATGCAAGTCTGAAACCCAAAAGGGCAGTCAGTAAATCTTAAAGCTCCAAAATAATCTCTTTTGACTCCATGTCTCACATCCAGGCCACTCTGATGCAAGGGGTGGGCTCTTAAGGCCTTGGGCAGCCCCACTGCTGTGGCTCTCAAAGGCTCAGCTCCTATTACTGCTCTCAAAGACTGGCGTTGAGTGCCTGTGGGTCTTCCAGGAACATGGTGCAAACTGTCAGTAGATCTATCATTCTGGGGTCTGGAGGATGGTAGCCTTCTTCTCACAGTTCCAGTAGTCAGCATCCCAGTAGAGACTCTGTGTGGGAGCTCCAACCGCACATTTCCCCTCTGCACTGCCCTAGTAGAGGTTCTCCATGAAGGCTTCTCCCCTGCAGCAGACTTCTGCCTGGACATCCAGGAATTTCCATACATCCTCTGAAATCTAGGCGGAGGCTCCCAAACCTTGACTCTTGCCCTCTGGGCACCTGCAGGCTTAACACCACATGGAAGTCACCAAGGATTACAACTTGCACTCCCTGGAGCAGAGGCCTGAGACATATCTGGGACCCTTATACCATGGTGGGAGCTGGAGTGGCTGGGAGGCAGGGAGCAGTGTCCCAAGATTGCACAGGGCAGCAGGGCCCCGGGCCTGGCCCAGGAAATCATTCTTCCCTCCAAGACCTCTAGGTCTGTGATGGGATGGACTGCTAAGAAGGTCCCTGAAATGTCTTCAAGGCATTTTCCTTGTTGTTTGGGCTATTAACATTTGGCTCCTCTTTACTTATGTAAATTTCTGCAACTGGCTGGAATTCCTTCCCTGAAAATGGATTTTTCTTTTCTACCACATGGATAGGCTGCAAATTTTCCAAACTTTAACACTCTGCTTTCCTTCTATATAAGTTCTACTTTTACATCATTTTTTTGCAAACAAATATGAGCACAGGTTGCTAGAAGCAGCCAGGCCCCATCTTGAATGCTTTGCTGCTCAGAAATTTCTTCCACCAGATACCCCATATCATAACTCTCAAGTTCAATGTTGCACAGATCCCTAGAGCAGGGGCACAATGCCTCCAACCTCTTTGCTATAAGTGTAACAAAAGTGATGACCTTTGCTACTGTTTCTAATAAGTCCCTCATTTCCATCTGAGACCACCTCAGCCTGGACTTCATTCACTATCAGCATTTTGGTCACAACTTAGCAAGTCTCTAGGAAGTTTCAAACATTCACTTATTTTCCTATTTTCTGCTGAGCCCTCCAAACTGTTCTGATCTCTGCCATTACCCAGTTCCAAAGTCACTTTCACATTTTCAGGTATCTTTATAGCAATACCTTAGCAGTATTCGTGGTACCAATTTTCTGTATTAGTCTGTTCTCATATTGCTGTAAAGAAATACCTGAAACTGGGTAATTTATCAAGAAAAGGGGTTTAATTGGCTCATAGTACCACAGGGTATACAGGAAGCATGGCTAGGGAGACCTCAGAAAACTTAAACAATCATGTTGGAAGCCAAAGGGGAAGCAGGCAGGTCTTACGTAGCTAGAGTGGGAGGAAGAGCAAGAAGGGGGAGGTGCTACACACTTTTAATAAACCAGATCTCATGAAATCTCACTGTCATGAGAACAGCAAGGGGAAATCTGCCCTCATGATCTGATCACCTCTCACCAAGTTCTCTTCCAACATTGAGGATTACAATTCAACATGAGATTTTAGTGGAGACACAAATCCAAACCATATTAATCACATATATTAAACATTAAAGAAATAAGCAAGAGACTCACATGACTGCAAAAATTATAAATCAAGTGACTCTACTAGATATTATAAATATTTAAACAGAAACATCAGTTCACTGTTAAGCAGGACTTTAGAGCTGGAGAGGTTTTGTGAGTGGAAGACAAATGTGAGGTGGCAGCTACAAATTCAGCACAGGGAATGCAGAGGGGCTGCAGAGACAGACCGAAGACGTCTAGCACATGCTCACCCATCAAGGTGTCTGAACCATGTGCTACTTGAAAGGATGGAGGAGAGGCAACATTTGAATACATAATTAATGATAATTTTCTGGAGATAAAAATTTACAGCATATGAATTTACAAATTCAGAAAGAACAATGTATCCAAGGTAGGATAATTGCATTGGTTAATTTTATGTGTCCACTTGGCTAGGACGTGGTACCCAGATAGGTGGTCAAACATGATTCTAGATTTTTCTGTGAAGGTTTTTAGATGAGATTAACAGATCAGTGCTTTCGGTAAAGCACATGGACCTCCCTAATCTGGGTGGGCCTCGTCCAATCAGTTGAAGGCCTTAAAACAAAAGGGTGACCTCACCAAGCAAGAAGGGATTCTGCCAGCTGCTGCTCTTTGGGCTTAAACTGCAGCCACTTCCTGGGGCTCCAGCCTGCTGGCCCATCCCTTCAGATTTTGGATTTCTCAAGCCTCCACAATCACATAAAGCAGTCCCTTAAAATAAATTTATCTCTCTACACACACAAACACACACACCCCTCATTGGTTCTGTTTCTCAGAAGAACCCTGACTAATATAGTAGTTAAAGGCAATCCAATTCTAGGCAAACTATTGTGAAACTACGGAGCACCAAGAAGCAACAGGCAATCTTAAAATCAGCTAGGGCAAGCAGAGATCATTTCCAAAGAATGGCAATTTAGTTGACAGCAGATTTCTCAACAACAGTGGAAACCAGAAAATAGTGCAGTATTATTTTCAAAATTATGTAGGAAAGAAAAATAACTGTTGAGCTATCTTTATGATCCTCATAAAACTATCTTTCCAGAACAAAGTAAAAATAAAGACTTGTTCGCACAAAGAGAGTCTGAAAGAGCATTTTACCAACAGACTTTCGCTAGTAGAATTTCTGAAGGACACACTTCAGGAAGATAAATAAACATGATTCTAGAAGGGCGGCTGGAGAGTAGAGGGCATGTAAATGCAGATGGCTCTAACAAGCGTTAGCTTTATAAACTAATGCACCACTGTTGACTGTGTCCAGTGTCTTAGGTTAAGAAAAAACAGACACAGCGTGCTGAAAACAATAGCTTACAATTCAGAATGAGGTGAGTGGATGTAAAGTACATTCTGAAGTGCTCATATTGTTAAGATACTTCACGAATTATAATAGGTATGCCTAGTAAAACATCAGAGATACATAGTTGACCAGTAAAGATAAATAAAATGAAAAAGAAGAAATTACAAAAAACCTGAAAATAGAAAATAAAGAAATACAGAAAAAGAAGAAAATGAGAGAACCAAAGATAAGAAGGTAGAGTTGAATATAAATACAGCAGAAATTAAATAAATGTAAATAGATAAATTTGCTAGGTAAGAGTCAGAGGCCTATTAGATAAAATAATAACAAACAAGAAAATTCAGCTTTTGCTATTTAAAAGAGACACACTCAAAATAAATTTTCATACATTTTACTGAAAGAAAATTGAAGGAATTCAATATATATACAATAATAATGAGCAATACCAGAAAACACATGTTAAGACAAAGTGCATTGTTAAACATAGAAAGGATAATTTTCAATTTGCCTGAAATACATGAAAAATGTCAACTTAAATAGCTACAAAATACATAAATTTTTAAAGTTAATACAGTGAAAACTTAATCTACTGTCTCCTTTTGGGGTATCAGTCATCTCTCTCAAATATTGAAAAGTCACACAAAATCTTAATAGTAACGGGATGGGTTTGAACTGTAATATTAACAAAGTTGAACACATGGGCATAGTAGTTTATCAATCCAATGGCAAATCTTAATAAATATATTTTTAATGGTGAATCTTTAAATGAATTCCCATTAAAATCAAAAATAAGACAAAGATACCTACGTTATTTATTGTGAAAGAAATATTGAAATGGAGGTTCTGATAAGCACACTATGACAAGAAAAAACAACAAAACATGATTATTGTCAAAGAAGAAATGGGACTGTTATTTCTAGATGACCTAAAAATGCAGCCAAATACACTATGTAATGTGGATATAATGAGAGATCAACAATGTGACAGCATATAAGATAACATAAAAAGTCAACTACAATTATATTCAAAAATAGAAAGCGTAATAAAAATATGTTAAAATATAAATAAAGTATAAGGTAGCAAATCTTTGTAAGACCTTTATAAAAATATGAAATGGAAAGAAATACCATATCAATGGATAGAAAAACCTCAATATCCTAAATATGAAGAGTCTTCCAAGTGCATGTATACATTCCAAGAAGTGTCAATATATATCGTATGAGGATAATTTTGTAGAAATTAACAAGACAGTTCTCAACATATTTGTAAGAGCAAAGTCCCAGCATAGTCAAGGTATTATTGAAGCAGGAGTTGGGGGTCTTGTTCTTCTTGTTCTTCCAGACCTTTTATTTGAAGATACTGCAATTAAGACAGCATTCAGGATCACGTGAAATGACCAACTGAAACACAATAGAGGAAATATAATGGGACTCTAACTTTTTTTTTTTTGAGATGGAGTCTCGCTCTGTTGCCCAGGCTGGAGTCCAGTGGCACAATCTTGACTCACTGCAACCTCTGCCTCCCGGGTTCAAGTGATTCTCCTGCCTCAGCCTCCCAAGTAGGTGCACGCCAGCACGCCCAGCTAATTTTTTTGTATTTTTAGTAGAGACGGGGTTTCACCATGTTGGCCAGAATGGTCTCAATCTCTTGACCTCGTGATCCACCCACTTTGGCCTCCCAAAGTGCTGGGATTACAGGCGTGAGCCACCGTGCCCGGCCGGGACTCTATCTTATATGGAATACTTCATATAACAGAGGGTGTCTTAGAGAACACTTGGAAAAATAAGGAAGCTTAGAATAAAAAATACATTTCACATGGTTTAACAATTAATATATGAAGCCAAATCTTTAAAACCTTTGGGAAGAAAATCAGAATAATTTTATGATCTCGGGAAAGGGAAAGACTGTTCATCTTAAAAAGTGAACATAAAAAATTTAAGTTCATCTTAATTAAATTAAAAAGCTTTCTGTTAAACACGATAGTAATGTGGAAAGACCAACCGAATTTGGGGAAAATATTATATATACACACAGTCATCCCTTGGTTTCCACAGGGGATTGGTTCTAGGACACACTGTAGATAACAAAATCCATAGATGCTTAAGACCCTTATATAAAATGGTATAATTATTTGTGTATAACTTGCCCACGTTCTCCCATATACTTTTAATCATCTGTAGATTACTTATAATACCTAATACAGTGTAAATGCTGTGTAAATAGTTCCTACTCTCTATTTTTCTATTCTATATATTTCTATTTCTCTATTTTTCATTTGGATCATTTTGTATAACTTTTTGTGGGAGGTATTTTCAATGCATGGTTGATTGAATCCACAGATGTGGAACCACAAATATGGAGGGCTGACTATATATATATATATATATATATATATATATATATATATATATATGACATATATAAACATATGTATAAATGCATGTGACTGTAAATGTATATATATAATACTTAACCATATATATATTTGGAATATAAGAATATTTACAATTACAATAAAGGACAGCAAAATAGAAACATACACAAAATATATAATTGAATATTTCCAGAAAAGGAAGCAAGAATAATAAATGATCTGGCACGTTAAGAGATTTTCAAACTCATCAATTGTAAGAGAAAAGCAAATATCTTTAGAAGTCAATTTTCTGTAAGATATCATATATCTAAATGCTGCCACGATGTGTATTGATGTGTATTGATGGGAATACTCATTCATAGAGGAAGCAGATATAAATTAGTGCAACCACTTTGAAAAACAATTTAGTACTATCATTTACAACTGAATGTTTAAAAACATCAATATGCAGAAATTGCACTTATGGATACAAACACCAGAGCTGAATTTACATGCTCCTTCAGAGACATGCAGCAAAATTCACTGAAGCTAGAATCAGGAGGCAATCCCACATGCTCATTAAGATTAAAATGGAAGCAAAGAACAAGAAAGAAAATGAGGGCTTCAGGGCCCCTTAATTGCATTGGGCCCTAGGAGGAACACTAGTGATGTCTTCCCATGACTTTTACATTTGTAAAATTTGCAATTTCTCCCTTATCATATCTCTTTTCATATCAGATGATGTTGGGGTGCCTGTAGGCATTCCTCTATCCAGCTGGGTAGACGAAGTTTTACTAGGAATAGATTTAGTGGCAAATTGAAGTGCATTTGAATTGCTCTCATGTAGACTTTACATTTGTATTATTTTTCTTAAAGCAGTCCCCCAGATTTTATCATCATTGTGCTTATCAAAAACGGGAGCCACCACAGAATTCAGGATATTGGTTTTGGAGGAGACAAGGCCAACTGTGGCCGTGGGATCAGAAAGCAGGGCCCAGAGAGCTGTAATGGGATTAGAAATGTTCTAATTTGTGGCTGGGCGTGGTGGCTCACACCTGTAATCCCAGCACTTTGGGAGGCTGAGGTGAACGGATCATGAGGTCAGGAGATTGAGTCCATCCTGGCTAACACGGTGAAACCCCATCTCTAGTAAAAATACAAAAAATTAGCCAGGTGTGGTGGCGCTCGCCTGTAGTCCCAGCTACTTGGGAGGCTGAGGCAGGAGAATCACTGGAACCCAGGAGGCAGAGGTTGCAGTGAGCCGACATCGTGCCACTGCACTCCAGCCTGGCGACAGAGCGAGACTCTGTCTCAAAATAAAAAGTTCTAATTTGTTAGTCCAGTGGTAGCTTTATTGTTTTCATTTTAATTTTATGCTTTATAACTTTATATATTATATATGTACATAAGTATGTATGTATATATGTTATTTATGTATATATAAAATACAAATATTTAAAATGTAGCTGATAGAAAAGTTGATAGACATTTAAGTAAATAACTTAGGATCTTCAAATTGGAAAGGGGTTGCTTGGCAGAAGACAGTAAATTGTTTCCTTCCCTATATATTAACATATTTTTAGATAAAAATGAAGTAGTTGTATATAAACAGCAGCTCTGTTAAGAACCACGCATGGGCTCTGAGAAGATAGAAGGACTGGGCCCAGAAGGCATTGCAATCCCAGGAGTCAGAGCCAGATGATGTGGGGCAGAGGGAGTTGGGAACGTGGTTTCCACAAAAGGTTCTGTTTCACGGCTGTGTTTTCTGTTTAGGTGATTTAGAAAGGTCTGAGTGCAGGAAGCAGTGTTTCTGGAGAGTGCTCTGCAGCGGGTGCCAAGATCATTAGGGACCCTTGTGTCTTCACCATAGACTCCACACCCAGGGATTTATTACAAGGGGTGTTCCCTAGCCAGTGCTGTGCGATAAGAGAAGTAGATTTAATCTAACTTCTCAAGAATAGGAAAATAACTATGTGGTGACACAGTCGTGTGATGAAATTTGTCAGTATTTTCAAGTGGAATTTACCAAGAATTTTTAATTCTTGGTAAATTAATTTTTTAATTTTAGAAAACACATGATGTTTTCTAGAATTAAAGCAAGGCTCCATCTCAAATAATAATAATAATCATCATCATCTGGTTGGAACAATGTGAGACGGGCTTCCTTCACGCAGGAAATTTCGAGCTTGCGTTAATCAGTTGTGTTGCTCCAAGGGAAAACATACTAAGGTGACTTCTCGGACTCATCTGATCACACCGTCCCTCCTACACCCTCCCCTAGTGGAATAGACCAGCAAAAATTGCATTTCATGGAGCAGAATTTGGGCACCCTGTTCTAGAGGTTTTGTGATGATAAAATGTGTACGTTCACTGTCAGATTTATGGCAGATAAAGGAATGTTTCCACACAATTTGTCCTGTTAATCAGAAGGTGCCCTGTCCTCTGTGAGTAGTGGGTGGAAGAGAGCAGTCAGACACCTGCAGGTCAGCCTCTGTGTTCAGCTAGTCCATGTGAAAGGCTCACAGAGGCCATGCTGGAGACCCCTCTATGAGGGGCTCAGGGAGGAGGGGGCTGCTGAGGATGCCCGCGGCATGGCAGAGAGGCAGGGCAGGGGCTGTGGCCCCATTACATAGTCTGCAGCAGGCCCCCCAAATTCCTCATTGTTGTAATAGCTTCACCCCAAATTCAGAACTCTTTGTTCTGTTTCAAAGTTGCTCCTTAAAATAGGTGGCTCTGAAACGGGAATGGGTGACTCCTGCCGAGCCGTGGGGAACTCCCAGAACCTCCTGAGTTTTCTCAGGTGGCAGGTGGACAACTGGGGAGGCTCTCGGCACAATTTGGGAAAGCCCTCCCTCCTAGAGGCTCCGCAGGCAGCCGCTCACCACCTGATGAAAAGGATTGGAAAGCGTAGCCCAGGCTTCATCACTGATACCCGAGGACCTGCCTGCTTTTGTTTGATTGTTCCCTTGTCTATTTATTTTTCTGAGATACTAAATGAGCAACGCATATTTTAGAAGTCCGTTGCTGTACTGAAAAGTAAATCATTTAAAACACTCATTGCTAGTGGCCACAGTGATGCACCTGCCACAGGATTGCAGAATATATCTCCCCTGAATAAAGAAGAAAAAAAAACATTTTTATGTGTTACATTTTGGACATGGGTTTCCATTTCTTTTCAGCCATAAAGAAGAAAGTCCTGAGCATTTCTAGGCCTTGTTAGACTCTCGCCTGACAGCAAAGGGCAGAAGTAAATTTATTTTTATAAAGACCAAGAATTCACCATCTACTGCATGTTTCTAGGTGAACACAGTTTACATTTTAGATTCCTGACCACACTTTACACCCACCAGAATAACTCTGAACACATGAAAACAAAACAAAACAACTTCTCACTGTTATTAAGACCTTGATTTGTAGTTGGTATATTCTGACTTTCCGAGTGGAGCTTTGGCTGCAGGCCACAGTGTGGGCACACTTAGCTCTGTCGGACCTTCATCTCCCTCCAGCCAGTCTGTCTCCCATCCCCAGGCCCAGAGTGGGCAGATGAGGTATGCACTGGACCAGGTGTGCACAGGGCAGGAATCCTGGCAGCCTTTCCTCTACCACATTAGTGTTTATTGTTGGAAGTAGCAAAAGAGTGTTGTTTCCACTTTTCATTTTTTATCATTCATTATCCTCTCTTTATAAGAAGCTGTAACTCCCAGAGAGTTAGAAGTAGGAGGAAGCAGAGTGAGCTCTGCACAAGGGAAGAAGCATGGTCAGGATGGGGGGAGAAGCGCTGGGGATGCAGTCTAGAGTATTGTCTTTCTCCGTGTCCTGCTGGATGCTGGGTTTTCCAGGTGTAGTTTACAAACTCCCAGCAATGTCCTCAGGCAGTTTCACCTTGTGACCACATACAGCTGTGAAAATCACATATATTTACACATTTAAAGTATAGGAATGTGGGAATCTTTCTTTCTTAGAACTTCTTAGGCACCTAAAGATTTCAGATTTCCTCAAAGGACTAAAGGTCCTGTAGGTACCACGTTGGTTGATTCTTCCTGGCCAATATTTTACAGTTTTGGCCACTTTCAACTAAGATTTCTTAGTGATGTCGTGTTGCCGCCTGCAATAGTTAAATTCTTTCCCCATTATGTTTGTGCTGATTATACTCTAAAATTATACTAAAATTGGCCTCCAGTAGGTTTTATAAAGGTGAAAATTATGAACATGTGACCCAGAGGCTTATTTTGTCTGCTGATCAGGCTTATTTATTTATTTATTATACTTTAAGTTCTGGGGTAGATGTGCAGAACGTGCAGTTTTGTTACATAGGTATACACGTGCCATGGTGGTTTGCTGCACCCATCAACCTGCCATCTACGTTAGGTATTTCTCCTAATGCTATCCCTCCCCTAGTCCCCCACTCCACAACAGGCCCCAGTGTATGATGTTCCCCTCCCTGTGTCCATGTGTTCTCATTGTTCAACTCCCACTTGTGAGTGAGAACATGCAGTGTTTGGTTTTCTGTTCTTGCGTTAATTTGTGGAGGATGATGGTTTCCAGCATCATCCATGTTCCAGCAAAAGACATGAATTCATCCTTTTTAATGGCTGCATAGTACTCCATGGTATATATGTGGCACATTTTCTTTATCCAGTCTATCTTTGATGGGCATTTGGGTTGGTTCCAAGTCTTTGCTATTGTGAACAGTTCCACAATAAACATGTGTGTGCATGTGTCTTTATAGTAGAATTATTTATAATCCTTTGTGTATATACCCAGTAATAGGATTGCTGGGTCAAATGGTAGTTCTAGTTCTAGATCCTTGAGGAGTTGCCACACTGTCTTCACAATGGTTGAACTAATCTACACTCCCACCAACAGTGTAAAAGCGTTCCTATTTCTCCACATCCTCTCCAGCATCTGTTGTTTCCTTTTTAATGATCGCCATTCCAACTGACATGAGATGGTATCTCATTGTGGTTTTGATTGGCATTTCTCTAATGACTAGTGATAATGAGCTTTTTTTCATATGGTTGTTGGCTGCATAAATGTCTTCTTTTGAGAAGTGTCTGTTCATATCTGCCACCCACTTTTTGATGGGGTTATTTGTTTTTTCTTGTAAATCTGTTTAAGTTCTTTGTAGATTCTGGATATTAGCCCTTTGTCAGATGAATAGATTGCAAAAATTTTCTCCCATTCTGTAGGCTGCCTGTTCACTCTGATGATGGTTTCTTTTGCTGTGCAGAAGCTCTTTAGTTTAATCAGATCCCATTTGTCTATTTTGGCTTTTGTTGCCATTGCTTTTGGTGTTTTAGCCATGAAGTCTTTGCCCAAGGCAAAATTATTTTTAATTGAACATGAAGTTGTGGATATTATGTTATTAAAGATTAACTATTTTCCCGGGTTTAGTGATTATCTTTATTGATCAGGAAAAAAAAAATAAACTCACATTGTTGGGATAATCTAAAAATAACATCATGATATTACAGCATACCATGAAGAAGTTAACTCTAAAGGCCTACAGTATATAATAGTTTGAGTTTGGAATCTTTTTTTTGTGTCATGCATAACTCAAACTTTGCATATCACCTTCTTCTTAATCTCCAGTGAGTAACTGCTTTATAGTTTCAGACTCCAAGTTAGGTCAGAATACTCAATATCAAATACTTTTGATAATACCACAAAATTTACCAAAGACATAGATATTTTAAAAACAAGGAAACAAACAGAAATCTTAGAACTCAATAACTCAATGGATGATATAAAAAATACAAATGAGAACTTCAGCAATAAAGTAGATCAAGCAAAATAATGAATTTCTGAACTTGAAGACAGGTCTTCTGAAATAACCCAGTCAGACAAACAAAAGAAAAAATAAAAAAGAATGAAGAAAACCTTTATGACATATGGGACACATTAAAATGATTACATATTTGAATTTCATGTGTTCCAGATGGGGAAGAGATGAGCAAAGGCATAGAAAACCTATTTAATAAAGTAAGACCTGAAAGCTTCTCAAGTCTGGCAAAAGATTTAGACATCTAGATATAGAAAGCTTAACAATCACCAAACAGAATCAACCCAAAAAGGTCTTCTTCATCGTATAGTATGGTCAAACTGTCAAAAGTAAAAGATAAAAAGAGAATTCTGAAAACAGCAAGAGAAAAGTAGCAAGTCACATATAAGGGAGAACCTCCATCAAGCCATCAGTTGATTTATCAGCAAAAATCATACAGGCTGGGAGAAAATGAGATGATACATTCAAAGTACTAAAAGAAAAAAAACACTTCTAGCCAAGAATACTGTACCTAGAAAAGCTATTCTTCAAAAATGAAAGAGAAATGAAGTCTTCTCAGACAAGCAAAAACATAAAATTAGTCACCATTAGACTGGTTCTACACAAAATGATTAAGGGAGCCCTACACCTGGAAGTGAAAGGACCACATCTACCATCATGAAAAAACATGAAAGTTTAAAACTCATTGGTAGAGCAGACAAGTAAATGAAAAAGAGAAAAGACTCAAGTGTTAACCACTACAGAAAACCACCAAACTGCAATGATAAACAATGAGAGAGAAAGAAAGGAAAAAATGATGTACACAACAACCAGAAAACAATTAACAAAATGACAGGAATAAGTCCTCACCTATCAATAACTACCTTAAATGTAAATGAATTAAATTTCCCACTTAAAAGATACAGACTGGATTAATAGGTACAACAACAATGAAATGACCCAATTATATGCTGCCCACAAGAAACTCACTTCACTAGTAAATACATTTATTACCTGAAAGTGAAGGAATAGAAAAAGCTATTCTATACAAATGGAAACCAAAAATGAACAGAAGCAACTATAATTATATCAGATAAAATAGACTTTAAGTCAAAAACAAAAAAAAGACACAAAGAAGATCTTTATAAAATGATAAAAGGATCAATTCATCAAAAGTCTATAAAAATTCTAAATACACATGCACCCAATTTCAGAGCATGCATATATATATGTGTATATATATATGTGTATGTATATATGTGTATGTATATATATGTGTGTGTGTGTGTGTGTGTGTGTGTGTGTGTGTATATTTGATACAGGTTCTCACTGTCACTCAGTCTGGGGTGCAGTGGCATGATCATGGCTTACTGCAGCTTCAACCTTCCTGGGCTCAGGTGATCCTCCCACCTCCTCCCAAGTATCTGGGATTACAGGCATGCATCATCATGCCCAGCTAATTTTTGTACTTTGGTAGGGATGAAGTGTTGCCATGTTGCCCAGGATGGTGTCAAACTCCCGGGCTCA
Organism: Homo sapiens; assembly: GCF_000001405.40. Taxonomy (NCBI): domain Eukaryota; kingdom Metazoa; phylum Chordata; class Mammalia; order Primates; family Hominidae; genus Homo; species Homo sapiens. Next base: position 1,197,769 of record NC_000002.12, read on the forward strand.
AGTGATCCAACTGCCTCAGCCTCCCAAAGTGCTGGATTACAGGCATGAGCCAACATGCCTGACCCAGAGCACCCATAAATATATAGCAACTATTTATTAGTTCTAAATAATGAAATAAACTCCAATATGAAAATAATTGGGGATTTCAACACTGCTTTCTCAGCATTAGACAGATTATCTAAAAGAAAATCAACAGGGAAGCATTGGATTTAACTTGTACTTTAGACTAAATGGATCTAACAGATATTTACAGAATTTTTTTTAATTGCTGCAGAATACACATTGTTCTCATCAGCACACAGAACTTTGCTGGGATAGATCATACATTAGGCCACAAAAAAAAGTGGGAACAAATTTATAAGAATGAAAACTATATCAAATATCTTCTCAGAACACAGTGGAATAAACTAGAAAAAATAAGAAGAACCTTAGAAACTATACCTATATAAATATATGAAAATTAAACTACATGCCCCTGAACAACCATTGGGTCAATAAAGAATTTAAGAAGGAGGTAAAAAACATTATTGAAACAAATGAAAACTGAAACACAATATACAAAAATCTATAGGATATAGCAAAAACAATACTAAGCAGAAAGTCTGTCTGACACACAATGTACTAAAACATATAGGATATAGCAAAAACAGGACTAAGTGGAAAGTATATAACAAATAAGAGACACACATCGAAAAACGTAAAAAAAAAAGTCAAGTAAACAACCTTATAGTTAGCCTAAAGAATGGGAAAACAAGAACAAACTAAAGCCAAAAGTAGCAGAAGGGAAAAATAATACAGAGATCAGAGCAGAATTAAATAGAGACTAAAAAAGCACAAAGATTAATAAAAGTTTTTTAGTAAGATAAAATTGATAAACTGCTAGCTAAACAAAAAATAGAAGATCCAAATAAATAAAATTAGAAACAAAAAAGATTTTGAAGCAGAAATTCCAAAGATATACAAAGAATCATCAGAGACTATTAACCACTATATGCTAGCAAATTGGAAAACAGAGACAATAGATAAATTCCTAGAAATATACAACCTACCAAGATTGAACCATGAAAAAAAAGTCTAAAACCTGAATAGACCAATAACAAGTAACAAGGTTGGATCAGTAATAAACTCTCCCAACAAAGAAAGCCCAGGACTGGATGGTTTTAATTCTGAATTCTTTCAAACTTATAAAGAAGAACTAACATCCATACTTCTTAAACTACTTCAAAAATTGAAGAGTAGGGATTTTTTCCTAACTCATTCTACAATGCCAGCATTACGTAATGCAAAAACCAGAAAAGGACACAGCAAAGAAAGGAAACAACAGGCCAATATTTCTGATGAACACAGACACAAAAACCCTCAATAAAAAAACTAGCAGACCTAATCCAACAACACATTAAAAAGGTAACACACCATCATCAAGCAAGATTCATCCCAGAGATGGAAGGACAGTTAAATATATGCAAATCAATAAATGTGACACATCACATCAATATAATAAAGAACAAAAACCATATGACCATCTCAGTAGAAGCAGAAAAAGCATTTGATAGAATTCAACAATGCTTTATGATAAAAGTACTCAAATTAGGGAAGGGATAAACTTCAGCATAAGGTCATATATGACAGGCCCATGACTAGTATTGTAGTGAATGGGGAAAAGCTGAAAGGCTTTCCTCTAAAAATTGTAATAAGACAAAGATGCCCACTTTTATCACTCCTATTCAGCATAGTCCTGGAAGTCCTAGACAGAACAATGAAGCAGGAGAAAGAAACAAAAGGCATTCACATTGAAAAATAGGAAGTTAAATTGTCCCTCTTTGCAGATGACATGATCTTATATATAGTAAAACCTGAAGACTTCACCAAAAAACTCTTAATACTAATAAAATATTTCAGGAAAGTTGCAGGATAAAGAATCAATACACAAAAACCAGTAGTATTTCTCAATACCAATAACAAACCAGCTGAAAAATAAATCAAGACACCAATCCCTTTCACAATAGCTATGAAAAAATATTTAGGAATAAGTTTAATCAAAGAGGTAAATGACCTCTACAAGAAAAACTACAAAACATTGTTGAAAGAAATTGAAGAAAACGCAAACTAATGGAAAGACATCTCATACTCATGGATCAAAAGAATTAATATAGTAAAAATGACCATATTTCCTAAAGCATTTAACAGATTTAATGCAATCCCTATAAAAATACCAATAAAATTCTTTACAGAAATAGAAGATATAATTTTATTAATTTGTATGGAACCACAAGAGAGCATGAATAGCCAAAGCAATCTTAAGCAAAAAGAACAGAACTTAAGCAAAAAGGGCAGAATGACTTTGAAATACACTACAGAGCTATAGTAATGAAAAAAGCATGGTACTGGTATAAAAACAGACACAGAGACCAATAAAATATAACAGAAAACATAGAAATAAATACACATATTGGCAGCCAACTAATTTTTGACAAAGATACCAAGAACATACATTGGTGAAAGGATACTCTCTTCAATACATGGTTCTGGGAAAGCTGGATATTCATCTGCAGAAAAATGAAACTGGACCCCTATTTCTCACCATATTAAAAAATCAACTCAAAGTGGATTAAAAGCTTAAACGTGAGATCCAAAATTATAAAACTACTAGAAGTAAACATAGTAGAAACACTTCAGGACGCTGGTTTAGGAAAAGATTTTATGACTGAGACCTCAAAAGCACTGACAACAAAAACTTTTTTAAAATAAACAAATGGAACTGTATTAAACTAAAAAGCTTCTGCACAACAAAGGAATAATCAACAGAGTGAAGCAACAATATATGTAATGAGAAAAATATTTGCAAACTATTCATTCGACAAGAGACTAATATCCAGAATATACAAGGGACTCAACAGCAAAAACAATAAGAAAAACAAACTAATCCTATTAATACTGGGCAAAGTATCTGAATAGAAAATTCTCAAAAGAAGACATATGGCCTATAGGCCAACAAATGGCCAACGAACAGATATATGAAAAAAATGCTTAGCATTACTAATCATCAGGGAAATGAAAATCAAAATCATGATGAAATATTATCTTACCCCAGTTAGAATGGTTATTTTAAAAAAGATTTTAGAAAAATTACAGACTCTGGAAGGATGAGGAGAAAATAGAAGTCTTATACACTGTTTTTAGAAATGTACGTTAGTACAACCACTCTGGAAAACAGTATGGAAGCTCTTCAGAAAACTAAAAATAGAGCTACTATATGATTGAGCAATCCCACTAGTGGGTATTTATTGAAAGGAAAGGAAATCAGTATATCAAAGGGATACCTGTACCCACATGTTTATTGCATCATTATCCACAAGAGTAAGATGTGGTGTTAACCTAAGTGTCCATTATTAGGTGAATAGATAAGAAAAATATGGTATATATACACAATGAAATACTATTCAACCATAAAATAGTAAAATCCTTTCATCCACAGCAACATGGATGGAACTGGAGGTCATTATACTAAGTGAAATAACCCAGGCACAGAAAGACAAATATCACATGTTATCACTCATATAGTAAGAGCTAAAAAAGTTGATTTCATGAAGTAGAGGGTAGAAGGATGGTTATCAGAGGCTGGAAAGGGTGTGGGGGGAGGTGAAGAGAAGTTGGTTAATGGGTACAAACATACAATTAGATAGAAGGGATAAGTTCTATTGTTAACATAGTTAATAGAAATACATTATGTTGGGGACATTTCACATATTTTCTTCTAGGTATTTTGAAATGCATATTTCAAATGCTATATGGCTTATGGAGGAATATGCATTTGAAATGCATATTTCAAAATACCTAGAAGAAAATATCCGAAATGTTCCCAACACAATGAAATGATAAATGTTTGAGGTGATGGATTTTTAATACCTTGTTTTGATCATTATGCATCATATGCATGTATCAAAGTATCACATACACCCCAAAAATGTGTGAAAATACTATGTGTTAATAAAAATGGGCAAAACAAATAAAAGTAAATGAAATGAGAATCAGAGACTTGTGGGACACCTCCAGTGGTCTGAATTACATATCATGGAGTCCCAGAATGAGAATAAGAATGCAAAGAATAGGAGTGAACATGAAGCAAGATAGACACAAAGAAAACTATTTAGGCATATCACAGTCAAACTGTTGAAAACCAAGGAAGAAGAGAAGGTTTAGGAAGCAGCCAGATGATAAAAAAGCTTATTTTTAAAAATAAATTCAAGTTGAGAGAAAATGTTGCCAGTAGACCTACACTACAGGAAATACTAAAACATGCTCTTCAAGCTGGAAGGACATTAAACCACGTGGAAACTTGATACATAGGAAGAAGTGAAGAGCACTATGAATGGCAAATAGGTGGGTATGTATATAAAATATCCAATATAAACTGTTTCTTTTCTCAGTTTTCTTTCAGATAAATAATACTTTAAAGGACAAGATGATGACACAGTAAACTGGACTTGATAATGTATGTAGAAGTAAAAGATACAGCAAAAATAGAACCAAGGGCACAGTCAGTTGAGGTTTTTATATTTGTGAAGTGAGGTATAGGAAGATTGATGTGTCAATATGAAGTTTAAAGTGATACAATATTGACTCTAAAGAAACACTGATATATTAAGAATGCAATATTATGACCCCTACAGTCAATGAGGAGATAAAAGAGGATCGTGAAAAAAAAATGATTTACCCTTTATACAGAAGAATTTGTTCAACAGAGTAGAAAAAATCCAGGGGAACAAAAAGACCAATAGCAACATGTAATTAAGCCCAGCAGTATGAGAATCACATTAAATATAAATGGACTAAACATTTTAATTAAAAGGTAAAAGTTGTCAGACTGGATTTTTAAAAAAGCAACATCCAACTGTATGGTGTATACAGAAAATATAATTTAAATATAAAGATACCCACAGGTGGGAATTAGAAGAATGGAGAGCATGTATTTTATAAACAATAACCATAAAAATATCAGTCTATTAATGTTTGATGAGTGGTCTTCAAAATAAGCAATGTTCCCAAGAGAAACATTTTATTATGATTTAAAAATAATATGAGTTCATCAGGAAAACATAATAATTGTAAATATGGTATGTACCTTATAACAGAGCTCCCAAATACAAACCAAAAACTGGCAGAGATGGGAAAAACACAGAGAAATCCACAATCAAAATGGGAGATTTTAATATTTTATGCTCAGTGTTGATAGGACGGATAGACAAAAACATTAGTAAAGATGTAGAAGAACTACACTACCTTATGAATCAACTGGGACCTCACTGACATTTATAGAGTCCTGGATCCAAAGTCTCCAGAATGCAATTTCTTTTCATGTGAGCATGGAACATTCAACAAGATAGATGGAATGCTGGGCCATGATCTACTACTTAGGACTAAAAAGATTTATACAAAACTCAAGTATCCTGCAACTGGTGAATTCTTTCAAATAAATAATATGTACACTTTTCTAACTCTTTCAGGAAATAGAGGAGGTTGAAATGAATCCCAGATAACTCTGTGAAACTGGGATAACACTGATAACCAAAACCTTCCACTGAGATTAAGAGTGACAAATGTTACACAGGCCGGGCACAGTGGCTCACACTTGTAATCCCAGCACTTTGGGAGGCAGAGGAGGGAGGGTCACTTGAGGCCAGGAGTTTGAGACCAGCCTGGCCAACATCATGAAACCCCATCTCTACTTAAAAAAAAAAAGCCAGGCATGGTGGTGCGTATCTGTAATCCCAGCTTCTCAGGAGGCTGGGGCACGAGAATTGTTTGAACCCAGGAAGCTGGGGTTGCAGTGAGCCGAGATCACACCATTGCACTCCAGTCTGTGCAACAGAGTGAGACCTTGTCTCAAAAACAAACAAAAAAAAAAATATATATATATATATATGTGTGTGTGTGTGTGTGTGTGTATGTGTGTATATGTATATGTATATATATGGACCAATAGCCCTCATGAATGTAGATGCAGAAATTCTTCAACAACATATTAACAAATCGAAAGAAGGATCATGTATCATGAAAAAAATGGGGCTTATTTCAGGAATGCAAGCTTCGTACAACATTCAAAATCCAAATTTAGATGACAGCATAGCAACGTTATTTATAATATCCTCAAGCAACAATCAGATCTTTTTCAACAGGTGAATGGATAAAAATGAATAATTTGCTGACACACACATTAACATGGATGCATCTTCCAGGCTTTATGCTGAGAGAAGAAAGGTTTACACACAAGTGATAGTGCATCATTCGATTAATACCGAGTTATAAAGCAGCAAAACTAGTCTATAACAGCAGAAACCAGATCAGTGACTACCTTGGGCTGGAGGGATTGCCTGCAAACGGGCACAGAGGAAGTATCATGGGGGTAGGTGTTATGTGGATGAGGTAGAAATACTCTGTTTCATAATTTGGATTTGGGCTGCATGGGCTATATATATTTGACAAAACTCATCAAACTGTGCACTTAAAATCTGCACGTTATTGTATGCCATTTATGCCTCAATACAGTTCAGTTACAAACAAAAAAAGTGCAAAGCTTTTCAGTGATTCACTGTAGAAAATACAGCAACATGTAAAAAGTTGGCTTCAAACCTCTTATTTAAACACAAAGTATTAAAACACCAAGTGTATGGTGATGCCTCTCTTATCTGTAGTTTTGCTTTCCTCAGTTTCAGTTACCTACAATCAACCACATTCTGAAATATTACATGGAAAATTCCAGAAATAAACAATCATAAGTTTTAAATTGTGCACATTCTGAGTAGCTGATGAAACCTTGTGCACACACTGCTCCATCCCCTTATCACAAGGAGACGGAGGAGTACAGTAAATAAGCTCTTTATAGAGAGACCACATTCTCATCACGTTCTTTACAGAATAGCGATGTAATTCCTCTATTGTATTAGCAGTTGTTAATCTCTTACGGGGCCTAATTTAGAAATTAAACTTTATTATAAGTGTGTGTGTATAGGAAAAAAGCATAGTATATAACTATACGGTTTGGTACTACGCACAGTTTTCAGGCATTCACTGGGAGTCTTTTTTATATTCAAGAAATGCTTATTATTAAAGCAGAAAGGCTCAGAAGCCTCCTGAAAGCAAAGATTTGTCTTCAGATTCCACTTTTTATTATCTGTGATCTAAAAATATTATTTTCTTGTATGTCTTTAAAAATTATTATGTGCAGTATGATCTTAACTTTTAAAAACCAAATAGAAAAAGACCATGAGAAATATACAAAATGGGTGATAAGGTTTTTTTTAACCTTTTTATATTTCCCATCTTTTCTAGAATGTGGTTGTATTTCTATGATAATCAGAGAACGTAGACTTAAGAGTGTGCTCCGAACACTACTTTGTGTCCATACATACATGCCTTGAGGAGGCAAAAATGCTGGGATGATACACAGTTTATATTAAACTGGGAACCTTGTAAGTGGTTGAAATATTTGGAGGCTTTTGCTTTCATCTACTTTTATTCATTTCCAGTAACTTTATAAAGAGTATGTTAAAAGTACTCAATTTTTCTCGAGTTTTCAAAATGCACCCATCTGGGCACAGTGCCCTCTAGAGATCCACCTCCATTCAGAATGTTTATCTTGTGAGTGTTGCAGATCTCAGGACGAAATCACTTTTTGTCAACCCCAAAGAACCAGAGCTGGGAGAATGCAGAGTCGGGGAGCTTATGCTTGCATGTCTGAGATGAAGACTGTCTTGAAAACTTCTAAAATAACCTCACAAGTTCCTTCTTGGGGACTGCAACAATCTGAATACAATGCTTTAGAAAGAGCACCTGCCCAGTGACCTGATGCCAATTCTTGCTTTGAGTCTCTGAACCTGATGGCCTTCATCTCCAGGCAGCTCATGTGAACATCGCTGCCAGTACAGGCTCCCCCTCGCCCTCCATTCTTCGAAACACGTGTGGCTTGCGTTTTTGGTTATAATCCATTCTTCTAATTCTTGTATACATTCAGTGTATTGGGAAATGTTTTTCTCTAATTTTTTTGATTGACAATCTTATAATAACTGTGGCATCTCATAGTAAATGCCGTGTGAGTTGGTTGGTCAGTCACATATAAATGCTACAGGATGGCTTTTGGGGGTCAGTTCTTTGGCAACTTTTGACTACATCATAAATTAAACAGAGGAAAACATGTTCTGTTTTGTTCCTCATCTAAAATTGGTTTCCACTGCCATGGATAGATGCAGATGCTTTTGCAACCCTGGAAATGCTGAGCTCTGCATTCCTGTTGGAAGCAGCAAGATTACAAAAAGCTGACAGGTACAAGCTATAGGGTTTGTGATCAGCTGGTAGGAACATGCCTCATTATATCTGCAAGCTATTGAGTTGATGTAAGATTTGGGACCACGATGAGAATCACGAGGCTCTGCTTTCTGCAGCACATGAACTCCCTCAGAGTGGGGTTTGCTCAAATGAGCAGCACCTACCTTGAGCTGACTTTGGAGATGCCTGTGTGGAAGGTGGGCACAGGACCAGAAGGCCTTTCCGGGCACCCTGCACATACTCTTCTCCTAAGGAGAGGATGCTGGAGGCATTTCCTCCAATGTCAGTGCCAGCTTGTGACTGCAGAGAGCAAAGAGCTGGGTGTGCTGGGGCAGCTGGAGAGGAAGGAGCTGCAGAGGGGTAACACTGGCATGTTCCTTCTCCTTGGCCCTCAGTAGATGGGAGCATTTGACCCCGCTGAGCTAAGCATTAGCTCACAGAGACCTGACTTCTCCCCTAGCTGCTAGGTTATAGAAAATATTTTCTCCAGATTGTGCAAAATACTTTTCCAGAGGAAAGTACATTCAGTGGGACATGAAATTCAGGGTTTATCAGTGGCCTCCAAGTGAAAAGCGTCCTATGAAAGTCCACAGTCTGGAGCCAAAGCTGCACCTACAAGCTCTGCATGCAGCCTGATTTTATAAAGAAAAAATGGGTTTTCTCAGTGGGGAATTGCTTTTGATCCTACACTTTTCAAAAGTAATCTTCAACTGATTTTATGAAAGGATGCATACTATTTTGTTTATTTAAATATTGTGCATTGTATAGTAGAATCCTCTATGCAATTTTAAGTGGTGGTTTTGCAGTATAATTCTAGTACTTCTGCAAACAGATAGCACACTGTAGCAAACCTTTGAATCAGCAACAAGGGGTACAGAGTATGTGGCTAAACACACAGCAGCATTACTAGGATGAACTCCTATGGCACAGATTTATTATTGTGCATGCAAATACCACAGTTAAAATTAAATGTATAGGGATAATTAAAACCTTGCCACAGTATGCAGTCATTTATAATGAATTCCTACACAGGTTGCAGTAGTCTATGTAGACAAATGGTATTTCAGCAAAGCTAATATGAAATACACATCAGGTGATCAGAAGGTATTTCAGTGTCATTCTCGTGCATGCACCAAAGGTGAATCTCTTACCAGAAGTTAGAGCCCAACAGAAAAGGGTAACCATGAATGAATATCTGTAAAATTCAGCTCAGAGTTCAAATGTTCCAATATTGCCACTTTTGCTATTGAGCTATTGGCCATGGAATTAATAAATATAGAGAAACAATGTTAGGATGATAACCCAAACCCAACCTCTGGCTATGTGAGTTTTTTTTTCTGCCTTCAGACACATCTGTAGATGGCGATGCCGCCTCTTCTGTATGACGCTCCAACCTCCCTCAGTGTCCATTCCCCCATCCCACCTGCGTTGAGGGAGAGGCCTTTCATCTAAAATCCTAGGGCAGGGATGCAAAGATGATTTGAGGTGGAGGAGAATGAGAAGGGGGCTTATATATTAGCACAGACGAAAAATAAATCACACACTCTTTCTGTTAAGCGTAAGCATTGTGTAGAGAGTCGTATGGAAACCTCATCCACGTGGAAGCGAAGCCTCCAAGGTTCCAGGGATCTCATGAGAAACCCTGGGGAACCGCCCCCCGTCTCCTCTCACCGCAAACCAACCAGAGCCAGTTCAGCGGCACAGAACTGTTAGGGACATTATTTTTGGGCAGGTAAAGCTGACTGCAGAGGAGACTTGGGGTGGATAGGGTTGGCTCTTTAAGTGGTGGATTAACCAATGTGTAAGGTATGCATTTATAAGGAATGAAGTCTCAAATAACGTTCTAATACATAGTGAACATCCAGCAGCTTAACACTTACGAACAAGCAAGTATGAAAGACACTTCATGCCACCCTTCTGAGCCTCCAGAAAGCCCAGGTCTGTTTTCTCACGGCGCCCCTGCTTACAGAAAGTCTTCTTGCAGACAGATGCTCGGATTCCAGGTGCAACAGTCCCTGGACCCTATGGTCCACAGAGCCCGGAGCTCAGGGCTGGTGCTTCCCGTGGACACTGAAGCAAATTAAAACACCAGAAATGCCTTGTGAGTGTGGGGCTTGCCTGTGAGCGCGGGTTACACCTGTGAGTGTGGGGCACACCTGTGAGTGTGAGGCACGCCCATGAGTGTGGGGCACACCTGTGAGTGTGAGGCACATCTGTGTGAGGCACGTCCATGAGTGTGGGGCACACCTGTGAGGCGCGTTCTTGCCGGTCGCTGGGGCGGCAGCACCTGGTTCATTCCCAGCGAGCCCGGCTCTGAGATCAAGATGGCTCAGAGAGCTCAGGCTCCTCTTTGAGAACGTGGAATGGGAGGTGGGTGGATCCTGTGGCCCAGAACCTACCTCCGACCCTTTCGTTGTTGGACTCTTGCGGGGCTGCTGCGTGGTGCTGTGGTGGTTGCATGGCTCCTTCACCTTCCCAGACGGGCTTCCTGTCGAGAGCCGCAGACCCGACGAGGCCTCACCACTTTTCCATCTGGGCCCGGCTCTGACCACAGCACAGAGTCGTTGCTACCGATAACAAGGCAGACCCATGACCTGGACGCCCGTTGGAATGTCATCAGCCATTCTATCGTGTGTCTCTCGACCTAAACTCGCTGAGTGGACATTTCAGGTTGTTTTGGTTTTGCGTCTTTCTCACGGTCTCTATGCACTGAGCCCAGTGCTGTGTCTACAACTTTCCCTCCAGATTTAGGCCCCTCTTCTCCTTCTCCTTCCCTTCAGCTTCTTCTCTTTCGTGCAATTTGCAGTTGGAAAACAGCGGGAGAAAATGTCTTAAATCCGGGTAGAAGAGCACTTCTTTCTTTCCAGATCTTTCAGAAACAACCTCACTTGCTTTTTTATCAGTTGAAATGTGTTGGACTTGAGTTCTGTGTTCCAGGTGCCTGCAGATGCCTCTCCCCGCATGCAGCCTCCTCTGCCTCTGTGACGCTTCATTCTCCTTTCTTCTGTACAGGCCCCATCGTCACCTTCCTCGCCCATAGCTAAGGACCCGAGGTATGAGAAGCGCTGGCTGGACACCTTGTCCGTGCCTCTGTCCATGGCTCGCATCTCAAGGTACAAAGCCGGAACGGAAAAATTAAGGTGTGTGACCATTGTCTGAGATGGGAAACTTTGATGAACCCCGTGCACTTTTGCCAGTTCCTACAGGCCGCTGGTTACTCCAGAGCGCTTGACTGTGACATTAGCAAGTGTGCGTGCTGTCTTCTGGTAGATTTAGCATTTGGAATAAACAAGTTAAAGATAAAGAGAAAATGAGAAGTCAGGTATCAGAACAGTGAATTTATTACTAAGAATAGTTCTATCTAGGGCAAGGTGGCATGGTTACTTCTCATGAACCAGTCATTAGTAAAAGAAATTCTATTTTTAGTTTTAAATGCTAACAGAATTAGACTGGAAATAAAGACTGACTTCTTGTCCAAGTCTCAGATGTTTTTAGAAATGCCACTTAAACTCTGTGGGCCTCTTTTTCTTCAGTAATAAAATGAGAGGGTTAGACCAGCACCTATGTTAAATAAATGCTAACTAGCTTGTGAGTTTGGTTAATTAAATAATTTCAAAGATGTAACTATAAAAGTTGATGTTTCTGTAGCTTTTCGAGTAGAAAAATGTATGCTTGGCTAATTGTGCTATTTAATTACTGTGGAAAGGCCCACAAGTAATGAGTTGGTGAATTTCCTTTTTCTGTTCTTTAGACAGATGTGTAGAAATAGCAAACCTTCTGTCAGCAAAGGAATTTTTTTTAATTGAGCACTGTACTTCCCACAATGTGTGTGCATCTGTGTGAATGTGTGTGGCTATAGTGTGTGTGGTCTGTGTGAATGTGTGTGGCCGTGGTGTGTGCGGTCTGTATGAATGTGTGTGGCTATAGTATGTATGATGGGCAGACAGTACAACCTGAAATTCCCTTTACTGGTCCTTAAATGGAAGGAAAAGTCTAGCAAACATTGCTTTTCATGAAGCGTTAGAATTAGGTTTTCTATATTAATTGGTATTAGCTGTACAGCCTCTCACAAAGGATGTTCATGTTTGCGGAAGGATGTTTATGATCCCATTGCAGGAACAGGGACAGTAAGCTTGATTTTCAGATTTGTGCCCATCTTTGGTAAAGAGAGACAAACCTAGTAAAAGATGTGTGTATTGCTAGAGAAATGGAAAGACAGGTAGGTGAATATGGGTGGATAGATAGATGATAGATAAAGTGGATGGATGGATGGATAGGTAGATAGACAGACAGACAGATAGATAATATTCTGCATAATAATGTTTTGGTCAAGGACAGACCACATATGCCATGGTGGTCCCATTAGATTGTAAAGGAGCTGAAAATCCCTACTGCCTGGTGACATCAACCATCGTAACCTCACAGTGAAAGATATGACTCACGTGTTTGTGGTGATGCTGACGTAGACAAACCTACTGCACTGCCAATCATATAAAAGGAAACAGTAATGTCCTGGACCTTCACATTCACTCACTCCTCACTCATGGCTTCACCCAGAACAACTTCCAGTCCTGAAGGCTCTATTCATGGTGAGTTTCCTGCACAGGTGTGTCATTTTTTAACTTTTATACCCTATTTTTACTTTCACTTTTCTAAGTTTAGATGTGCTTAGATACACAGATACTTGGTTTTGTGTATTTAGATACACAAATACGATTGTGTTACAGTTGTGTAAGTATTCAGCATAGTCGCATGCTGTACTGGTTTGTAGCCTAGGACCAATAGGCTATACCATGTAGCCTAGGTGTGTTGTAGCCTGTATCATCTAGGTTTCTGTAAGTGCACCCTACGATGTAAACACAATGACAAAATCACCTAATGACACAGCTCTCAGAATGTATCCCCATCATTAAGTAACATCTGACTGTAGATATATAGATGATTTATTGCAGTCATAGAGGGGCTGAAATATAGATAGATTACAGAGATACAGATAGATGGATAGGTAAATAGCCATTTGTAAAATATAGCAGAATGTTTTAACAGTTCGTGCTCTAACTGTGAATTCCTTTTAAAGTGTGTGCTTGTGGCTTTCTTACAACATGTTTCTTTGGTTTGGGGTTAATTTGGGAACAAAGTAGAGATCTGGGCATGTATCTCTCTTGACAAAGAGGGAAATAGTGCATGAAATGACATTTGTCTATTAGCGTATTTGAATTAAATGGGTTTTTAGAAAAATAGAGCCACTGAACTTCATTACACACTTCCTAGCCCATCTGCCATTGAATGTGATGAAGATTGGCTGTTCTAGCTTTGGTTTAAGGATGAATTCAGGTCATAAGATGGAAATGTCTCCTACTCTGAGGACAGGATAGGGTCTCTACTTGTATTAGTCCATTTTCATACTACTGTGTAGAAAAACCTGAGACTGGGTAATTTATAAAGAAAAAGAGGTTTAATGGACTCACAGTTCTACATGACTGGGGAGGCCTCACAATCATGTCAGAAGGCAAAGGAGGAGCAAAGGCATGTCTTACATGGCGGCAGGGAAGAGCATGTGTGCAGGGAAACTGCCCTTTATAAAACCATCAGATCTCGTGATTCTTATTCACTACCATGAGAACAGCATGGAAAAAACCCACCCCCATGATTCAATTACCTCCCACCAGGTCCCTCCCATGACACGTGGGAATTATGGGAGCTACAATTCAAGATGAGATTTGGGCAAGAGTACAACCAAACCATATCACTAGTAATTCTTAACTAAATGCAGACTTGATAACCCATTCTGGCAGCTTGAGAACATGTAGAAACACATGTGTTATTCTTGGTGACAAAATATTTTGACCCACTAAGCCATTCATACCACAATCATTGGGATAAATACATGACATCCAGGAGAATGAAATGGAACCCAAGAAGTCAGCCGACTGCCTGAGCCTCAGATTGTTTCTGTTACAAAAGCTATCACACACTGATTTGGTTTGGATCTGTGTCCCCACCCAAACCTCATGTGGAAATGTATTCCCCAGTGTTGGAGGTGGGGCCTGGTGGGATTAGATCATGGGGCAGATTCTCATGAATGGGTTAGCAAAATCTCCCTTGGTGCTGTGCTTCTGACAGTGAGTGGGTTCTCCTGATATCTGGTCATTTAAAACTGTGTGGCACCTCCCCACTCTCTCTCTTTCTCTTGCTCCTGCTCCTACCATGTAAGGTGTCTCGCTCACCTTCTGCCTTCCACCATGATTGGAAGTTTCCTGAGGCTTTCCTAGAAGCAGAAGCTGCCATGCTTCCTATGTAGACTACAGAACTGTGAGCTGGTTAAGCCTCTTTTCTTTATAAATTACCCATTCTCAGGTATTTCTTTACAGCAGTGCAAGAACGGACCAATACACACTGTAACAGCAAACTGAAAGGTTTATAATTTTTCATAAGACAAGAATATTTTGTTTTATAAAGGCAAATATGTCTTACTAGCTTGCTGACTGTTTTATGATTTTTAAGCAAGATTTAGTATGGGCAGGAAAGGGCAAATAATAAAACGCATAAGGGCTTAAGCTATGAATTTTATAAAACCTGTTTGTTCTGAAACATATTTGTGCAAAGTCCCATTTAGAGGCTGAGATGCTGTTCTTAGCTCCACCTTACCTGTAAGCTCCTCAGGTCTCATTTTAAATGGATGAAAAAGAGAAGAGACTTGGGTGTGTTGATCCCAGTGGATGGAGTTCTAAAATTCCTGTGTATCTTCTCCTGAGGGCTCCTCAGTCTAAGGAGGGTAAGGAATAAGTTTAGAAATTGTCAATTCTAAATCAAACAGGTTTTAGAATCTTAAAACAAAAGCTGTAAGCTGTAGCCCAGGAGGAACCTTTAGATATCATATAATGGAAACATAAATAGGATGAAGAGGTTGGAAGCCAGCATCCTGTGGGTGTCCCCTCTGACTCTGTCCTTGTCCAAGTATAGGACCTCAATCTATAACCACTACCTTCTGGGTCCTTTCTAAAAATTGACAAATAATAATCATATATAATTAATGTACAATGTTATGTTTCAATACATGTTTGCATTATGGAATAATTAAATCAAGCTACTTGGCATGTCAGTAACATCACATGCTTAGCATTTTTGTAGTGAAAATATTTAAAATCTACTCTTTTAGCAATTTTGAAATATACAATACAGTACTTACTCACTTAACATCATTGATTGGTCCTCAGAAACTGCAACTTGGAGTGAAAAGATGTATAAAGAAACCAATTTTCCCATAGGCTAATAGCTATAAATAAGAGTTAGATTCTTACAGCATATTTTTGGTCACAAAATATCACCAAACTTCTAAATAAAGACCAAAACACTTCAAATATTAAACATTGAAATAAATATGAGCTTTGCATACATTTAAGAAAGATTAATAAAAACAAGTAAGATAATTATTTGCCCAATTATTTCATTCAGGGTTGGGGAGACTGGAGTCTGTGCTGGAAGCTCAGGGCTCAAGCTGGGCAACAGCCCTGGACAGGATGCCATCCCACTGCAGGATGGCTCACACATGCCCACAGCCACTCAGCCTGGGACCATTTGGACACAGCAATTAACCTTACCTGCATGTCTTTGTGGGGAGGAAACCAGAGTGCTTAGAAAAACCCATGCAGACAGACACAGAGCAAACATGCAAACCTCACAAAGATATTGTTTCTTCTGTCACCTGTGCTTTTGGGTCATATTCAAGAAATCATTAACCAAATAAAAGTCGTGGAGCTTTTCCCTATGTTTTCTTTTAGTAGTTTTATAGTTTCAGGTCTTACATTTAACTCCTTAATCCATTTTGATTTTTGCATATGGTGTGAGATAAGCTTCTGGTTTCATTCTCCCACATGTGGATATCCAGTTCTCTGAACACCATATATGGAAGAGACTGTCATTTCCTCATGATATGTTCCTGGCACTTTTGTTGAAATCAATTGACCATAGATCTGTGGGTTTATTTCTGGCTTTTTATTCTGTTCCATTGGCCAATGTACCTGTGTTTATGCTTGTGCCTTGCTGTTTTGATTATTATAGCTTTATAATATGTTTTGAAATCAGGTAGTGTGATGCCTCCATCTTTGCTTTTTATGCTCAAGATAGTTTGGATATTCAGAGTGTTTTATGGTTCCATATACATTTTAGGATTGTGTTTTCTATTTCTTTGAAAAATATCATTGGAATTTGATAGAGACTTCATAGAATTTTGTATATCATTTTAAGTAGTATGGTATCTAAACAACATTAACTCTTCCAATCCATGAATGCAGGATATCTTTCCATTTTTGTGTGTCATCTATAATTTCCTTTATCAATGTATATTTTTCATTGTACAGATCTTTCATCTCTTTCGTTAAATTTACTCCTAGGTATTTTATATTTTTATACTACTGTAAATGGGATTGTTTTATTAATTTCTTTTTTGTATAGTTCATTGTTAGTGAACAAAATACTACTGATTTCTGAGTGTTGTTTTGTATCCTGCAAATTTTCTAAATTCCTTTATTAAGTCTAACAGTTTTTTTGAGTCTTTAGAGTTTTCTATATATAAGCTTATGTCATCAGCAAACAGAGACAATTTCACTTCTTCCTTTTCTATTTAGATGTGTTTTATTTCTTTTTCATAATTGTTCTTGTTAGCACTTCCAGTACTATGTTGTATAGATGTGGTGAGAGTGCACATATTTATCTTGTTCTGGATTTTAAGGGAAAACCTTTCAGCTTTTCATCATTAAGTATGATATTAGACGTGGGCTTGTCACACGTGTTCTTTATTGTGTTGAAGTACATTCCCTTCATACCTAATTTGTTGAGAGCTTTGATGATGAAAGGATAATGAATTTTGTCAAATGTTTTTCTGCATCTATTGCTACAATGTTATGGTTTTTGTCTTTCATTTTGTTAATATGGTGAATTAGATTTATTGATTTTGCATGTGTTGAACCATGCTTGCATCCAAGGCATGAATCCCACTTGATCATGGTGACTGATCTTTTTAATGTGCTATTGAATTCAGGTAACTAGTATTTTGATGAAGATGTTTGCACGTATGTTCATCAAGGATATTGGCCTGTAATTTTTGTTTCTTGTAAGGTTCTCATCTGGCTTTGGTATTAGGATAATGCTGGCCTCATAAAGGTGAGTTTGGAAGTGTTCCCTACTCTTCAATTTTTTGTGAAGAATTTAAGAAGAATTGGTATAAGTTTTTCACTATTTATTTGGTAGAATTCAGCAGTGAAGACATCTGGTCTTCAGCTTTTCTTTGATGAAAGATTTATTATTTTTGTTAATTATTATTACTGATTTGATCTCCTTACCTGTTATTAGTTTATTTAGATGATCTGTTTCCTCTTAATTCCATTGTGATAGGTTGTATGTTTCTAGGAATTTTTTTTAACATTTTTAAAAGCGTGTTTTACACTAATTCTTTTTTTTCTTTTTTTTCTTTTTTTTATTATACTTTAAGTTCTAGGGTACACGTGCACAACGTGCAGGTTCGTTACATATGTATACATGTGCCATGTTGGTGTGCTGCACCAATTAACTCATCATTTACATTATGCATATCTCCTAATGCTATCCCTCCCCCCTCCCCCAACCCCATGACAGGCCCTGGTGTGTGATGTTCCCCTTCCTGTGTCCAGGTGTTCTCATTGTTCAATTCCCACCTATGAGTGAGAACATGCAGTGTTTGGTTTTTTGTCCTTGTGATAGTTTGCTGAGAATGATGGTTTCCAGCTTCATCCATGTCCCTACAAAGGACATGAACTCATCATTTTTTATGGCTGCATGGTATTTCATGGTGTATATGTGCCACATTTTCTTAATCCAGTCTATCAGTGATGGACATTCGGGTTGGTTCCAAGTCTTTGCTATTGTGAATAGTGCCACATTGAACATACGTGTGCATGTGTCTTTATAGCAGCATGATTTATAGTCCTTTGGGTATATACCCAGTAATGGGATGGCTGGGTCAAATGCTATTTCTAGTTCTAGATCCTTGAGGAATCACCACACTGTCTTCCACAATGGTTGAACTAGTTTACAGTCCCACCAACAGTGTAAAAATGTTCCTATTTCTCCACATCCTCTCCAGCACCTGTTGTTTCCTGACTTTTTAATGATTGCCATTCTAACTGGTGTGAGATGGTATCTCATTGTGGTTTTGATTTGCATTTCTCTGATGGCCAGTGATGATGAGCATTTTTTCATGTGATTTTTGGCTGCATAAATGTCTTCTTTTGAGAAGTGTCTGTTCATGTCCTTCGCTCACTTTTTGATGGGGTTGTTTGTTTTTTTCTTGTAAATTTGTTTGAGTTCTTTGTAGATTCTGGATATTAGCCCTTTGTCAGATGAGTAGATTGCAAAAATTTTCTCCCATTCTGTAGGTTGCCTGTTCACTCTGATGGTAGTTTCTTTTGCTGTGCAGAAGCTCTTTAGTTTAATTAGATCCCATTAGTTTAATTAGATCCCATTTGTTGATTTTCTCAGGTTATCTAATCTGTTGACATATAATTGTCCAGGGCCCATTCAGCATCTACAGTGGGATGGGAACCCACCAGCATGCTGGAGGCACAGACAGGAGAGTCCCTCTGGGTCCTTGTGTGAACAGTAGTAATGTGGTTAGGCTTTGTGTCTCCACCCAAATATCATCTTGAATTGTAATCTTCATGATCCCACGTGCCTAGGGAGAGACCTGGTGGGAGATGATTGGATCATGGGGGTAGTTCCCCCATGTTGTTCTCATGATAGCGAGTGAATTCTCATCAGATCTGATGGTTTTGTAAGGGGCTCTTTCCCTTTCACTCCTCACTCTTCTCTCTCCTGCTGCCATGTGAAAAAGGGCCAAGCTTGCTTCCCCTTCACCCTTCACCCTTCATTGTTGCTGTGGGGAATATGAGCAGGGGGACTTCCCATTCCACCATGTGCCGACATCACCCTTGGGTCTTTTCTTTTGTTAAGTAATTAGACCAATGATGGTTGAGGTTCCTTAGTTTTCTCAGTTCTTTTTTTAAAAAAAAAAGACTATAAAGAGTAGATGCATACTGAAGTCTAATTCATTTTAAATATGTATTTATATGATACAAATCACATGTAATAAGTGCAACTGTTTTTATTTCCATTTGCCTCCAACATGTTACAAGCCCGTGCACTGGCAGAAGTTATTTTCCTCCATTCCATTGTCAGATCAAGCTTATACTCAAGTGGTTCTTTGGTAAAATGGGAACTATGCGTTTGGATAAATTATGTGTCATTGTGAATGAGGATTAAATCATTGGCTACACAGTACGAGAAAAGATTGTTCACTAAGAATTTGAAGGGAGAATATTGAGATGAAACTAAAAAAGACATAAAAACATAAGCATTCTTCCTAATGGACATCAGCAGATGCCACAGAGTGGGGCTTTCCCTCAAGTTCTCCAACAGGAAAATAACCCCTGTCCTGTGACACTCGGTAGGTCGTTATGCAGCATCACAGGTAACTTAGCATAACCATGCGATCCTGACTACTGGCTTATATAGACATTATGTAGTCTACATTTCTATTATGTAGAAATGTAGTACATTGTATGTAGAAATGTATGTACATTTCTGTTATGTAGAAATGTCTGTTATGCAGACATTTCTCTGACATCAGGTGAAGAAAAGCATTGTTGATGGGGTGGCCATGGTGGTGGAGATGCTAGAGTTTTGTCTGTCTTTACCATATCAGTTTTCTATTGCCATGTAACAAACCTGTGCAAACTTAGCAGGTAACACAAGACTGTTTTATTATCTCACAGTCCTCATGGGTCAGGAGTCCGGCAGCTCCCGGCTGGTCCTCTGCTTGGGATCTCACCAGGCTGAAACCAAGGTGTCGGCTGGGCTGTGTTCCCATCTTCAAGGCTCACTCAGGGTTGCTGGCAGAATTCAGTCCCTTGACTTTATAGGACTCAGTTCCCCACCTTTGTCAGCCAAGGGCTGCTCTCCACCACCAGAGACCACCATGTTCATTGACATGGTCACCCTCTGCCCTCAAGCCAGCAGCAGGTAACAGGTAACCCCATAAGCCTCCAATCTATGACTTCCTTCACTCTGACCTCTAGACCCAGACGTAAAGGGCCATGTGTTCAGGCTGTACCCCTGCATAAATCTCCCTAACTCAAGGTCAGCTGAGTTGAGACGTTGATTGCATTTGCAGAATCCCTTCACAGAAACACCTAGTTTCTGTTGATTGAATAACTGGAGCAGATGTTTCCACCAAGGTCTGAGAACTGGGGGCTGCCTTAGAACTCTGCCTGCTCTAGTGTCTCAACCTCTGTTTCCCTCTGGAAAGCCCATAGCACGTCCACGCTTCTTAGAAATTCATCCTTTTAAAACAAAAGTGGCTTGGATGATGGTTGGCTGTTCTTCCACATGGTACCGTTGGACAAAGCTGGATTTGAGCCAGGCTCCTGCCCATAGCATGTGTGTTTCAGAAAATAGAGAGTGAAGAAATACTTAAGAACAAGAGAAATGTCTGTGCTTGAAAAGTATCCACAATCATTTTGCAAGTGAGGAAGCTTCACAAGAGGCTCAGAAAAGAGGAAGAGCTGTGGTGCCTCTGGGATGTGCCCCTGGGGAAGCAGGTGGTATGAAGGAATAGTACGGGGATAGGAACTAAGAGATTTCTAATCCTGCTTCACCCTCTTGGGGCCATGACCTAGGTAACTCATGGGGGCTCTTGTGATGGCTTCTTTGCTGGTTTAACCAAGTAGGGTGGGAGATGATATAATACTTTACTGCTTTCTAAGATAGTTTATGAAGGTAAGAAAAAATAAAACTGTACGTTTAAAGGAGGTTTGAAGCAGCAGGAGTTCAGTGATTTTTAATTGTGATGCGGTTTAGGTCTGGGTTTCCACCCAAATCTCATGTTGAAATATAATCCCCAGTGCTGGAGGTAGGTCCTGGTGGGAGGTGACTGGATCACGGGGCAGATTTCTCATGAGTGGTTTAGCACCCAACCCCTCGGTACTGTTGTGATAGTGAGTGAGTTCTCATGAGAACCAGCTGTTAAAAGTGTATGGCACCTGCCCTCTTTCCTTCCAACTCCTGCTATGCCCATGTCAAGTGCTGGCTCCCCCTTTGCCTTCCGCCATGATTGTAAGTTTCCTGAGGCCTCCCCAGAGTCCCAGCAGATGTCGCCATGCTTCCTGTACAACCTGTGCCACCAGAGCCAAGGAAGCCTCTTTTCCTTATAAATTATCCAGTCTTGCGTATTTCTCTATGGCAGTGTGAGAATGGACCAATACAAATTGTTTATGGAATAAGGAATGACTGAACAGAAGGCAGGAAATTCAGATTTGAGTGATTATCCCCAAAGATGAGCAATTAAACAGCTCCAGAATCTCTGTGCCACAGAATTTCTGTGCATCACTTTGCAACTCTTTACAGGAGGAACTGCTTTTTATGCAACTCTTTACAGGAGGAACTGCTTTTTATTTATCTGCTCACAGGAGCCCTGTCCATGCCTCTTGTTTTAGGCAGGCCTCAAATTGATTAAAAGTAATTGACTTTCTTTTTTTTTTCTAAAACATAGAAGGAAAGAAAGGGAAGGGAGGGGAGTGGAGGGGAGGCGAGGGGAGGGGAGGCGGAGAGGAAGAGGGAAAGGGAGGGAGTTAAGTAGTAAGGGAGGAAGAGAGAAAACCCTTAGCTTAGGGGTCTTTTTGCCCCACATCTACCATGTTTTTTAAAAATACAATGAAATTATGTTTTGTGAGTTACAATAAAATTTCATTTGCTTTGTAGGCACTCACCTTATTTCAGAAGAAGAAGGCAGATGGGCTCTATAGTAGTCATAATGGAAACAGACCTACTACAGATAAGCAGATTTTGAAAAGTGATACTGCAAGTCAGAATTATACTGCTAAATACTCTAATTTGTTTTGCAAAGGAGAGTATCATGTTTAAATAGTCATACCAAAAAGAATCCTGTGGTGAGTTTTCTGGAATTCGTCCATCCCAAGAGCACAGCACTCGATGCTCTGAGCTCGCGCGTCCCGCACACAGGGCACTCCTTACCCGGGCTTCCAGGGAGACAGTGTCCTGGCAGCTGTGGGGCCTCAGGAAAGGGGGCTTGTTATGGAATGTGGGAATGTGTTGGGTGGTTCTAGGAAGGGCCAGGAGATCAGGGCTTGCCCTGCACTGGGTGCCGTCAGAGCGTGGGCTGTGTCAGCAGTGTCTGGCTTAATTTCTATCCAGGAGCATGAGACAGGAAGTGGCAGGATCCAGGCCAGGCTTGTGGGAGCAGCAGCCCCTCCCTCAGGCCAGCAGCCCGCCAGGGACCTATGGGACCTTTGTGGTTGGACGGCATGTCGTGTGTCCCCTGCTGCTGCTCTGCCTTGTTGCCTCATGTCCCTGGAGAGCCCCGGTCTGAGGTTGATGACATGTGGGACTCTGTGTTTTTCAGAGGAACCCCACAGCCCTGCTGGCTGCTAGCAGGTGACAGAGCTGCTGTTTCTTTCTCATTACGCCATCTTTAAATTTTCTGAAAACTTTCTTTTGACGATAGAAGATTAGGGTGTTCATGTTGACAGAAAGAGAATAATCCCATTCCACTTAGATCTCTACAAACGCCCAGTTCTCTGGCATGTGTCCTACTCTGATAAGGGCAGGGGCCACGTGTTTAAGATCTGGAGGTCCTTAAGTCTTCTCAGAAGCCAGTGCTGCCTTCAACACCCGGCAGTTCTGGTGGGGGTGTCTTCCGTGGTGCCCAGCCCTGGGCCGCCCCCTCCACGGGCACGTAGGTGAATCAGGGTGGACCCACTGCTAAGCAGATGAATGACTACCTAAGGTAGCTCTCCTGAGTTTGCTCTGATAGAGAACAAGGGCTGCTGATTTTCGGAGGCACCCTGACACCCCTCCCCATCCAACAGATGTGCGGAGCAGCTCTGAGTTGCCTTCTCTGGGTGGAACTGCATCTGCTCCTTCTTTCCTGGGAATTCAGAATCATTCTTGAGAAATCACTCTGCATCTGTGTCATTCTCCCAACTCACTTCTCTAGGCTCCGTTACGCTTTCTCTGGGGCAGTGGTCCCCACCCGCACTGTGTGACACTGCTTCCGAGATTCCCCGGGTGCTCCTCTGTCTCTGAGTCTGTCTCTGCCTCTGCCTCTCTCTGTCTCTCAGAGGTCTGTCTCTGTCTCTGCCTCTCTCTGTCTCTCTGTCCCTCTCTGTCTCTGTCTCTCCCTGTCTCTGTCTCTCTGTTGCTGTCTCTGCCTCTGTCTCTGCCTCTCTCTGTGTCTCTCTGCCCCTCCCTCTGTCTCTGTCCCTCTCAGTCTCTGGTTTTGTCTCTGTCTCTCTCTGTCTCTGTCTCTGTCTCTCTCTGTCTCTGTCTCTCTGTCTCTCTCTCTCTCTGTCTCTCTCTGTCTCTCTCTCTCTCTCTGTCTCTCTCTATCTCTGTCTCTATCTCTGTCTCTGTGTGTCCTCTCTCTCTCTCTCTGTCTCTGTCTGTCGCTGTCGCTCTGTGTATCTCTGTCTCTGTCTGTGTCTCGTGTCGGTGCTCCGGTTCCCCCCAACCTCTGTCTCGGTCCCCCCCGGTCTCGGTCTCTCTCTCTCTCGGTTCTTCTCGGTCTCTGTCTCTGTCTCTATCTCTGTCTCTGTCTCTCTCTGTCTCTGTCTGTGTCTCTCTCTGTCTCTGCCTCTCTCTGTCTCTGTCTCTGTCTGTCTCTGTCTCTCTCTCGGTCTCTGTCTCTCTCTGTCTCTCTCTGTCTCTGTCTCTGTCTCTGTCTCTGTCTCTCTCTCTCTCTGTCTCTGTCTGTGTCTCTCTCTGTCTCTGTCTCTGTCTCTCTCTGTCTCTCTCTGTCTCTGTCTGTCTCTGTCTCTGTCTCTCTCTGTCTCTGTCTCTGTCTCTCTCTGTCTCTGTCTCTGTCTCTCTCTGTCTCTCTCTGTCTCTGCCTATCTCTGTCTCTCTCTGTCTCTCTCTGTCTCTGTTTCTCTCTGTCTCTGTCTCTGTCTCTCTCTGTCTCTCTCTGTCTCTCTCTGTCTCTC